>NC_000001.11:182578526-182881556 GCF_000001405.40 Homo sapiens
AGCTGTAACCTCTGCTTCACAGGCTGAAGCAATTCTCATGCCTCAGCCGCCCAAGTAGCTGGGATTACAGACGTGTGCCACAATGCTTGGCTAAGTTTTGTATTTTTAGTAGAGACAGGGTTTTGCCATGTTGGCCAGGCTGGTCTTAAACTCCTGACCTCAAATGATCCACCCATCTCGGCCTCCCAAAGTGCTGGGATTACAGGTGTGAGCCACTGCACTCAGCCCAAGAAATCTTATATCAAAAAGATACCGGCACTCATATGTTTACTACAGCACTATTCACAATAGCAAAGATATGGAATCCACCTAAGTGTCCATCAACAGATGATTGGATAAAGAAAATGTGTCTGGGCCATTTCAGCCATAAAAAAGAAGAATGAAATCATGTCTTTTGTGGCCACATGGACGGAACTGGAGGCCATTATTTTAAGTGAAATGACTTACAAACAGAAAGTCAAATATCACATGTTCTCTCTTATAAGTGGGAGCTCAATAATGTGTACACATGGATGTACAGAGTGGAATAATATAATTGGAGACTTGGAAAGGTGGGAGGGTTGGAGGGAGAGGGATGAGAAATTACTTAATGGGTACAATGTGCGTTATTCAGGTAATGGTTACACTAAAAGCCCAACTTTACCACTACACAATATATCCATGTAACAAAACTATACTAGTACCCTCTAAAATTTATATTTTAAACAAGGTTACTTGCTTCTCCTTGCCTGCAGGTGTCCCAGGGCAACTCCTTTCATATCACAGTAATGTCATCCTCTTTGTCTGTGCTTGTCACCCTCATAGATACAGAGCCATAGATGGCTCTCATATTTAGAAAGAGTTTGGGCTACGAGATCAAGATGCAACAGTCAAGAATCCAGTGGGTCACTTAGGAAGAGTAACTGATGAAAGAGCAATGCTAGTGAGGATGCTGCTGAGACTGGCCAGGTGCACTCTGTGCAGAACACCCGTGAGAAACGCCAAGCACGTATGTGTGGCAGGATGGGGCAAGTCAAGAACCAATACAGTCATACAAGCTGGAAAACTTGGGCTCCAGACCTATGCTGACAAAATTAATTGTGTGACCATGAAAATGGGCAAGTCAACAGAAAAACAAAGTGTAAAATGGGAATTAAAAGGTAAAACTTGAAGTTAAAACCTGAAGACTATCAAAATTCAATATAAGCCCATGGAATTTAGGGAAAAGAACCAATAAATTGGGAAATAAAAGAACAAGTTCCTCTTTCCAGGTCTGCCAATCTCTGACTGTCCAGCATGAGTAATTTGAGTGTGGTCTCTGAGCCTCAATTTCCTCAGTGAGTAAATGAGTTGGTAGACTTGATGCCATCACAGCTTCATGTAGTGGTGTGGCTTAAGCACATGGCCTCTGCAGCCATCCTTCCCAGCTTCAAATCCTGGTGCACCCCTTACTGGTTCTGTGTAGTTGGAAAAATTATTTGTCTGTGCCTCAGCTTGCTCATCTGCAAAATATAGATGATTGTCTCAGAAGTTGTGCTAAAGATTAAATGTGGTAACTCATGTAAAGTCTCAAGAACTATGGCTGCCACATAATCATAATGATACTACGTAATCATTAGCTATCACTATCATAGCTGCTTTCAAATTTCTTTGTTTCTACAAGTTAAAATTTTAGCCAAAGTTTGATAGACATTCATTTAGTAAAGAGTCATGGCACATCTACTCCATGCCAGGGATACAATAACTGACAAGACAATGGGTAGTCTCTGCCTTCATGGAACTTACAGTCTAGCAAGGAAAATGGACCGTAAGCCAGTAATTATGAGTGTGATGTGCAGTCTAGAGACCAGTGAGGGAAGGAAAGCAAAACAAGAATTAGGAGAAGCAGAGTCCCAGGTCAGGTCTAGGATAGGAAGCTGTTGGTTTCCAAGACCTGAAGATTATGGGTTCTCCCATAGTGCTTTGCACATGTCCCTGGGATGCCCAGCACACATCCCACAGCATCATTTCCATGGGCTTCTCAGCCCCACAGGGACACATTGTATTCTGCTTTGTATGCTCAAGGCCTTGCATGGGCCTAGCACATAATTGGTATTGTATAGATGTTTGTTAATTAATAATGAAAGTTCTGACAGTACTGACTAGATTGAGATGATGACTAATTTTGTAGAGTTCCACTATAATTAATGCAAGTTAGGTGGAACTTTTCTTAAAGAGAGCAATTTGAAAGATCATCTTTCCTTCATAGTCTATTTCCTCAGGCAGAATGTAGGTCTGTGTGTGGATCCTGAGAGCTGGGCTGTTTACAGGCAGTGGAGGCAGCCAGGCTGTACCTGGACTGAAACACCTCATGGTGAAGCACTTCCCTTGGATTAAGCTCTATTTAGTCAGCTGCTCGTGCCATAATGGCAATAGGATTATCAGCTAAGTGAGGGAAAGGCTCATGGGCTGGGATAAGGCCATCCAGGGGGAGCCTGAATAACAGTCTATCAGAGGGGCATGGGTCTGAATGGGAGAGAGGGAGGGCCAGCTTCTGAAAGTAGAAGTAGACACCCCGGCAGGGAGCCTAGGGGGATAGGGATGGGAGGGCAGGAGGCAAAATCACCTCTTTGAGCCTCTGGTTTGCCACTGGTGTAAAATAAGATAGAAAAACTAACATAAAACATTACACAAATTCTTATTCCTGGACTAACCCCTGCACTATAGGAATTGTTCATACCTTAGTCGTCCACTTGTCAAAACTTTTGGAATGTTCAGAAGGCCCAGGTTGCAGTAGTCTGAGGATCTCACTTTCAGATTTTCGTGTTTTGATGTCGGATTCATTTCCCACATTCCGAAGCGTCCTATAGCGGCTGAAGATGACTAAATGATCTAAATGATCATGATCATCCCATCCCTCCCTTTCCTTTTCCAGAAAAAGAAAACCGTTAGATTTTGGTGTTTTTTGTGCTTTCTTGGTTTTTCTTTCTTTTTTTTTTTTTTTTTTTTTTTTTTGAGATGGAGTCTCGCTCTGTCCCCCAAGCTGGAGTGCAGTAGCGCAATCTTGGCTCACTGCAACCTCCACCTCCCGGGTTCAAGCAATTCTCCTGCCTCAGCTTCCCAAGTAGGTGACATTACAGGCACCTGCCACCACACTCGGCTAACTTTTGTATTTTTAGTAGAGACGGGGTTTCACCATGCTGACCAGGCTGGTCTGGAACTCCTGACCTCATGATCCACCCGCCTCGGCCTCCCAAAGTGCTGGGATTACAGGCGTGAGCCACCGCGCCTGGCTAGATTTTGGTTTTTAATAAAAGTAATACAACCATGTCTTCAAAAATTCTGCATGATAGGAGAGGCAAGCATCTCTTTTTTTCCCCTCCTTATTCTTCAGAAATGAAAAGCAGACTCCAGAGAGGTTAAGTCATCTCTCCAAGGACACACAGCCAGTAAATCCCAAGCTAAGAAAAAAGCCTGGGTCTCCTGATTTGCAGCCCAGACTTCTGTCTGCACCACCTTACCCTTTCCATCCTGGAGGCCTGTGGCATCTGCACAAAGTTTTACTTACCTCTCCCAAGTCCAAAAGAAGGGATGACCCAGCAGGTCACTCAGACAGTCCCTCACATGTTCCCCAGGATGGAAGAGACGATGAATGAGGTCCTTAGTTTCCTCATCTGGAGAAAGTTGAACCACCTCTTCATTACTTTGAGCTTTCAGATCCTCAAATGAGATGCTTCCCTTCTTTACCACATAGAGGACCAGCCGTCCAAGGTCCTGCACAAAAGCCATAAATCAAGCCAAAGATGCTTACTAATTATTTGGGTAACCCTGGAAGGAGTGGTGCACGCTATTAGCAAACAAGATGATGGGAGGAATCTCAAGGAATTTGTAGGCTTGTTAGGGAGGGAAGGCACAGATGTGTGCATACAGACCTCTTCAAGGCAGTATATCGCCCATACCACTTAGTTTTATGAAGAGTAAAAGATACATATAAGTCACAGTTGTTAGGGCAGACTGCTTGGAGGAAGAGAGATTTGAGCTGGGCCTCAAATGTATGGACAGAATATAGATAAATTGAGGAAAGGGAGAATGCTTTAAACACAGGGAGAACTGACAGCCTGGCTGGAAACTGGGACTTTGGGTCTGAGGCTATGTCACGCAGCAAATAAAAAAGTCAGTCCAGGCCAGGAGAGGCAAAGTGATGACCCCAGGGATTAGGCCGTGGCCAGGAGGAAAGGCCAAGAAGAAGGTCGCCTAAGGAACTCTTTGCACTAGCCACCAGTCAAGGAGGGAGCTGAAATCTGATGCCACCAAACCAGGAGGCCAGACATATGGGTGGAGAGTCTCACCCACTGGGTTGAAAGTGCAGCACCCTGTAAAACTCTCCAGGAAAGACCTACCCTGACAGGGTCAGAATCAGCCTGGGGGCTTTGGTCTACAGCGGCCAATCTCCATGTCCCCTCAGGAGCAACAGCTATTTCAGAGTCCTCATCTTTTTGGCCAAGCTTAGGTTCTTTCAAGCTGGGAATTGACCTCACTCCTCCCAGGAGTTTTCAGAGAACCTTAGTATCCAGCCTTCTGCAGAGTGTAGCCCACGAGTTTGAGTTTGTGGTGAAAGAAACCTCACTTACTTTGTTCCTAGGTAGAAAAATAACTCCTCAATGAATATTGGAGATATTTGAAATTCTCTCCTGGAGAGAAGATGTGGCATGCTCAGTTTATTTACTTATTAAGGTAGTGGAGGAAGAGAGATTCAAAGAGATACAGTAAGGGTCCACAGTGACAGCCAACTCCACACCGACCCAAGCTGTTGCACCTTCCCATTGTCATCTTGAAAGCTCTGCTGCGGGAGAAGCCCAAGGAAATGCCATGGCCTACAGGGGAGTCAGGACAGTGAGCAAGATGGGGAAAGCCTTGAACATTCTTTTTTTCCTGGTTAAAATAGAATGCCCTCCAATTGCCCATAGGAAATAAGGTAATGAACTGTGACGGTTAATATTGAGTGTCAACTTGATTGAGTTGAAGGATACAAAGTATTGTGACTGGGTGTGTCTGTGAGGGTGTTGCCGAAGGAGAGCAACATTTGAGTCAGTGGACTGGGAGAGGCAGACCCACATTCAGTCACGGTGGGCACCATCTAATCAGCTGCCAGCATGGCTAAAATAAAGCAGGCAGAAAATGAAAGAGCAGACAACTTGCTAAGACTTCTGGCCTTCATCTTTCTCCCGTGCTGGATGCTTCCTGCCCTCAAACATCAGTATCCAAGTTCTTCAGCTTATGGAGTTTTGGACTTACACCAGTGGTTTGCCAGGGGCTTTCAGGCCTTTGGCCACAGACTGAAGGCTGCACTGTCGGCTTCCCTACTTTTGAGGTTTTGGTACTCAGACTGACCCATCACTGGCTTCCTTGTTCCTCAACTTGCAGATGGCTTATTATGGGACTTTATGTTGTGACCGTGTGAGTCAATTCTCCTTAATAAACTCCCTTTCATATATACATATGTCCTACTAGTTCTGTCCCTCTAGAGAACCCTGACTACTACATGAAAGAATAAGGAAGCAGAAAGAAGAAAGGTAAACTGGATTGTAGAATTTACCTCTAGATCTCTCTTGACTTCCTGTGGATCTCCAGCCCACTTGATGCTCTTATCAAAATCTGCCAGGTGAGCAGCTTTCTTAGAATCTAAGGAAAAGTTTGCAGAGGCACATTGAAAATACTCATTCTCCATAAAGTGAGAGTCAATTGATTTATATAAATATGTAACATGCTATAAAAATCATCATCTCTGTGGAAGGCAATAATAAACCTTATATCTGTATTTGCCATTCACCCCTCAAAACACTGCCATGTGCACTGTTTCATTTGATCTGTTAGGTATCTGCCAAGAGCAGCACTTACATTTTATTTTTTCCAGGCCAGGGGGTAGGAAGGGATGAGGACAAATTTAACCAGCTCCTCGTTCATGCAATTCCAGGGGCCGAAAGCACAGATTTGTAAAGGAGCTGTTCCCTTACACTGAGCTTAAATCTCAGTGCATGTCTATGGATAAGGTATGTACTCTGCTTAGACCTTTCAGGCAAGAACAGCCTTTCCTGAGC
Organism: Homo sapiens; assembly: GCF_000001405.40. Classification (NCBI taxonomy): domain Eukaryota; kingdom Metazoa; phylum Chordata; class Mammalia; order Primates; family Hominidae; genus Homo; species Homo sapiens. The sequence continues at coordinate 182,584,583 of NC_000001.11, forward strand.
ACCTATGATGTACCAAATGACTTACTATTTCATCATTGCACTTAGACCTCATAACAAACTTACGAAGGAGGCATTATCAGCCTCAAGTGAGGAACTGAGGCTCACAGTATCAAGTGACTTGTCTGAGGTTACAAAACTACAAACTAGTGAGACTAGGCTTCAAGCCACCCTAATCATCGCTGAAGCCCTGGCTTGCTCCCCCGCACCATATTGCTTCCTGGGACTTTACGGTCAGCCTTGCTTTTCTTTTAACATTTAAAAGAAAATGCTATTTTCCTTCCCTTTGTTTGGCTTGGACTAGTGGATTCTGACTTGTTCTGCCTTGGAGTCTGTGTCTTCACTACGTCACATCTTGTCCTGACATCCTCAACTTTGACCTCAATTTTGTCAGTAAGTTTCATGGTTACTGCCACCTTGTCTGAAGGAACTCACCTCTAGGATTCTCAGATTTCTGGAGCTACTTTGATCCATGACATGCCTTCATCTGTTTATTTTGCCAATGGCAATCTAAGGCTAGCCTGGTATTCTGTTGGCATCTACCAACCTTCATGTAGACTAACAGAACCCAGTTATAATTGGTAGCAGGAGACACTGCACTGTAATTATGAATTTGTTGTAATAATGATCCACAAATTGAATCATCCACATTTACTCTAGGCCTTTCCTCTCTGCAATGAAAAACTTTTCCTATCATAAACAAAGATCCCACAATTTCTAAGAGAGAATTGGGGATTGGGGACTCACCTATTAAGATGTTTTGTGGTTGCAGATCCTGGTGGGTGTATCCACAGGACAAGTGTAGTTCTTGAACAGCCTTAAATATAGATGACAGGACATTTCGGGCAAATTCATCTTCCTCATTTTCCACATCTTCCCCTCTGTGCACATCCAAACACGCTTCCAGAGTCTGCTCACAGAGGGTGACACACACAAACAAGTGGCCCCTGTGGCTCTCACTCCCATAGAATGTCACCAAGTGACTGTTCTCTCGGCTGCTTTGCAGACAAGAGACTTCCCGCTGTGCACGTGGGCTGCCCTCACAGAACGTCTTCACAGCTACTTCTTGCTTCTCATAGAACCCCAGGTAGATGCCTCCTTCTGAAGTATCAGCAATTTTGTATTTTTCATCAATAAAGAACTTGAGTTTGCCAATCATAGGGCGGTATATTCTGTGGAGATCCTTCAGGGCTGCCCCCCAGTGTGAGCTCTGAGGCTTCCAGTCTTCAGCAGGAGGGTGAAAATCTTCTTTGGCTCCATGAGAGAGAAGAACCTTCACAAGGGAATGGTCATAATTCCGCCTCGCTGTCATAACAAGATCCCCACAATCTGTACTGGCTCCACGTTTGCACAGCAACTCGGCGATTTTCTTCAGTTTGAGTTCAACAGCAAGCAGCAGTGCTGTTTTGCCATCACTGTCTGTGTCATTAATCTCTATGTGCTCTTGCTCCAGAAGCCTCTGCACCAAACCCAAGTGCTTCTTCTCCACTGCCAGGATCAGGGGAGTCTTCCCTCTTTCTCCCCTCACATTGACATCAGCCCCATGGTCCAGCAGCAGATGCGTAATAGCCTCCACATCACTATCGTCAGAGCTCAGGAGAGCATGGATCAAGGCATTTCTGCCCATATTGTCACAGGCGTTTACATCTGCCCCCATCTCATCAAGGAGAATCTTCAAGACCTCTACGTGTCCTTTTTCAGCAGCGTCCATGAGAGCTGTGGCCCCTCCTTTCCTCAGCCGCTCTTGATCCTCCTTTGTCTTTCGCCTCAAATTCACATTTGCTCCTCTCTTATAAAGGAATTTTAGGGCTTTGACCTTACCATACACAGCGGCTTCCATGAAGGCTGTGAAGCCATAAAAATCACACTCATTGACATCTGCTCCTTTAGAAAGGAAAAGTTTCAGCAGCTTCACGCTCCCCGCAATCGCTGCGAGGATAAAAGGCGTGGCCCCATTCTTCTTCCTCAGAACAGGGTCAGCACCATGACGAAGCAGAAGTTCCACAATGTCCTCCCTGCTCATTTGTACTGCGTTATGCAGAGGTGTCCAGCCCCCTTCCTCTTCCTGGAAATTAACATTGGCTCCACCTTCCAGCAATTGCTGGACCAGGTCAACATCTTCGTTTTGAACAGCTTTAATCAGCAAGTGATTGTCTTCCACTGCAGCCCTTCTACCGCTGGAGGACGTGGGTCCCTCCTGGGGGTTGTTATGATCCCTGCTCTCCATGACGGTAAATGCCACCTGCTACCACTTTTAGCCTTTTCCTTGAGAAAATGCAAATTTATCTCCTAGCACTTAATCAAAGAAGCTTTGAGTGTAAATTGGGATTCTCTGGCAACAGAGCAGCAGTATGAAGAAGGAACAATGTTCTCAGTCTTCTGACATTCCACCTGGCAACGAAGAGAGGTGCTTTGTAATTTTACAATAGGGAGAAAACACTTGAATCAGAGAAATTAATTATATTAGCATTTTTTCTAAATACATATATTTATTTCTTATAAAACTTTTAAATTACAGAATATTATAAATATATGTAAATTCAAAATAAGAAAATTATTTCTCTAGTCCCAATGCCCAGAAACAGCCAATGTTAATATTTTAGTGTATTTCTATATATTTTTTAAGACATTTGGAATTATACTCTGTAAGTAACTGTATCCTACTTCCTTTCATTTAATACCATACTATAAGTCATTTCCTGTGTTATTGCAAAGTCTTGTAAAACATTTTTCATGACTATGTAATATGAAATCATACAGTTGTTTCATTTCTCTATTACTGAGTGGTTTTCAAAAATAAGTTTTAAAGGGTTTTTTAAAATTAAAAATTTAAAAAATCTAAATGATGTTGCAGCAAATTCAGCTTATTTTAGTTTATTTTCTTTCGATAGATCTTATGATAGATTTCATATGATAGACTTCAAAGAATTTAATGACTATTCAAAAGATATGATTGTATTTAGGATTCTTAACCTATATTAACAAATTGCTTTCAATGTCATATAAATATATTCTTACCAGAGATAGGTGGCTTCCAAAAAAAAAAAAAAAAGACCATGAAAATATGCACATCAATTATTTATCAATAAAAAAAGAAGAACCCTCATTCAATAAGAAAAATATATTTCTTGGCTTTTTTTCCCTTTGCATTTCTTATGTCACCAGGAAGGTTGATCACTGTGTTTGCTGACTCTGTGCATGTCCTCTTTGTACAACCCTGTGCCCCTATTTAAAGTACAGACAATATCTGACTTATGTTTTTTGACTTTGATTTATGATTTTTTGACTTTGCAGTGGTGGAAAAGCAATAAACATTCAGTAGAAACCACACTTCAAGTACACATACAACCATTCTGTTTTTTATTTCAGCATAGCATTCGATAAATACATGAGACATTTAACACTTTATTATAAAATAAGCTTTGAGCTAGATGATTTTGCCCAACTGTAGCCTAATGTAAGTGTTCTGAGCACATTTAAGGTAAGCTAGGATAAGCTATGACGTTCAGTAGATTAGGTGTATTAAATGTGCTTTTGACCTACAATATTTTCAATTTAGGATGGGTTTATCTGTATGTAACCCCATCATAAGTCAAGGAGTATCTGCAGTAGTGAAAAGAGCTTGTACTCTGACCTTAGGGAGATCTAAGTTTGAGCTTGTGGCTGTGTAATTTTTTACTATTACTTCCTGTAACCTTGGATTGTTGAATCTCAATTTTCTATTTCCTGAAATGGAGACAAAAATAAATACAGTCATGTGTGTAAAGTACATTAAAGTATGGAGTGTTGCAAATATTAGCCACTCAATGAATGTTAGAGCTAATTATATCCCGTTATGAAAAAATAAATTGCTTAGTGAATTCTATTCTCCCTACACATGTGCATATAGCTACTACACGAATAGGCAACTGGCAGCTATCAATTTCGTCCAACTGTCAATCAGATCTGAGAATTACAGATCCAGTTCAATCATCAGACAGCCCGAAACTGTTACCTGAATATTTAAATAACTGCATCTGCTATAGAATTCACGAAGCAACCCTTTTTCAGCAATCTCACCACTCTGACAGTTTCAAAGCCTCAGAGGTTAATTGATTAGCCTCTTAGAAGTTTAATTAATTGTGCAACACATACACGATCACCAGGCAATGAAATCTTTGAACCAAAGTGTTTGTGTAGACCGTCCCCATTACAATCAGATGTGAGGTGGGCTGGTATAAACAAAGGAGCCGGGAAGGAGAGGAAATATCAAGGAAGCCCTGAGTGACGCATCAGAGTAGAGAAGAGACGAGCCTGCGGAAGTACTCCAACAGACAATCCTGCTTTCAATTTCACTTTCTCTGTGCGACCTGAGTAAGTCGCAAAGAGATGCCTGAGAAACTGAGGACATGGATAAATGACGTGTGGACTCTGACAGAACTCTGGAAGGGCACTGGAGGAAGATCCTTCCGGGCAGCCAAGGGCTGGGAGCTCCCCTCCCACTTCCCAAGTCCTCCAGCCCCTGGCCTCTCCAGTCTCCAAAGCCCAAGAATTCTTCAGGATCGACTTATCGAGGTTTTCTAGCTTTCCTCCTTCTGCCTGCCTTACCTGCTCAACTCAGACGTCTCAATTATTCCTTTGGCAGCCGCAAAGCCTGGAAGACTGCTTGCAGCCCGAGCAGTTTCCTCCTGCTGCGTCACTGAGTCAGCAGGGCGGAGCCAAGAAAGGAGTGAGGAGTGTGGGAGGGAAAGCAGCCACAGGCTCACTCTGGCACCAGGAGCAAAGCTTCTACTTGCACACCTTCTGGAGGAAAGCAATAGCCACTTTCTGTCTGCTGATGAGGAATGTGATGCCCGGGGTCATGTCACTCACCTCTCAGTCTTGCAGCCTTTCAGGTGGCAGCAGCCAACTGCATCCATCACTCTTGCATCCTTTCTTTGTCATTGCAAATTCTGGTCTTCTTGGAAGAAAGGAATGGAAAGTAAACACATATTGAGCACCTATTGTGTTCCAGACACAATGCTTTACATGCAGCATGGTCCCAGTTAACCCCTGACAATCTTGTTGATTATGAAACGCAGGCTCATAGAAGCTAAGTAAGCCCAAAGCCCAAGCCCTGTCACCTTTCTCAGCTCACTCAACTCACAGCTCTGAGGCAGTGCGGCCTTCTCAGAAGGGTACCGGACTGGCAGTCTGGAGACCTGATCCTACAGCCAGCTCTGTGGCTGCTTAGCTGAGTGACCTCAGGCATGTGATTTAACCATGTAGGGCCTCAGTTCTCTCCTATAACTTGGTTTTGAAGGTTCCTTTCTGCTCTACAAGTTCTGTTCTTGACTATCTTCCTAGCAATGAGCTGTGTACTGTGTACTTAGTGCTGTAGTGGAAAGTATTTCCATCCCCAAAGAATACCCAGTCTTGCTGGGGAGACAAAGCCCTGGGACTTGTGAACAACAAGTAGTGCATGGTCACTTGACGACCACCTGTGTCACACCATCCAGACCCGGGGCCTCTACCACCCCTTATACACCAGGGATTCCCAGGCCTCGCTCTCTAACCCCAGCCTCTCTGCTGAGCTTTAGACCTACAAATCTTGAATATGTGTCAAATGGAAATACTCATCTTTTCCTAAATCTGCCCCTCCTCCCACTTATTCCATCTCCACAGATGGCACCATCACCCGGAGGCCACCCCTCATCCTCATCCCAACACCAAGTCTCTTGCTTTCATCTACAAAGGGATGACCATTCGAGTCCTTGTCATCATTTATAGCAAGAAATTGATGACTTGCTTCCTAGCCCTTCATCCATTGTTCCACCCTGCATCATTGACCCACCATCATTTTCAGGACAAAGTTCAAAAATCCTTAACCCATTATTCATTTAATTAATACTTGTTGGACAGGCGTGGTGGCTCACACCTGTAATCCCAGCACTTTGGGAGGCCAAGGCAGGCAGATCACCTGAGTTCAGGAGTTCAAGACCAGCCTGGCCAACATGGTGAAACCGCGTCTCTACTAAAAATACAAAAAGTAGCCAGGTGTGGTGTTGTGCACCTGTAATCCCAGCTACTCGGGAGGCTGAGGCAGGAGAATTGCTCGAACCCGGGAGGTGGAGGTTGAAGTGAGCCAACATAGTACCACTACACTCCAGCCTGGATGACAGAGCAAGACTCCGTCTCAAAAAAAAAAAAAAAACTTATTGAGCACTGACTATGTTACCAGTGACTATTCTGCATATCTGGCATAGAATGATTTACCACACCAGTTCCTCACAGAGTTCTTCTAGGAGCTTGCATCTTAATAGGCAGAAATAGATCATAAACAGTTGAAAAACCCAACATATCATGATTTCAGGTTATAATACAGTCCCTGCCTGTCCCTACTCCTCATGGGCATCATCAGTGCTAGCCTCCAGTTCCTTGTCACATTATGTCATATGCTTCTACCTCTATATCTTGACCTATGCTGCCTTGCTACCAGAACTAATGATATTAGTAAGAGTGATGAAAATGTGGATGATTCTGTTAATAATGACAAACATTTACATAGCTCTTTAATATGGTCCAGGAACTGTTCTGAACACTTTATATATGTATTAAATTATTTAATCTTATCCTTATGATGTATATACTATTTTTGTCTCCGTTTTGCAGATAAGAAAACTGAAGCATAAAGTGGTTAAGTAACTTGCTCTAAGGATTTGATCTATATCACTGAACATCACAGAGAAACAGCTTGTCCCCATTCTTTTCTTTTTTTTTTTCTTTTCAAGACGGAGTCTCACTCTGTCACCCAGGCTGGAGTGCAGTGGCGCGATCTTGGCTCACTGAAACCTCTGTCTCCTGGGTTCAAGCGATTCTCTTGCCTTAGCCTCCTGAGGAGCTGGGATTACAGGCACACACCACCACATCCAGCTAATTTTTGTATTTTTAGTAGAGATGGGGTTTCACCACGTTGGTCAGGCTGGTCTCAAACTCCCGACCTCATTATCCATCCACCTCAGCCTCCCAAAGTGCTGGGATTACAGGTGTGAGTTTTTTGAGATGGAGTCTTGCTCTGTCACCCAGGCTGGAGTGCAGTGGTGTGATCTCGGCTCACCACAACCTCCACCTCCCAGGTTCAAGTGATTCTCGTGCCCCAGCCTCCCAAGTAGCTGGAATTACAAGCATGAGCCACCATGCCTGGCTAATTTTTGTATTTTTAGTAGAAACAGGGTTTCACCATGTTGGCCAGGCTGGTCTCGAACTCCTGACCTCGAGTTATCCACCCACCTCGGCCTCCCAAAGTTCTGGGATTACAGGTGTGACCCACCATGCCCAGCCCCTGCCCCCATTCTTACTGAAGCAAGATAATGAACAAAATAAGTAAATCATGTAGTGTATTGTAGGCAACAAATCTACAGAAAATATTAAGATAGAATAAGGAGGGTTAAAAGTGCCAGGATGGGGATGGGGATATTAAACAAAGTAGTCGGGAAGGGTCTTGTTCAGAAGGTGACGTTTGAGCAAAGACTTGCGGAAGATGCAGCAACAGGCTATGCAGATGTCTGCACCAAGAACACAGCAGACAGAGGAAACAGCAAGCACACAGGTCCTGAGGTGGGAGCATGCCTGGTGGGAACAAGCAGCAGCAAGGAGGCCAGTGAGGCTGGAGCAGAGTGAGGGAGGGGAGTTGATAAGCAGAGGTTCAGGTCAGGCGCGACCTTAGGGCCCGTTGTAAGGCTTTTGGCTTCCACACTAAACAACATGGTAGCCATTGGAGTATTGGAGCAGAGGAGTAACATGATCTCCATGGCTTTTTTTTTAGAGGATCTTAATCAGTCCTGTGCTGAGAAGAATCTGGGGATTGAAAGCAAAGGGAGAAGTTGGAAAATCCGTTAGAAGGCTATTGCAATAATCCAGCTGAGAGTCAACGGTGGCCCAGACCAGGGTGGTAGCATAGTGGTAACAGTGGATGTTAGTTTGTCCTGAACAGATGATTTGGTAAAAACTCTTGGAGAATGCTGACCTTTCTGGTCATAATGACATATGTTAAAGTCTAGTGAGCAGAATCATACCTACAGTGAAACCAAGGCAAGTGTATTACCAACTACAGCGAGGGAGGACTCATCCCAGGAACTGCAGAGTATTTTTTTTTTTTTTTTTGAGATGGAGTCTTGGACTGTCACCTGGGCTGGAGTGCAGTGGTGTGATCTCGGTTCACTGCAACTGCTGCCTCCTGGGTTCAAGCGATTCTCCTGCCTCAGCCTCCCGAATAGCTAGGATTACAGGTGCCTGCCACCACGCCCAGCTAATTTTTCTGTATTTTTAGTACAGACAGGGTTTCATCATGTTGGCCAGGCTGGTCTCGAACTCCTGACCTTGTGATTCGCCCACCTCAGCCTCCCAAAGTGCTGGGATTATGGGCATGAGCCACTGCGCCCTGCTTTTTTTTTTTTTTTTTAAGAGACATGATCTTGCTGTGCCACCCAGGCTGGAGTGCAGTGGCACAATCATATAGATCATATAGCTCATTGCAACCTCAACTTCCTGGGCTCAAGTGAACCTCCTGCCTCAGCCTCCCAAATAACTAGGACCCATTGTGAGGCATGCACCACCATGCCCGGCTAATTTTTAAAATTTTTTGTAGAGATGGGTTCTCACTGTGTTGCCCAGGCTGATTTTGAACTCCTGGCTTCAAGCAATCCTCCAGCTTTGTGCTCCCAAAGCACTGAGATTATAGATGTGAGCCATTCCACCCAGCCCCAGGATATCTTCTAAAAGGGAATCAGGATACTTATTTTAGGGTTTGAGCTTTTTGTCAGGTGATTTGGGGAAGGGTTTAAGGAAATAGAGGTTTGTTCTCAATTGGGTGGTGTCAGGAAGCAGAAGCACTTTGGTGCCTTCATTATGATCATCTAGGAATCAGGAGGAACAAAGTGTAGCTAGCACTGTCACTGCTCAAGGAACAGGTGGCTCATGTTACCCAGGAGAGGGGGTGTTGGTTACTTTTATGGTGGTATGGCATCTTTTCTTCACCTCGTGTTCAGTCCTCATTAAGAAGTGGCCTTATTTCTGTCTTGTTCCACTGTAGTCATAGGACAACATCATCAATTATTGTTGGCATTCTGCAGAATTGTTTTGTTCCATGGGAGCCAGGAGTATCAAGGAGGGGGGTGCCCCAAGAGACAGGTGGAGTCTGACAACAGTCCTGGCAGAAGGAGAGATCAGTCTGTCCACAAAGAGACCCCAGTCGCTGCTGGTTCAGAGGCCCAGACTCTGAAGACAGAATCACCAAGAGCAGAAGAGACCCCTCCCAGCAGTGGATGCGAATTCCAGGCTGGGAACATGGAGAGAGAAACCAAGGCCAAGGTGAAATGTAAGGATACCTTCCTCCTTCCCTCTGGCTCCCTCCTTCCCACACTCAAGATGTTAGAATTAAGCAATGTTCTTAACCTTTCCTTCCTTTGACAAGAAAGATCGCTGGGACTGCAGAGATTTTCTCTAAGCTTAGGAATAAATTGCATTTTACTTGCCAAAAGCCCTTCTTGGATCTTGGTGAGAAGACAATGGGGTCGAATTGATCACTGCACTCCAGCCTGGGTGACAGAATGAGACCCTGTCTCAAAAAGAAAAAGAAGAAAGAAAGAGAGAAAAGAAAAGAAAGAAAAGAAAAGAAGAAAGAAAGAAAGAAAGAAAAGAAAAGAAGAAAGAAAAAAAGAAAGAAAGAAGAAAGAAAGGAAGGAAGGAAGAAAGAAAGAAAGAAAGAACGAAAGAAAGAAAGAAAGAAAGAAAGAAAGAAAGAAAGAAAAAAGAAAGAAAGAAAGAAAGATTACACTGATGTGCTCACATCAGTAATATGAGAATGGTTTGGAATGGTTTGATGTTATGTAGCAATGGCTAACTGACATAGCTACTTGCTAGCTCTTTGAATTTGGGCAATTTACTTAAACTTTCTAGGCCTTGATTTCTGTGTCTATATAATGAGGATGATAATAATAGTAGCTAACTCATAGGAGTATCATGAGGATTACAGAAATTAACATACGCGAAGGACTTAGAACATTGCCTGCCACATACAAGCAGCTACCATTTTTGAACACTTACTTTTAAGTGCTATGATAAATATTTTTCCTAAATGTTCTCATTGTCATCACAAAAGTCCTATGAAGATAATATTATTGTTATTCACATTTTACAGGAAAAAGTGAGGCTCTGAGAAATTGAGTAATGTGCTGCAGTTTACTCAGCTGATAAATAGCAGATGTGGAACTTAATTCAGTTGCCTAACTTCCGAGCCTGCTGACTCCATGATTAGGTTATACCACGCTGCCTGTGAGGCTGCGCCTTGGAACTGTGAGATTAACTGAGCTAAGGCAATTCTCCTCCCCGGCACGGAACTGTCCCTTAAGTGGCATCCCATTACAATCATAAGATTAATCCACACATTGTTGCTTTTCTCAAAGATTAAATTAAATCATTCTCCAGGTTACAGATCAAAGCTTGAAAATCACCAACACTGTGAATCAAGAAACATCTTTTCTAAATGATGGGGACTCCAACTCCATTATCCAGCGCCTAACCGCCGTATATCTCTTACCCTCAGGAGCACACCTCAGTTATGTAAGTTTCAAGTCTTTCTTTTCTTCCTTAAAGCAATTTGAATAACTGGACCAATTTAAAAGATTCGTGACAGTAAATTACTTTGCAGTCAGCAAGGCAATAGGCCCTGACACTTTTTTTTTTAATTGGAAGTTTTGCTCTTGTTGCCCAAGCTGGAGTGCAATGGCGCGATCTCGGCTCACTGCAACCTCCGCCTCCTGGGTTCAAGCGATTCTCCTGCCTCAGCCTCCTGAGTAGCTGGGATTACAGGTGCGTGCCACCATGCCCGGCTAATTTTTTGTATTTTTAGTAGAAACGGGGTTTCACCATGTTAGCCAGGCTGGTCTTGAACTCCTGACCTCAGGTGATCTGCCCACCTCAGCATCCCAAAGTGCTGGGATTACAGGCCTGAGCCACCGCGCCCGGCCCCCTGACACCTTTTTTCTCTCTACCTTACAGCTTCCATTTTTAAAAGTAATTTCATCCCTATAAACTAAAGAATCTCGGTTTAACTCCTATACCTGCTGTGCTGTCTCAGTAGTGATATTAATAATTCTCATTTCTGTTAAAATTTCACATGTTTATTAAAATGCATTAATAAATAAAACTACAGTGAAACAAATGAAAGCCATTGGATGTATAATTCCAAAGGAAGAAGCCAAACTTTAAAAGCTTGCATTGCCTGGCATGGCCACAGTGAGGCAGTAGAGGGTGAGAGACAAGCAGCCTCGCACAGTCACAGGGCACATATTTGAAAACAGCGTTGGCTGACCTGGTTTCCAGGAATCCCATGGTCCCTCTAATACCCTGGCTTACTTAATGCCTCCAGCCTTCCATTTCTTTTTCTGAAATTCTGGAATGCTGTAAACATCAGACAAAATATGGTACTGAAGCAGCTAAAAAAAAAAGTAGATTTAGAATCCTGAGTTGAAATTCTGATCCTGCCATTTTATTCAAGAAGTCAAAAGACTTTTTGACTTGACTAATGCCTACTGTATACAAATCACTGTGCTAAGTACTGGGAATCAGATAATAATAATAGCCAATAGTCATGAGGCATTAACATTGTGCCGCACACTTTTATTTCATTCAGTGTTCCCTGTGACGCTTACTCTTATTATCCTCATTTTACAGCTGAGGCTTAAGCAACTTTCCAAGGTGAATGGCCAGGATTCCAACCCAACATTCCGGCTCCACAGCTGGGACTGGAGAACTGCTTTGCTGTAGTCTGTTCTGCCCCATCTCACCAAGGTGAATAATATGACCCTGACTTTGAAGAGCTCAGTTTAATAGGAGAGCAAAAGCCATGAAGAAAGAAGTTATGGAGGAATACCATATGTGCTACAATCAAAGTAAGAACACTGTGTCTTAGAATCATGCAAGTTGGGAGCAATTAACTCTGTACAGGGACATCTGGGAAGGCTTCACTGAGGAGGTGATGTTTTTGCTGGATTTTGAAAGTTGGCATTCTCCTCCTCGCACCTCAACCCCCAATTTTTTCTAAAAAAGAGGAGAAAGAGGTGTTCTAGGCAGAGAGAACAGCATGTGTAGCCACAAAAAAAAAAAAAGAGAGAGAGAGAGAAGGGAAAAGTCTGAGAATGAAGGCTGTCCAGGCAGGAGATACGTCTGGAGAGGGACTTGGGTCAGGTCAGAGACCCCCTTGTGTGTCAGGATTAAAGCTGGACTTTATTTTAGAGTCAAAAGTGAACCGCTGAGGGGTTCTAACGTAGCCACAAAGTGCTCAGATCTGTGCTTTAGAGCTGAAGACTGGCACAGTGTGGAAAATGAACCAGCACAGGGAGAGGCTGGGGTAGGGAGACCCGCCGGGAAATTGTGGTATCTGATTGGAGAGGATGAGAGAGTCCTCTAAGGAAGCCTTGGTGAGCCTGTGCAGAAGCTGGACCCAACGCATTTGGGTCTGAGGGATTTCGATGCACTCAATACATGCATGTTAAAGGCATAAAGATGGAAGGAGAGCAGTAGGAAAGGGCGAGTGTTAGTACCTCCCTGTCTTTCTGGGTCCTCCGCTCTTCCTTCCCTTATCAGTCACATTCCTCCACCCATCTTTCACAGACTGGACTCCCCATGGCATAACTGAGTTCAGATCCCCATTCTGCCACTCACTGGCTGGCTGCCCCAAGCATGTCCCTCCCTCTCAGAGCTTGTTTCCTTCTCTGGATGATAAAGTGTTCAGACCCACTCCACAGAGCTGTTGTAAGGACTAACAGAGCTCAGGGCCTGCCACAGTGTTGGTCCCTGTCTTCCTTCCCAGGCCCTTAATTTCAGGATCCTCCCTGGTGTCACCCACAGAATCCCTCCTTAGATCTGTGCTTAAGATGTGATTCTATGGGGATTTCTACCCCATGTTCCTGAAGTCTGATCACTTTACTCAGACTATCAATAGGGAAGAAATAAAGGTTCATTTAAGGTCCAGATCTGTGTATAAACAGATCATTCAACAGAGAAGAAAACATTTTTTTAAGTAGTCGTAATCAGAAAAAAATGAGAGGGATTCAGTAGGATGAAAAAGGAGAACAAGCAGGCAATTAGCAGAGGAAGAACAGATTTTGATCCTTGCAAACCTACCCCCAGGGTCTCACTGTGTCCCCCAGGCTGGAGTGCGGTAGAGTGATCTCAGCTCATGGCAGCCTTGACCTCCCCAGCATAAGCCATCCTCCCACCTCAGTCTCCCAAGTAGCTGGGACTACAGGCATGTGCCACCACACTCTGCTAATGTTTGACTTTTTGTAGAAACTGGGTTTTGCCATGTTGCCCAGCCTGGTCTTGAGCTCCTGGGCTTAAGTGATCCACCCTCCTCAGCCTCCCTCCCTCAGTGCTCACAGGCATGAGCCACCGCGCCTGTCTCCGTACCCCCAAATTCTTTCAAGCACAGTTCAACCCTTATTCCCTTGGCCCATGGAATGGAGCAGCCTCATGTACAGAGTGGCTTCATATACCTCATCTCAGATACTTCTATGAAATTATAAAAAGAATAATAATTTCTTGAATATAAATTACAAAAGATTTGTAATTGAATTTAATTACAAATTACTTTTAAAAGTAAAAATCCTACAAAAGTCACCACCTAACTGATGATGTCTTGCTACTTGACCAAGGGGTACTGACCCCTGCACTGTTACAGGCAGAATTGGAAATGGCTCATGCCGAGTCCCAGCCAGGTGGGCAAAAGATACGGGCTCTGAAATGACAGTGGGCTGAGCCCAGTCCAATCCACACAACAGCCCAACACAAGTGGGGCTGTCACGAGCTTAAAAAGTCACTGATCATAGCAGCCTCGTTAGAACCTATCCCTTCTCTTGACTCTGGCAGGTACCAGGTGAATATCAAGCTCTCCCTGTACTTCTGCCTGTGCCATGGAAGCTTACTCGCCTGTCCTGTGGAATTCCCAAAAGCCAGCTCCTCCCCAGAGCTCTCCACAACACTTCCCCTTTTCCCCTGACCCACACAGCACTTGAAGACAGGATGTCATATTTGACTTTTGCTTTTATTTTATAAGAATATAACATGCTGAAACAGGAAAATGGGGATTGCAAACATCATTCATATCTAGGAAACCAGCTCCATTTGTCACAATAAATAAATATTTAAACAGTGAGGAGTTCCTGACAGGCTCCAAGAGGTTCCCAGCACATTCAGAGGTAGAGTCTGGTAGAGAAAGGGAGACAGTCAGGCTGAAACCCCTGCTGAGATTCTCCAGTAGAGGCAAACTGAAATTACAATAATAAATAACAACAGCACCAACAATAACAAAAACAATGTTATGACAATCACAGAAAACCAATGATACAATACACTTAAATAATCTCCTGGAGGAGCTCATGGTACAGAGAGAACAGTGTTGATTATCCTGGGCCACAAAGGGGCTGCCCTGGGTAGTTCACTTCCCCAGCCTGGGCTCTGCCGCAGGAGTTGCCATCAGGAAATGTTTGTTCAGTGATGCCCTGAGGTGACAGGCAGGTTCTGATTATCCCCAGTCCTGCCCTTCGAAGCAGCCTCTCCCCCCAGCTTCTGCACTCTAAGGGTGCCATGGTCCTGGGCCACCTCTGCCCACTCCAGTGTTCATCTCACGTCTGCAGGAAAGAAACACAAGGCTCCCCTTCTATCTCGGGGCATCTCTTTTTGCCTGTTCTCATACCACAAAAAACACTGGCTGGATTTCAGCAGGACTCTCAGGGACCGCCAAGAGACTTATTTCCTAGGATCCTTTTCTGCCTTGTTCCACACTGCGGGGCATGAGAGCTGGAAAAGCCACTCCCCGAGGCCTCCACACTTTGTTCTCCTGGGCCCTGCCTCCAAGAGACAGCACAGAACTCAGAGAGGGCACATCCAGGAAGAGGCCCCAGGGCGGGCCTGCTCACAGGTGGACCCTGCTGCAACGCAGGGTCAGGGGCCACCTGCAGGGGGCCACCCAGAGCACTGAGCTGGATTCAAGTGAGCCTCCTTTCAGGGCTCTCCACTGACTTGGAAAGGGCTCACAGGCCAGTGTTTGAGGTATAAATATCTCGCATGGGGCAAGAGTCACATCAGCTTGCTGGCCTTGACATGACTGCAAGGCTGGACAGACACACAGGAGTGTTACGAGGTACAAGCTAAGGGACTCTGGGCTAGCCCAGAGGCCAGTGAGGAGGGCCAAAGGGGAAGACTCCACATCCAGGGTCCCTTCCGTGCCCAGAACAGTCTGGGAATTAGGAAAACAGGATGCAATCAGAGTCAACTGAGCAACAGGCAAAACAGCTGATCTGGATGTCTTTCCTCCTCTCATTTTCATGGTTCCCTTTATCCACATGTTTCCTAAACCACACTAGAACACTTCCTTCTCCGGTGAGAACGAGAGCCAGTGCTAACCCCCATACCACCTTTTTGCCCCACAGAGAGCCCCACCAACCCTCATCATTAGCCCTTATTCACAGGTCCTGGAAGTGGGCGGCTCCTCTCCAGCATGAGTCCCACAGTATCTGAAGGAGAGACTGCTGCTTCCCAAACAGGCTGCTGGAGCGCATTTTTTTTTTTTTTTTTTTTTTTTTTGTCCTCTTGCACTTGCTTTGCAGAACCTGCCTCCCACACAGGGGCAGCCACCTCGGGGATGGGTGACTCAACCTCTCTTCCCGGCTGGCTTCCTCACTGCCGTGGAGACTCAGGTGTGTGAGGGCTCGTCCAGGCTGCAGCTGGACAGAGTGGCAGAGGCGGCTGAGGCTTGGGCAGCCAGGTCCCGGTAAGCAGGCGACTTCAGGAAGCGTGGGTAGGAGTCCTTCTCCATCAGGGTACGTGTCTTCCCCTGAGCCGCATCAAAGCATGTGGCTGTGGCAGTCTGCAGGTTCATCCTCGTCAGCTCGTGGGTCTCATGGTCAATGTTGACCTGCGGGAAGGAGGACACACACAGGGTGAGTTGGGGAAGAGGGTGGGCATGGCTGAGGGAGGGCCAACGGCAGGCTGGGCATTGGAAAGAGCATCGGATGCTGCATCAGGAAGTGGGGGCTCCTGAGTTGATCACTAGCTTTTCAGCTCTGGGCTTGTACCCACATCTGATCCAGTGTCTGTCCTCCAATCTCTCAGAATTAACATGAGGATCTATCAAGAATGTATACAAACGCAATCCCCTTTCACCCTTTCTTCTACAGCAACCCTGCTTCAAGTCACTATCAGCTCTCCTGGGATTTGCACCAAGGCCTCCTACCTGGTCTCTCTGCTACCTTACCCCCCACCCCTGTGGTTTGTTCTCTACCCAGTCGCTACAGTGAGCCTTTAAAAACCCAACTCAGTTTGGTAGCTCCTCTGTTGTCTCCTCATGTCTTTCAGAAGAAGAGCCAAAGGGCTTGCTGGGCCCACGAGGCTCCCCAAGCCCACACCTGGCCATCCTCCTCATGCCTGACCTCATCTCCTGCTCTTGCCCTGCTCTACACAGGTCCATTTGCTCATCCGTGACTGTGACAGGCAGGCTCTGGCCATTGCATTTGCTGCTTCCTGTGTTGGAATGTTCTTCCCTCCCTGAATTCTTTCTTATCTCTGTTCATATGTCCTCACTTCCCTTTACAGAATGGAAAACCTTACGTCTTCCCAGGCCCTACCTCTGGTACTCCCTGTCTCTCATTTCCTGCTGTATTTTTATGAGTGCATAGCTCATCACCTGGCATATATTTGTCTAGTTGGTTATTGGCATCTTCCCCCATTCAAATTATAAGTTTCATTAGGTAAGGGACTTTGTGTGGCTCACTGTGACATACACAGTGACTGTAACAGTGTCTTGAATATAATTGGGGCTCAATACACCTTTACAGAATTATGTGGAATCAATCAGCGGTCAGAAAACAAAAATAAGGTACAAAAGTAAGGCATTACTCTTATCTTTCCACCAGGTGGCGCTGTGTTCTTTAGCAAATGCAGCTGCCATGCGTTTAGCGGCCAGGAGAGAAGGTAGACAAAAAAATCACAGACCACAGACCAGCAGGCCTCAGGCAGGTCAGCCTGGGGACTGAGCCAGGTTACATAAGGTCCCTGTGCTGACCTTGTCTCCCCAGTTGCTAAGTGTTTTGAGCCTCTAAAAACGGATGGGTTTATAAAGGTGGGTATGGACAGAAGCCGAAAAACCTGCCAACACATCCTGCCCCATCATGAGTCTTAGGGTTAAGCACCCAGGAGTGGCACTGGGCCTGGCTTTCCTAGTCTCTGGTCACAGAAGCCCAGTCACCCCTGTGCCAAGTAAGGCCCTTCTACCTCTACACCTAGCCCTTCCTCCCCTCTAGCCCTGATTCTCAGAGGGGAAGGAGCAGGCAGGGTCGTGAGGATTCACTGGGCATATGGGGGCTCTAACCTCTTTAGGGGCCTCACTGCAAATGAACTCCTCAAAGATCTGGTGTGCCCTGGAGGCCAGCTTGGTAGCTGATCGGATCTTCTTGAACTCCTCACAGGCCAGCCAGAACTCCAGGTTCTCCTCACTGAACTCTGTCTTCAGGAAAGCGTGGAAGGCAGCCACTCCATCTGGGGTTGCGGGAAAGAAGAGGAAATAGGTCAGCTGGAGGGACAGCAGGGAATACAAGAAGAAAGGAAAGCAATTGCAATTAATGGCTCTATTTTTAGAACATAATTTTCTTGAACAATGACCTGCCTTTATATGTTGAATAGAGGCTGGCACACTAGGGGATCATTATTATTATTATTACTACTACTATTATTCTGCCCAGGCTCTCAGCAGTCCTGGGGCTGGCTCCAAAGCACATGAGTACACATGTGCCACCCAGAGACAGACACAAAAGGCTCCTACTCACTTTTACTGCTCAGCAGCAGGTCGAACGACTCTCTCCACCCCAGCACATCTTCTGAGAAGTTTCTACTAAAAGACAAAAAGAAAAAAAAAGAGTAAGAAAAAAAATCAACAAACCAAAGCATAGTACAAATTCTAGCCAGAACTCTGATGGAAAACTGCATAAAATTCACAGAAAGGCTTGCTTGGTGATTGCTGAAGCTGACACCTCAAACTCTTAGTTGGACTTAGGGTAAGCAGTAGTGCTTTCTAGAGCACAATTCAGCAACCAGAAATCAAAGCCAGGGACTCTTTAGTCCTCAGTCAATATCTCTAAGCCTGTCTCGTCTCTGTCCAAAAATTATTTCAATTCCCCTGACTCTCAAAGATTTGTTTTGTACACCTTCCCAAGGAAATAAGGTCCTCATAAATAGAGATTACATCTACACATAACTCCAGAGTTTGGTACAGTTGATAGCCAATATGAAAGAGTTTCTAGGCAAGGTGCATACTAGAAAACTTCAAGTGGTCTTGGATTCTGTCCTAGCCCTGGATGCACGTGCAATGAATCCCGAGGTGGGAGAGTCTGGGAACTAGGCATTCATGCCCTGTGTGCCCTCATCCGTGGATGGACTTGGAGCCCTGGAGCCACCTACCCACTCACCCATGAGCCAAGTAGTCATAACAGACCAGCAACAAGTCCCACTAAAATCTCTAGGGAGGTGTTGCCAAGGTCCACTTAGCGTGTCCTGGCTTCTCCCTGTATTTCCCTCCTCATGACTCCCTTCCCACTCCCTTCCCTCTCGGAGCCCTGAGCTGGTCAGCAACACTTACTTCTCTTTGCTGTGTTTACTGCCCCACTCGAACTTGCCAGTACTCCCAGTATCGCAGCCCAGCTCTGATTTGTGAAGAAAGATCCCCAGACGTGTCTTGAACTCTTTGGCTCTGAAAAACAAATCAGGAACATGAAAGCATTCTCTCATTTGCTCAGCCAGTGTGGAGAGGTTTATGGGTCCCAGAAGAGCTCTGGGTGGTGCCACCCAAACTTTAGCCTCAAGAGTTCCTGGAAACTCTTGGCTGTCCCCAGGCCAAGAGTGCTTCTCTTATCAGCATCATCAACCCCAAAGCAACAAAAGCAATGTTTGAGCTATGCTGTGGTAGGTCTTACACTTTCTGGGTAATACACACGCTGCATATATGGGCTTTTCCCTAAAGTCACACTGATCTCTCTTCGTGCCTGTTGATTCAGAAAAGAACTCAGCATTCTTTTCAGAAGTATTTCTGAACTGTGTGGGAAACTGATTCCTGCCTTCATCTTTACTTTTTCCTTCCCAGCCAGTAAGGATTGGAAGCTGTTGAGTAGCTCTCTGGAATATGGACACACCCTCAACAGTGGGAGCCCCCACCCCCACACACCCCACCAAAAAAAAAAAAATCTCCCTGTCTTCCAGGGGCAGAGGAGGCAATGCCCCTAGCTCTGGTCTGAGGAATGAAAAACAAATGCTTAAGAAATGGGCAGGCTCAGTGCTGCCTGGAAATGTCAACGTGGCCTTCCCGCAGCCGGGTCTTCAGCAGGTCACCTGAGCACGACTGCAGTTTGTCAGAGGATGGGGATGGCAGCAAGCCGCGGGCCCTTGCTTCCCTTCCCCTTGCTTTCTCCCTGCTCCTGGAATCTGAGCACGTGGCATCAAGTGCGCTTCTACCTCTCTACTCAAGCCTCTAGCGCCCCATCCCCGCGCCCACCCAGGTCCCCAGGCCTGCCGCTCCACTCCCTAAGAGTTGGTGGGACTTCCCCCAAGCAGTTGGACAACCTCCCCTTACCTCTCCAGGCAGGTGGTGGGGAAGGCGGCCAGGGTGCGGCACATGGCTGCGGGCGCAGGGCAGCACGTAGTAGGCAGGATGGTGGCAGGCTCCAGGAGGCTCCGCGTGCGCCAGGAAGCAAAGGCGCGGTAGCAGGTGCTAGTCAACTGCGGTTGGGTTTAGCAGCCTGCAAGCGCCCAGACTGAGCGGCCGCTGCTTTAAATCCCCTCGGAGGAGCGGGGCGGGGCTGGGCACTGCTGACCAATCGGAGGGTGGGGCTGGGCGCTGAGAAGGCGGAGGCGGGGCCCGCAGCCAGACTGGGCCGGGTGCAACTTTCGCGGCAGCTGGAGCACGCGGAGCTGCACCCTCCGCCCAGAGGACGCCGCGTGTGGAAGGAAAAGCGGCAAGAGAATTGGCACGGGGATGAGACGTGCACACCCAGTTTCCTAGGGAAAAGTACCTGCCGACCTCTAGTAACAGCAGGAAAGTCACGCAGCGGTGTCGTGTTGAGAGAGTTTGCACGGGGGTGGTGGGTCTGGGAGGCACACAGGGCTTTCTTTGATCGCAGGCAAGTCTGAGCCTGCTGGGTCCTGAGGACAGGCGCACAGGGTGCAAACCTGGGCAAAACAGCATCTGATTATACTGATAAGTACCCTTTACGAGGCTCTTACCATGATGGACACGGGGCTAAGTAAGCTCTTCATCATCATCTCCATTTTATAGATGAAGAAATCGAGAATCAGAAAGCTAAATAAACTTGTCCAAGATCACAGTTGGAGATGACAGAAAAGTGGAATAGGGATGAGTAGTTTATTGAACACCTACTATGTGCTAGGCACATAAGTAAGACTTGCTCAAAGTCTTAGTTATTAAATAACTTGCTCAAAGATGTGCAGCTAGTAAGTGTTGGCTCCAAAATTCAAATGTGAATTTGCCATTCTTTTTCCATTGCACACACACACACACACACACACACACACACCACACACACACACAAAGGTTAGTACCCGGTCACGGCTATACCTGTGGACGATCCTGGGTTTAAGCAGTTAATACCTTATTGTCTCCATCTCTGACATAAAGGTAATAAATGCCCTTCCTCTCACCTCATCTTCCCATAAAGGCATTGGGATTGCTATTAAGAGGCTGTATGTGAGGTTAAAAGTACAGGGTCTAGAGTTAGATTTTCAGGTTTCAAGTCATGGCTCTGCCAGGTGACCTGCTGAAGACCCAGCTGCAGGAAGGCCACGTTCACTGTTAACTGGCTACTGATGGGAGACGAGGCAAACTGCTTAACCTTTCTATGCCTCCATTTCCTTGTCTCTACGAAGAGAACAACTTATTTCATAAGGTGGTTGTGAGAACTAAATAAATTAATTCTTAGTTTGAGTTCCTAGGAACTAGACTCGGGTAGACACTTGCATGCAGGAGGTTTACTGGGGAGAGTTATCAGAATTAAGAGGGAGTAAAGAAAGCAGGTCTGGGCAGAGGGAGGAGTTGAAGGCCATGCCATTTCAACAGAGACCCCAGCTGGTTCCAAGGAATGCCCGGAAGCTCAGCTGGCCCTTTGGAACTGTCCACTGAAGCAAGAGGACAAGGCCCTGGTAACCCCATAAAGACCATTCATTGCATACAGCTGCCCAAGAAGACAGCCTAATCTTAAGGCAGTGCCCTTTGTCAAGAGCAATTCCTGGAGAGAGACTAACACCCTGGGAAATGATGATCACAGTCCCCAAGACGGGATCTGGGTGGCACCGCACAGCATCCGTGACAACATATAAGGTGCTTATATGACAGTGCTCAACATGTAGTCAGCAGTCAATAAATGTTATAATAGCTTTCAGTTTTACTTAATAGGGATACTGGGATTGCTAGCAATAAGGAAAATTAGTGAGTCTTTTGTGCCTCTTGGAATACAGTATAGGCAGTGTATACTGAGGCACTCTTAGTTAAGTACACCTGAGGCACTCTTAGTTAAGTGTACTGGAACAGGAAATAGCTGGAAATTGGATCCTATCTCCCAATTCCTGAGCTAGTACTTTCTCCTGCTCTGATAAAGAAAGCAAAATAAACGGTGCCAGGAGCAGTGGCTCACGCCTGTAATCCCAGAACTTTGGGAGGCTGAGGCGGGCAGATCACCTGAGGTCAGGAGTTCGAGACCAGCCTGGCCAACATGGCGAAACCCAGTCGCTACTAAAAATACAAAAACATACCCAGGCATGGTGGTGGGTGCCTGTAATCCCAGCTACTTGGGAGGCTGAGGCAGGAGAATCTCTTGAACCCAGGAGGTAGAGGTTGCAGTAAGCCGAGATCGCGCCATTGCAAAAAAAACAAAGGCATTGATGCACAGTGCACAGACCAGCAAATCTGAGAGCACAAAGCTCCCTACTCTAGATGAACGGCCCTCTCCAAGTTCAACCTGCCTCTTTGTTGCCATGGTTACCTCTTCAGTTTCCAGGCAGAAACTTTTTGAAGTTCACAATTTATCCCAAATTATCTTCCCAGCAGGTCGGTTCATATCTGCAGTTTCGGTAATGCAGGATGACTCGACAGTTGCTGTAAATCCAGCAAGTTGAGCTCACTTATGAATTGCACTGGCTTGGACAAAACCTGACCTCATTTTTGCCCAGCACTCCCAGAGCAGATGTGATCTCTTTAATGGATGGCAGCATGGGGGCACGGCTCTGCACCCTGGGTCATCTGGGGTCAGCAGTCTGGGCAAAGCCGTAGTCAAGATTAAATGTCCCACAGCATCCCAGCCATATTGCCTTTCATCTCCTTCAGCTCCCAGCCCCCAGCACTACCCTTTCCATGGAGGCAGAAGTCTAGATGGGGATCTTTGTCTACTGATAATGGTAAGCAGAAATGAGAACTCTTCCTCCATTTTTCTGATTTAGCTCAGATGATCCTCACAGTGGTTTAGGTCCTCCAAATTCAATCATCAATCTACAAATACATATTTCTTATGAATTTACTATATTCCCAAGTTGGTGGGAAAACAATAGCTTTTAAGGCTCTTCCCTGAATTCAAGGACCTTATAATCTAGCTAAGGAAATAGAACTGCATGGTGGGGAGCAGGGAAAGTGAAAGGAAACTATTGTTTGTCACAGAAACAGATGTCAAGGGAAGAGGCTGATTAGAGACGGTTGACAGTATTGAAAAAGAAGTGATGGAGCCATGGTAGCCAGTGAAAAGCAGAAGAAGTAGGAGGAGGCATGAAAGTGAAAGAAACAGGAAAAGCTCTTATCATTTGCAGGTACAGCAAAGGTGCAGAAAGACTAAGGAATTTATTAAATGCTGCAGAAGCACTTAGGGTTGTGGGACACAATTGGATGCCACTTTTAGATTTAAGAGCGTATCCTGAAGCAGCTGAATGAGGAGGCAGTGATCATCTCCAGCAGAAGTGAAATAGGCAATCACTGGGGACATTTCCCCACTGGTTCATGACAAAAACTTTGGGCACCCTCTCCTCCTGGGTAGGAGAAGTTGACCAAATTCAGCCTGGTTGTAGGAAATGACTTTTACTATGATTAATGATTACTGTTTAGGGTATTGCATGCAGCTTGCTTTGCTGCTATATTAGTCCTCTCTGGTTTCTTCTTTTCCCTCCCTCCCCACTTCTCCCAAACCTAGACTTGGAGGATGACGTCTAGACTCCTCTGTAAGGCATCTAAGGCTCTAACCACTTGGTCTCATATCCTTTATACACCCTAAATTCCAGCCAAACTCAGCAATTGGCACATTATCCTGGGCATCATGCTGCCTTATACCCACAAACCCTTGAGCATAAAATTCTCTTGGCCTGAAGGTCCTTCCCCTTCCTGTACTACTCAGTTAAAAAAATATTTTTCAATAAACTGATTTTACTTATATATTGAGATACAATTACATATAATAAAATGCACAAATCTTAAGAGTACAATTCAATGAGTTTTGACAAATGTATACACCCATGTAACCAATATGTAATCAAGCTATGGCTTCCATCACTCCTCATGCCTGCTCCAGCAAATTTCTCCCCTAAACAGAGGTGACCACTAGCCTAAGTCCTAGAACCATACATTGGTATTGACTTTTCTTGACTTTTCTACCTATTTTTGAGACCTAGCTCAACTGCCTTCTATTCTATCATACCATCCCTAATTCCTCCTCCCTCCCCGCATCTGCAAGCAGAGTTGGCCAGGCCTCCTTTGAGCCATCCCTGTTGCCCTGTACTGATAGAATCAATGTACAGTCTGTTTCCTCTGTGCACTCCTGGAGGGCAGGGACTATTGCCTTGGTCATCTTTTTTTATCTTCAGCCCCTATCACCATGCTCAGTTCTGCATATGTTCCATAAATGTTGGCTGGGTAGATGGCTTCTGTTTCAACACAAATAATAAAAGCTAACATTTATCGAACACTTACTATGTGCCAGGCTCTGTTCTGTGTGCTTTGACTTGAAGTATCTCTTTCAATGCTCACAATTACACTCATAAGATCAGTAATATATTTTCCCCATTTTACATTTGAGTAAACTCTGTTTACGTTGAGTAAACAGAGATTGGTTAAGTAACTTGCCTATGGCCACAAAGCTATTAGGTGGTCGAGTTGGGTTTTGATTTCAGATAGTCCAACTCCAGGACCTGGGTTCCTAAGCAAACACTACGTCGGCTTGCCATGTGGTATTTTCTAGAACTCAGAATTGGCTTGCTATGAGAAGAATGAAGCACATCCTTGGGGAATCACGGCACAATGTTTCAGGTCATCCTTCTGTCTTCTGCAGTTTTGTTTCCTTGTATCCTCTCTTTCTTGCTCACTCCATTCCTCCCTCCCCATTCACATTTTCCACTTCCTGTCTTTGCCCTTAGCTGTGATGTCATCACAGGCTCTGGATTTTTCTGCTGCTTCACTTCCCAGTCCCTTGTGTATACAGTTCCCGAGTATGGCTGTGGAGAGTCCCTTTCTCTGCTCAAGTCCCTCTGTTAGCATGTGGGTTTTTATATCTCTTTTTCAGGAAAACTCAGAATTCAGCTCTGTGTTCCCCTGCCACACTTTCCAGCCCATGCTGTCCCATCTTCTTTTGCTCATGGAAAAGCCTGGTTCCCACCTGGGAGGGAGACCAGGGGCAGCTCCCAAAGTCTTTGGGATGTGTCAAAACCCAAGACCTTTGTTCCTCCCCATCCTCCTGGGAACCTGAGAGCTGGGGGATGGCGCCTGGCCCTCTGAGGTTTATGCTTTCTTGGTTCTCACATGCTGGCTTGGCCCTTCCCAGGCCCAGATCTTAGCGTTTTGTGGTCTGAAACCCGTGAGCTTACCTGCCTGACTGTAAGGTCCACTTCACCCCACCCTATAACCCGATAGTCTACCTCCCTCCAGGCTCCCGAACTTTCCCTGCCTGCCAGCGCCCAGCTTCCTCCACCTCTCCCTGTGCTCACCAGCCCATGCTGTCTCCACTCTGCAAACCCCTGCCCACCCCTGCCATCACCTTGCTGCATTCCCTAAAGTACCAAGTAAGTCATCAGTAATAAATGGGCCCATCTCACCTTAACACTTCCATTTCCGAAGTAAGAGAGTTACCTAAGAAGCCTGAGTTTCTAAATGTCTTCCTCTTTCCCACCATACCTCCTCCTTGCCTTCTTCACCTTTGTCACAAAAGTCATTTTTCTGAGAGTATCTCATTTCCATTCACTAAGACTTAGAAACAAGGCTTATTAGAATCTGCATTTTACTGTAATGATTTTCCAAGACCCTGAGAAGCCAGTCAGAATGAAAGATTAGAGGGGGGAAACGTGAGGCCTGGGATTTGCAAATGACTGAAAGGTGATGTTTATATTTCCCGTCCCCTAGTCCTTTGCAAACTGAGGATGGAGCACATTTTTATTTTAGAACTGGAAAGTCAGACAGGCATAGCACCCCAGATGGTGCCTCTATCTCTAGAAGGAAATAAGCACCAGAAGAAATCTAACAGGTGCCACCCCTAATCTGGGAGTAGAGGAGGGATTCTGACCATCGCTCCCCACACCATATTCTCTCACCAAGGCAACAGCCAGTGCTGATGTGTAACATCGTGGGCAAGAGGAAAGTATTCTGCTCTTTGGCCTAACTGTTGTGTCAAGAGAACGGGGATATAGAATAGGTGAGGAGAGAACATTGTTTTACTCTCAAATATTGTGTGTGTTTGTGTGTGTGTGTGTGTGTGTGTGTGTGTGTGTGTGTGTGTGTAGGGGCAGGGAACTGAAAGACCTTCGCAGAGGAGAACCTCTATGAGTGGCCAACCACCCTCATTTCTTGGAAAACTCAACATATCAGACTACCTCTGTTTCCAGAGACATTCAGTGTTCTCTCCTCCATTCCAAAGCTGCCTTTGAGATGTGGATGCTTACTTGGACAGGTCTAAAACAGCCTCAGGGAGGTCTGGAGCCCAAATCTCGGTGCCTAGTGCAGTGTCTAACACAATAGAGACACTCATTAAATAATGAGTGAATGAATCCCACTCCAAACATGGTGAATATCCTTGGAGATTAACTGTCAACCCTGCCTGCCCCAGATCCTCCAGATTGCAGGCATTCTCAGCTAAACTTCAGCCAGTCAGCTTTCTGGAAACGGGTCCCAGGAGGGCTGAATTATGCAGTGAAACTTATTACTCTGCAGCCCTCTTACACTCCCCTCCCCCTGTGGCTTGCAGTCTCCCAGTGCAGAGCAAACTGGAGCAAAATCAGGGAAGGGTCAAGCAGACATCAGTGGCTCCAGAGCCCAGCTAGAGTCGGAAGCAAGACACCAAACACACATGGCACCTATGCCGACTCCACCTACCCCTCTGTAGGCCTTTAGTGTGAAAAGCCCCCAGCTTACCTTGCCTCCTTCCTCTTCCTCTCCTAGGTATTCCAGAGCAGCATGTACTAGGGAGAACCCGGCTCTGTGTCAGACAGTAAGACGATTTCAGCCAGCTTGGGAGGTTGATGTCTGGTCTTCCTCCAGGCCCTGTCTTAGAGAAAAGGAAACTACCATTTTTAGGGCCCTCCATGATCCAACGCTGGACTCAGGGCCTTACAGATGCCACCTGTACAGAAGGGGAAACAGACATCGGTGCGTAAGTAATCTCCCCACAGTGACACACCTAGTGAATGGGAGTGCCAGGCTAGAAACCCAGTTCTATCCACAAGGTCCAACCCCAGGGCTATTCAATGCCTTGTCCCCATGTTCCCTAGCCTCTGAGCATCTCTCCCCCTGGACCTTGGCTGCTACTTCAGGCCATTTCTCCTCCTTGTTCTAGTCAGAAATTTCTAGGTGCTTACCTAGGCCACAGATGAGACATAAGGACCCCAGGAACAGCAAGCCCCAACATGTGAATACCACACACACGTGCAGAGATGTCAGGTCAGAGGCATGGGAGGGGCTTTGTCATCTCCTGGGAGTTAAGGACCTACTTTCTGTGGGGTACCTCCTCCTCCTTTGAGTCACCTTCCAGGAGTCCCCATGTCAACAGGGAGAGTAGGGGGTGGGGGTGGGGCAGTCTGGTGCAGGGGCACAGAAGAAAAACCATTTTATAGGAAAGCAGGGGAGGCTCAACAAAAGCACCAACACTAGCTGTAATGTGGCGACAAGTTGGAAGGGATCATGCCTCTCACAATGTGCTCACAACACCTGAGCAGAGGGAGAAACGTGGTGTGATGTGTGAGCAGCTGGGAGGCTGGGCCGGCAGAGTGGCGGCGGGGGAGGAGGGCCGGAGAAAGCAATGGGAACAGGTGGTCCTTTCACAAGCTCCCAGGCCCTCAGCCCCTGACACAGCAGCTGTCCTAGAAACAGGCCCAGGTGGACAGAGAGAAGAGCACAGCAGGGGGTGCATGATGTTTTTGCAGAGATAGAAATGAGCTCTCCCTAATAGGCCCCACACATTTGAGCAGGGGGGCACACGCGGTGAGCTGTGTGACTGAGCCTGGGTGAGCCACACCTCCTCCGCCAGCCATCTAGCTGTAGTGCTGCTCCAAATGTGACCACAGGGGAACTTTCTGGATCCAAGTCCCCAGGCGTCCCAAACACCCTGGCTGCAGTAAACACAATGATAGTCACTAACAACTGGTGTGCACACTTCCACTGTGCTCTACATTTATGGCTCTTACAGTCCTCGTCTCATTTAATCCTCACACTAACCTCTGAAGAAGGTCCTCTGACCATTGTTTTACAGACGGGGAAACTGAAGCATAGAGAGCTTAATGGAGGAAGAGATGGAAGGCTCGTGCCATGATTTGGTACTGGGTCATCTGACTGTCCATGCAGTTAGCTACGCATTCTGCAGACTTCCTCCATCCCCAGCTCCCACAGTTACAAAAAGTTCTTTCCTGCTCTGAGTTCTGAAATGCTCACATTCCCAGCTCCAAGAGGATTCCCAAAATGAATGTTTACCTTCTCTTACAGTTCAGTCTAGCCTTCACATCTTGGGAGGGGTTAGAGGGGGCAGAGGAAAGGAACTTTAGCTGCCTAGGTGCAGTTTAAAGAGGGTCTAGGTACTGTGGCTCTCAGCAGCCTTTGACCCTGGGGCCACTCTCTTCATCTTATGGAGGACAAGGCCTTTGGTTCCCTGGAGGTTCACTGAAAATCACTGACATGAGGCAGATTGATTAATAGGATAAAAGTCACACAAATTTATTTAATGTGAGTACACATGAACCTTCAAAATGAAGACCCAAAGACACAGGGGAAATTGTCCATTTTTATGGTTGGGTACAACAAAGTATGGACAGCCATGTAGAAATATGATTGAACAAAAAGGGTATGATCTAATGCTAATAGACTGAGTGGGGAAACCAAGCAAGGCCTGCCTGTCTGGATTCTTCTTGGCCTCTCTGAGCATGCATTCCTCTGTGAACCCAGAAAATCTGAGACAGCTCTCAGTCCAGAAAGTTTATTTTGCCAAGTTTGAGGGCCAGCCTGTGACACAACCTCAGGAAGTCCTGATGACATGTGCCCAAGGTGGCCGGGGCACAGCTTGGTTTTATACATTTTAGGGAGACATGAGACACCAATCAATATATGTAAGAAGTACATTAGCTCTATCCAGAAAGATGGAGACAACTCAAACCAAGCCCCCTACCTTCCAGGTCACAGGTAGCTGACAGACAGATGGCTGCATTCTTTTGAGTTTCTGATAAGTCTTTCCAAAGGAGACAATCAGAATATGCATCTATCTTTGTTATCTCTGTGAGCAGAGGGATGACTCTGAATAGAATGGGAGGCCCTGAGCGGTTCCCAGCTTGAAGGGGCCCAAGATATTTTCTTTTCACACCTTCCTTCTGGATGTGGGGCAGGACCCTCTCTGGAACAACGTAGAACAGATCATTTCTTTATGGTCAGTTTTTACACAGAAAGATGAAGAGAAAATTAGAGTAATGATTTTAGGTTTCATGGCTGACTTTGGGAAAAGGGGGTTCTGGTTTATACGGCTGCCTTGGAGAAGGGGAATTCTAGTTCCTAGTTCCTATGGCTTGCCTTGTGGGACAATGAGACTGAGACAGGAGGGCAAGAGAAGATCAGAGAAAAACTTTTGCTTCTGGGGCAGTATCTATATCTATCTCTCTATCCATCTACATATCTATACTGGTTGAATTGAAGTGGTAGTCATTATAACAATCTTTCAACTATTCTGCATGCCTGAAAATCTGTATAATAAAAAGTTGGGGGAAACGCTTTAAAGGCTGCCCCGTGACAACATGGATTACCTCTTTCTCTATTTCCCTAATATTGTGCATTATCAACAACTTAATCACATTTCATTGTAATTATGTGCTAAGAAACTTTCTCCCATAGGCTGTGTAAAAGTACAGTAGCTGCACACAGTAGGCACTCAATAACTGCTTGCATGCCTGAATATCCTCTCCTATGAGGCTGTCCTTGAGAATTAATAAGCCACCGGAGTGGGAAGACGCCAGAGTTAACCATACACTACCCTTTGATGCTTCATTCTTCATAACACAGAAGCTCATGAGCGAGCACAGGAAAGGCGCCGTGCCTGGGAGGAAAGACAATAAATGGCTATGGACTGAATGACAGCTCAGTTTAAAACTCAGGAGATCCAGCCTCTGTGGTCATATGATTAACTGGCTGTGTGACCATGTCCAAACACTAACCTCTCTGTGCCTCTGTTTTCTCACTTGCAAACAGGGAGTAATAATGTGTCTTGGCCAATAAGTGGAGAAAAGTGTTTTGAGGCCGGGCGCGGTGGCTCAAGCCTGTAACCTTAGCACTTTGGGAGGCCGAGGCGAGCGGACCGCCTGAGCTCCAGAGTTCAACACCAGCCTGGGCAACACGGTGAAACCCGCTCTCTACTAAAATACAAAAAAAAAAAAAATGGCCGGGCGTGGTGTCGTGCGCCTGTAATCCCAGCTACTCGGGAGGCTGAGGCAGGAGAATCGCTTGAACCCGGGAGGCGGAGATTGCAGTGAGCCGAGATCGCGCCACCGCACTCCAGCCTGGGCGACAGAGCGGAGGCTCCGTCTCCAAAAAAAAAATAAAATAAAATAAAAGGAAAGTGTTTGAAAAGTGCTTAAGTGCTCTGAAAAGTCTGAGATGCTGTGCAAATAGTGCGGCATTATCCTTATTTTTGTTATTAAAATGAGCGAGACTTGCCCTGACCAGCGACGAATTGACTCACTCAGTTTTGGGGGAGGGGGCGGAGGAGTGGGAGGAGCGGGAGGAGAGGGGCCACGCTTGTCTTCTCCGAGGGATGGGAATTTCCACCCAGCTGGAAGTAATAAGCGCCCGAGGCTCGGGCCTCACTGTCTCCACCCCCGCTTTCCCTTTCCTCTGACCAAGTGACAACTGCTCGGAAACAGACAGGACAGAGAATCTTAAAATAGAGCAGCAAATATCCGCGGCTCGCCGCCCCGGGCTCTGTGGCACCATCAGCAGCTTGCGCAGGACACAGACGTCGGCTCACGCGCCGCAGCCCTCGGCCCCGGAAGAGCCGCGGCCGCGGAGCAGCGAACGCGTGCCTGCCAGGGAAAAGCAGTCACCAGGAACGCGGCGTTTTGGTCGGCTGCCCATCGCCAGCCCTGTCCGCGCGAGATGCCCTGCTCCGAAGCTCTTGTGAGCTCCGCGGCCTGCGGCTCCGGAAGGCGAAGCTCTTCCAGGAAGCAGCGGCGGCCCCACTGGCCCTCTCAGGCTGCGGAGAAAGGGCGGGAGGCCGCGGGGCTCTCCAGGACTCAGTGGTTTCGGAGAAACTCGACTTCCCAGGCTCGGAGGGCCAGTTTGGGATTGTTATAGAACAAAACGTGGGCGGCATAAAGTGCTCCGAAGTGGAGATCACCTTGAAGACTGGGCCCTTGGCTCTGTGACCCAGCAGACCCGAAATTCCAATCTGGCAAACTTTCAGCCTGACCCTTGGGAAAGGATCGCTCCCAGAGTGTGGGGGTGGAGGTGATGGGACAAAGATCTTAAAATCCTGAAAAACAACCGTTATTCTCAACTGAATTTCTGCTAAGTGCATCCATTCATAAACAGTACGTGCCTGGCGCTCTTTACGTGTATTAACTGGTTTAATTCCCACAACCTTAAGTAGGGGCTGTTAATCTCACAATTGTAGAGCCACCATTCAAAGCCAGGCAGTCTGGCCCCAGCCTCTGTGGGCTTAACCACTACCCGCCGCCAAGCAGCTCCTAGGAGCCTGGCAGGGAAAGGCATGGTGACGACAGCAGACGAGGTCCCTCAAGTAGCTTGCATTCTGGAAGCGAAGAAAGATCATGAACAAGTTTCAAATTGGTAAAATAATTGTCAGTGGAGATTCATCCCATAAAGGAATTGAGTAAAAGGAAGAACTACTTTCAGTAAGATGGTTTGGGTTGGAGTTTCTGTTCATAAGGGCAGAAATGGACTCTCTCTGACTTAAAGAGAAAAAACTTTGTTAAGAGTTTGGGGTAACCCACAGAATTATCAGGATGTCTCAGAATACAGACAAGAACAAAGGGAGGCTCCGCAGCCAAAAGTCCCTCCTCTAAACCACTTTGATGAGGACCAAACAGGTGCTACTGCTGAAAGCTAGACACCACATCCTACTCCACAACCAACGCTGGAACTCCCCAGACACCCCGCTGGCTCTGCCGCCCCTAAACCGGATGCGGCAGCCACCGCGGACCCCACAGCGGATTCTCCACCACCCCATTTCTTTGCATTGCATCACCACCTCCAGAGTGTGCCTAATTGGCACCCCGCTGCTTCTGATGCAAAACTCCAAGCTGTACTGGGCAAACGCGCAGCCTCTGGCACCATTCCCAGTGCTGCTGAGCATACAGACCTGAGCACAGCGGAGGGGGAGGGCTTGGTGGGGAGGGGGACTTACAATTCATCCACGCTGTTGAAATCCCATCAAACACACACGACCCAGTTTGGCTGGTGCAGCCTTTTCTCTCCCCTCCTGATAGCATTTCAGCCTCTCTTCCAATAAAAAATAGTAGCTACTAATTTTGAGTGCCTGTTTATATGCAAATCTACCACAGAAATAAGCCTTCATTTCTGAGGCTAGCCCTTGCAAGGTAGTTAATTACTCTCCCCATTTTCAAATGCATAATCTAAAGGCTTAGAGAGGTTAGGAATCTTGTCCAGGTTCTCCGGTGTAAGAAGGGGTGGAGCCCAAATTTGAACTCAGGTTTGTAATGCTCTGGGGAGCACACACTGCCTCCTAAGGGGAAAGGCAAAAAGTTATCAGCACAGAAGTGATCCCTGCTCCAAAATCCCAGCCATGACATGTGGGGAGAGGGGACACTCCATCTGAATTTATGACCACGGTCTCTACAGCCCCTGACCCTGCCCACCACCTACAGACCCCTCCTGATACCCTGACCACTGCAGCCGTCCCAACCTCCCAGGTAGATGAGCTCTGTGAGGCCACTTGGTTCCTCCCGTGTCAAGGCAGACTCCTCCACCCCGCTGACCTTTATCCCTCATAGCTTCCATAAAGGTCCTCTGAGGTTCTACACCTACGGGTTTACACTGCTACAGGTAAGGCTCACTTTACACAAACACATATGTGAGCTGAATGTTTGTGAATTGATTCTATACTGATTGGATTACATCATCATTTCAAAAACCATTGTTAATCTCCACCTGCTCTTCAGCTCTCATTGACAATCAGGCACTTTAGCTTAAAGTTTTATTGCCCCCACTTCCTTACTTTTCTTGGCAAGCAGCAATCTATAAATCAATATTTAAATATACCAAGGAAGTTCACCATTAATGGATTCCCAGGTGAATCATCTTATAAAGTGAAAAAATTACTGCTTGATAAAAAGATCATCCCCTAAGACATTTGTATTGTGAATATGATTTTTTTCTTGGCTTTTATTAATCAGGTTGCATGCATATACTTAGTGGTGTAGTAATAAATCAGTCCTTTAAAAGGGGTAATCTGGTCAAAAAGAATGAGGAAAAAGAGGAGAGATAGAGGCAGTAAAAACAAATATGGATTTCTGGGCCTTTCTATTACTGGTTAAATGCGGGCTACCCCAGCCAACCTTTCAGGACTAGGTTTCTCTCATTGCAATATGGAGCAGAGTCTTTAGTATACATCATGAGGCTGCCATGAGATTTTAATGAGGCACTGTTTAAGCCCCTTTGAGATAAGCATAAAGTATTATTGAACTGCAATCTGTGTGCACCTATGAAGAGAGAAACATATCGCCTCTGGTTGTGGTGGAGAGGTTGCTGCCCCCTCTTGCTATGTGCCCTCCCCTGGATCAGGTTTCTATTTTTCCCCAAAGTGCCAGTGCCTGAGTCATTTCTAGCAAGTAGTGGGGAGTGGCATTACATCATTCACACTTTTCCCCAAGACCTGAGAAAACACGGCAGGCAAACTGGCAATAAGGTTTAGGATTGTCTCCGGCTGCTGCTGGAAATCTACACAGAAGTGTTTCTCCTGGCAGCAGACAGCTGCTGTGTTAGGTGTGAATCAAACATGCAAACCTCTGGAGATTTTTCTTTCCCTTCTCTGAGACACAACTTAGCAGAATTGCTGAAAATAATGGTGACACACTGTCTCAGCGCTGGGGCTTTCAGGGAGATGGAGGAGGGGAGCGAGGGCTGCTTCTCACCAGCGCTCAGGAGAGAGTCCAGTCCCTTTCAGCATCTTCCTGTGTGCCTCACTGCTCTGAATTCATCTCTCTTTTTCACCCTGCCTTTCTGGAACTGTCAGACTCCTGCCCTGGATTCCTGTTTAGGACTGTGGTTGCATCTCCAGAGGCAGTGGGGCCCTGCCTAGAGACCCGTGGGCAGGGATTGGGAAGAAAGTGAGCTTGATTCCCCCATCTTTCCCGTGATGGCTAGAGTTAAGAACCCAGTTCACGTGTGCATGCCTATGTATATCACATGTGTGATTCCTAAACTAAAAGATTGAAATTCTCTCCAGAGATGTCAACAGTTTCAGCTGCATTTATTTAGCTTTCCCATTGTAGAGTTGGTGATTCCCAGATGATATATGACTACAGAGATGCAAGTAGAAGCATTCTTCAGCCTCCTCCAATGAGAGATACAACCTAGACCCAGAATGGAGAGGCTGAGGGCAGCCAGGGAGCCTAAGAAGCCTATTCAGAATTCCTGCATTTGGAGCCTAGGAATTTATTTAATGTCATTGTTATTTTATACACTTGGCATTTGTTTATATGCAAATAGTGCATACCAGTTATGAATCTCAGTCCACAAACTATTTTTTCTATTTCCTATAGCTTAACTTGATTTCTCAGAGTTTTCCTTGTGCAGACTGTTAGGCAACAAAACAAACAAATAAGAAATCAGACCTTCCCAAGGTACCTCTCCATGAGTGATACCAAGATTATGAGGCTTTATACAATGCCAAGGTACCAAATAGTGGGTGTGAGTGATCCTCTGGTGTTTGGTCTTGTGTCCACTCAGGTTTCTGCTGAGATAGCCAATCCCTGTCTACATGTTGCTTGAGTCTGATGACTCTCTGCTGCTCGGTTATTTCTCTTGGTCTGTGTGAACCTCTTGCAGTGCTGTCTATGGACCCCTTGCCCTCTCAGCCAATCCTCTCTAGCTTCTCGCTGAGTCCGCAGGGATGCCCTGGAAAACAGACCCAGGCCACTTCTGCTTTAATAATCCAGAAGCTATTTATTCCTTCATGTCCCAGCCCCAGGAGAATCTCTTTCCAGTGGAGAGATCAAACCACTCCAGAGAAGAGACCAGATGCTGACATTTGGGCTTCCCTATGGAAAAAAACAGTGAGTTGCTGTAAAAGTCCTGTTCATACACACAGAGCTCTCAGTCACACTCTTATTGCCTTGGTTTTAAATATGAGTGAACAATCAAGGATCACCAGACCTTAGAGCAAAGCCCTCAACTTGAAAGAAAGAGACTAAAGTAAACAATAAAAGGGAACCCAAGAGAAACAGAAACAATTCAGGAAACAGAATAGAAAGGAAACAAATTAAAACAAACCAAAACCCATCATTCATAGCTTCAGGGAAATAAGAGAAAATATTGCAACTATAAAACAAGAACAGAATTTTGTTTTCTAAGAAACAGAGAAAAATTATAACCTCTTGGGAATTAAAAATGTGATACCAAAAAAATCAACAGAAGTGTTCAAAAACAATGTTGAGGAAATCTTTCAGAAAGTCAGAAAAAAAGGGACATTGGAAATAATAAATTAGAAAATTAAAGGATAAAGCTGGGCACGGTGGCTCACGCCTGTAATCCCAGCACTTTGGGAGGCCGAGGTGGGTGGATCACTTGAGGTCGGGAGTTCGAGACCAGCCTGACCAACATGGAGAAACCCCATTTCTACTAAAAAATATAAAATTAGCCAGGCACAGTGGCGCATGCCTCTAATCCCAGCTACTCGGGAGGCTGAGGCAGGAGTATCTCTTGAACCTGGGAGGTGGAGGTTGCGGTGAGCCGAGATCACGCCATTGCACTCCAGCCTGGGTAACGAGTGAAACTCCATCTCAAAAAAAAAAAAAAAAAAGAAAGAAAGAAAATTAAAGGATAAAGCCAAGACGTTTCATTTATAACTAATACGAATGCCAGAAAAAACAGTGGGGAGGAAATTATCAAAGAAATCCTATAAGCAAACCATCCCCAAAGTGTCAGTCTCCACACTGACCGGGCTACCACGCGCTCAGCTCATATTGAATACAAAAACCCAGACATCATTATAAATTCAGAACCCTAGGATACAAAGGTGGTCCTAAGAACCTAGAGACCGGGGGATTGAGGGGGATTGGGGAACAGACCACAAACAATACACAGGAATTGAAATAACATCAGTCTTCTCAATAATAACATTGAACACTTCCAAGGTTCTAAGTGAAAATAATAATAATTATATTTTAAATAATATAATAAATTTTTTTTGAGATGGAGTCTTGATCTGTCACCCAAGCTGGAGTGCAGTGGCACGATCTCAGCTCACTGCAACCCTTGCCTCTCAGGTTCAAGTGGTTCTCCTGCCTCAGCCTCCTGAGTAGCTGGGATTACAGGTGAATGCCACCACGCCTGGTGAAAATTATTTTCAACCTGGAATTCTATGTCACCCACCTCAAGAGTGAGCAGAGAATGAAGATTTTCAGTCAGAAAAGTCTCAAAAACATTATCTCCCATGTACCCTCAGAAAGCTACACTAGAAAATATGTAAGTCCATAAAACAGGAAAGGATGGAGTGGAAGACAGAACTCGAGAGAT
Source organism: Homo sapiens (assembly GCF_000001405.40). Lineage (NCBI taxonomy): Eukaryota > Metazoa > Chordata > Mammalia > Primates > Hominidae > Homo > Homo sapiens. The sequence continues at coordinate 182,620,860 of NC_000001.11, forward strand.
AAGAGGAAAGTAGAAGGAGTTCTCAGGAAGTAGGCAAAGGAAGGAAGGGTAGGACAACAGTGGGCCATGAGAGCAGCCAACCCTGAATAAGACATCAAAGAGCTCCAGGAAAGATGTCTCAGAGGCAAAAAAAAAAAAAAAAAAAAAAAAAAAAAATCTGATAGACTTGACAATGTGGAAATGTTATTGAGCCATGTTTCACAGAGCTGTGGGAGCACATGGGAGGGCTTAGTCAGGTGCTGATAGAAAACTAAACAAATAAAAATTAGAGGCAATTACTAACTCCAGGAAAAAAGAAAAACAATATGCAAGAATGTACAGGTAAATAAGATATATTACTTGGCTTAATAGCAAACAATATTTATACAATCACAATAACAAAAGCTTTGTTAACCAGAAATTGGGGGACTAGGGAGCTAGCAGAAAAGAGGAAAATGTACATGATTTTAATATCTTCATTACCATAATAGGAAGTCTATAACTAATGTCTGAAATTAATGACTCAAGAGACAGCCACATACTCTGTGAGTTAGAAATATAGGGGAAGTACCAGATGAATACCTTAACATTGAAAATGGTTTTCACTGGAGAAAGGGAGGTGGAGCAGAGGGGAGATGAATAAGAGATAGTTAATTTTATTATTTTCTTCTACATATACAACTTAAAACCAGTTGCCCAGCAATACTTTTATTTAAAATAAGACTATATTAAATAAATTTTAAAAACAAACACTACTGGTCATGTATGTAAAACAGACACATAAACAAATCGGTGAAGGAAAAAGTTCCAGGTGCTACCTGTGCACAGATAAGGTATGGGCATGAAAGAGAGAGTAGCCAGTTCCATCTTGGAAGAGCCAAGTACCTCCTGACTCCTACTTTCCCTTCTTATCCAGAAACACCGCTGCCTGTGTGCATCTACAGATTTGGCTCTCTTGAGAAAACCTGAGGATTAAGCTAGAAACTCACCAAACACAGATGGAGAGGTGGTGAAGTCTACTGGCCAGGAACTAAGAGCAGAGTGCCAGACCACCTGGGTTTGAATCCTGGCTATGACACTGACTAACTGTGATTTTGGACAAGTTACATACCCTCCTCGCCCTCCTCACATGTTCCTACCTCATAGGGTTATTTCAAGGATTATGTGTTAATGTGTCAAGGGCCCAGAACAATTCTTGGTACATGTAAACATCATGTTCTCTCAGCAGACATGAGATGAACCTGCTGAGTGCAGGCACTGGATAAGCACTGGAGGGCACAAACAACCCTAAGCATGCCCCTGTCCTCCAGGAGATTAAGGAGGGGTGGGGAGTGGTGCAAAAGATACAACTGTAAATAGCATATTATCAGCAATATCGCCTAGGTGGCTAGATGTAGAATGAGGGGGACCAGTTTCCTAGAGAGGTGGCTGTTAAAATTTGCTCCATGAGAGGGTCTGGGAGACACCTTTTGGATTTTGGCCCCAGTACCCCTCTGTAGAAAGTTTCCCTTCCCTTCTTGTGTCCATGTGGTTGCAGCAGAAATGCTGTGCTCTGATAATGTGATCTTGCCTCCTTGACCAGATTGAGCACATTCAAATTAACCTGGGCCAATCCGTCTCTTACCTGGGAATTTTGGACCCCAGGATGAAGGATAGATTGGTTTCCCTCTCAGTGTCTTTTTTTTTTTTTTTTTTTTTTTTTTTTTTTTTTTTTGAGACAGAGTCTGGCTCTTGTCCCCCAGGCTGGAGTGCAATGGTGCGATCTCGGCTCACTGCAACCTCCACCTCCTGGGTTCAAGCGATTCTCCTGCCTCAGCCTCCCAAGTAGCTGGGACTACAGGCGTCCGCCACCATGCCCGGCTAATTTTTTTGTATTTTTAGTAGAGACGGGGTTTCATCATGTTGACCAGGCTGGTCTCGAACTCCTGACCTCGTGATCCGCCCGCCTCGGCCTCCCAAAGTGCTGGGATTACAGGCGTGAGCCACCACACCTGGCCATATCTTTGTGTTAAGACTGATGATGTAAATGTGGGAACTATTGACCATTTTTTGCCATGTGAACTGGTAAACAGAGAACAGTCAGCAAGAAAAGAGAAAGGTAGTACGCAGAGAGAAACTGAAAAGAGGAGGAAAGTCAGGGCTTCTGCATTCCTTAGGGTTCTGCTCACTGTTTCTGCTCACAGATTCCATGGGGTGTTCCAGTATTCTCACCAAAACTCCCTTTTATTCATGCTGGTTTGAGTTGAATTTCTGTTGCAAACCAAAATTTCTCTAATAATAGAAGGGGACTCCCCCACTTCTCCTTCCTGTATAGGCAGCAGAAAAAGAAATCTGACTATATTCCCTGGTCTGGCAAGATGTTCGATAAGTCTAAACCTGGAAAAAAACCCCAAAGAGTCCCTAGGGTTGCATCAAAATATAACCTGGCTCTGGGCCCAGGACAGAGCAGCTCTGGCTTCCTAGCGAAGGGTTAGGACTGTGGGAAGGAATGAAAGGAAGGACCGGAAAGGCTGAGGTCCTGGACTGGAGGGGGAGGTGAGAGCATCTGCAGCTGAGGCGCATTCAAGCTTGAAGTGCAGGGGATGTGGTGGGAGGTCAGGAGAGTGGTATGGGGAGAGGACCAGTAGCCATGGCAACAGGAGGGTCTTCCTTTGCCACTGAGGCAAAGGTGAACTCGGGGGGAGGTAGCCAAGCAAGGTATAGGGAGAGGCCAAGTAAGTGGTGGTCTTTGCCATCCATTGATTGTGTCCTTTCCTGCCCATTGTATGCTGGGCAGCAACATTTTAGGCATGGGAATGAAAGACTCGATTTTTCAGGGACGCGGCTATAGAGGTGAGTCATGGAACTATGGGGTATTCCCATTGTGCTCCCTTAGGTACAGGTGGCTGAGGAGTCCTCGGTCAGCAGGTGAAAGCATCATTCAAAGCTACAATTGAGGCAAATACCAGTGATTACAGCTGATTGAGGAACCTAAGAAGACTTCATGGAGGAAGTGGACCTTGAAGGATGGATAGGATTTAAACATTTAAAGGCCAAGCTTTACAGGATACTGTAGCTAGATATTATTCCTTTTTGTAGCTCTACCTCTCACAGCTCTAACACAGCAGATGCTCAAAAATGTTTGCTTAACTGAATTGGATTCCAGGTATAGGAAACAGTATAAGTAAAGTCAAGGGATGAGAAAGGGAGTGGGGTGTTATGTGTTGAGGCCTCAAGGAGAAATCCTGTTTGTTGGTTATAGCAGGCACAAAAGGAATCAGTCAACAGAAGATATGCTGAAAAAGAAAGCTGAGGCCAGAGCTGAAACTTGGAGATGGCTGATGAGTCCTCCAGCTCCCTGAGGACAGGGAGAGGCCAGGACATTTATCCTGGCCTGCCTAGTGATGGGCTCAGGGCCTATTGCAGGATAGGTGCACAAAAACTATTTAAATGAATGAAAGAATATAAAAAGTCACCCATTAGCAAAAAGTTCACCACTGTGTTCCTTCAAATCCAATGTCCTGTAGTCCATTTAATTTAGGACTCGGTGCACATAAATTAGTTTGCACAAAATTTTTAGAATGAAAACCATGGATGTAATAACTGCTTTAGAACATGAATCTGGGTCTGAATCCCACTTAACCTTTCAGGGCAACACTTCTTTTTGATTCCTATGTTTTCATGAGAAGGGGTTGCCCTAAAGTTATAATTGTGACTTCTCTCCCCAACTTTCCCCCTAAATCTAGTAAGCCCTACCCATAGAAGTAGCAACTCATTGCTTGGTGAGTTTAGAAAAAGGAACCAGACATACTCACTTCTCTTCAGGAGTGGCCTGTCCCCAGGAGACCCACAATTCCTACTCTATGGTAAGTTTAGTGGAGCCTGAGAGGAAGTCTGCAGTTTGAGAATTAAGTTCAATTCAGGAGAATCTGTTAGCACACCCATTTGGCAGCATGTGGCTCTTAGCCAAGCCCTCAAAACCAGCTTTTTCTGTAATAAAGCTGACGTTTTCATCATCAGGTATCTGACTCCTGTGTCAAAGGGTTCTGAACTCAGGAAGTGAGTGAAAAGCAGAGGTGTTAGTTACTGGCTCCCTCAAACCCCAGCTATTACTGGCTTGAGAATTTCCTTACCAGGAAAATGGATATGATGATAATATCCGTCATGTAGAGTTTAGTGAAGATTGAAAAAGATAATATGTTTGATGTTCGGTAAATGTTTGTTCTCTTTACTTCCCTGTTTGAAACCCTCTCTTTTAAGCATTTTCCCCATGAAGGCAGGGGGATATTGTACCCCTCTGCATATATCCCCTCTATATGTCTAGCATGTATTTGGATGTTCTGTAAATGTTAAAAAGGTGGAAATGATTATTGCAGGGAGGCCCAGCAAGTGAGTCATTTATGCCCATATTTTTTAAAATAGCTTTAGTGAGGGATAATCAACATACAGTTAACATGGTTGAAGTGGACAACTTGACAAGTTTTGACATAGGCAAACACCTAGTGAAATCATCACAATCAAAAGAGTGGGCGCATCCACTATCCCGAAAGTCTCTCATGCCTCTGTGTAATCCCTGCTCCCCTCCTCCCCACCCTCCTAGCCCCAGGCAACCACTGATCTGCTTTCTGTCACTATGGATTAGTTTGCATTTTTTAGAGTTGTATATAAATGGAATCATATAGTATATTCTCTCTCTTCTTTTTTGTCTGTCTGCCCATATTTTTGAAGAGCAATAAGCACTCATCATTGAATGCTGAAATACTGATCTTGGAGCCCAGAGTCCAGGACTGTTGTTCTGGTTAGACAGCAACATGTTGTTTGACCTTAGACAAGTCATATAACCTTTGTGTGCCTCAATTCCCCTTATCTGCACTATGGTAGGGAATAATTGTGTCTGCTCTACCCCCCAGATTTATTTAAGGTGGAAATACTGCATAAGGTATAATACTAAAAAATGGATAATAAACAAGCCATAAAATATTTCTGTATAAGTAGCTAGATGATATTTGGCAATATTAATGTATGTGTGTGTCTGTCTGTGTCTGTGTGTGTTTTCTACCTAAAATTTCCTATTTCCCTTCATTCAAGCAAATAGCTGACTCTGCACCTTATTTTGTCAGGCAAGTATTGTACAGAGTAGAAAAACAAAAGTAGCCTGCAGATCTTCCTGGCTTTGGATTTCCCAGACCTAAAGCCTTTAGAAGGGTTCAGGTTTACAGAAAAGGAAAAGGAGAAGGAATCTGTGGGTTTATACAGATGGTATCTTAGGGAAGTGGAGGGAAGGGTAAAGTGAACCCTTCTCAGCAGGCTCTGAAACAGTCCTGCTTCCATCAGCATCCCTCTTGCCCACCTTCCTGCTGATTCCTCTAGTACCTGAGCCTTTCAGGGACTCTTGAGGCGAAGAACTTGCCCCTTGTCAGTTAACCCCCACCCCACCCTTCCCTGCTCACCCTCTGGGATCAGGTTTGGCTTCCATCCTCTCTGGTGAGTCATTTGTCATTCCTCCCTCTGCTGTCTGTCTTCATGTGGGTTACAGATGTTATTCTAGTTTCACAAGCTAAAGTTTATTTTGCTGTTTCTTATTCTAATTGTTTGCCCATTGTTTTTAAGAAAGAAGGGTACAGAAAGGACTCAACTCTGCCTTCTTGAAATAGGAATCTAGTGATTTATTTGCCTAATATGTTTTAAAGTTAGGCTTTATTTTTTAGAGCAGTTTTAGGTTCACAGCAAAATTGAGGAGAAGGTACAGAGATTCCCATAGATTCCTAGCCTCTATACATGCACAGCCTCCCTCACTATCAGTATCCCCCAGCAGAGGGGTACATTTGTTACAACAGAGAAAGCTGCATTGGCACATCCTTATCACCCAGAGTCCATAGTTTACGTTAGAGTTCACTCTTGGTGCCCTGTGTTCTACAAGTTTGGACAATGTATAATGACATGCATCCACATCACAGTATCACACAGAGTCATCTCTCTGCCCTAAAAATCCTCTGTGCTCTGTCTATTCCACCCTCCAAAGCCTCTGGCAATCAGTGATCTTTTTACCATCTACAGTTTTATTTTCCAGAATGTCATTGCCTAACATTTCATATTGAGATGTAATTTACAGAAAGCAAAATGCTGGGATCTTAACAGTTTTAATTCAGGAAGTTCTGACAAATGCATTCATTCATGTAACCTACCTCAATATTGATACATGGAACATTCCCATCATCCCAGATAGTTCCCTTGTACCCTCTTCCGATTTCCCACTGCCACCCTGTCCCCAACCAGGCATCTACTTTCCTGATGTTTTTAAAACATAGATTAGTTTGCCTGTTCTAGACTTTGATACAGAATGCAGTCTTTCTGCATCTGGCTTCTTGCACGCTGCATGTTATTGAGATTCATCTGAGTTGGTGCATTTATCAGTAGTGCGTCTTTTTCCATTGCTGAGTAGAATTCCACAATTTCTTATTCATTGTCTTGCTTGCTTGTGTTGTTTCAAGTTTTTGCCTATTGTGAATAAAGCTGTGATGAACATTTGCAGATATGTCTTTTTGTGGACATATGTTTTTAGACCTGTGAGTGGAGTAGCTGGGCCATACGGAAGGTATATATTTAGATTTATAAGAAACTATCAAGCTGCCTTATAAAGTGCTTTGTACCATTTTACATTTACACCAGCACTATATAAGAATTGCAGTCATGCTACAGCCTTACCAACCCCCTTTTGTTAGCTGGATTTTCATTTTACATATTCTAGTGGATACATAGTAGAACTTCACTGTGGTTTTTGGCATTATTTTTCCTAATGGTCCCTAGTCCCTGGAAGACCCTCTTACAGCTCTGAGCAGGGGCCCCTTAGCACTCTTTTTGGTTGCCATTTATATTTCACATGTGCGGCTGTTTATGGGCAGGAGAGAACCATTATGGTAATACACTAATAGTAATGTGTGTTTCATATTTACAGAGGGCAGTAACTGCAGCTCACTGGGAGATTACTCCCTAGCAAAGAGAAATATTAATATGTCATTTGTGAACTTAGAAAAGAGGCCTCCAGGGCCGTAAGTGAAGAATTACATAACCATTGACATCTATGGAAATCTAGCTGTCTCCTCATGGCTTTAGTACTGTAGATAAAAATAATTTGGAGGCAGAGAAGGGATATGAAAAACATTGTATAACTAAAATAGGAAAATGTACTTGGAGATCCATGGAACAGAGAAGGGCACAGGCTGTTTCCAATTCTGGCACCACTGTTTACAAAGCAAACTTTTGGCAAATTATCTGATTTGCATTCTCCTAACAAGTGATGGTGTTCACCAGGTTTTGATTTGGTTTATTGGCATTCATGTATATTATTTTGTGAAGTGTGTGTTTAAGTCTTTTGATTAATTTGAAAATTGTATTTTGTTTGTTTTCTATTGAGTTGTAGGAATTCTTTACATATTCTTGACACACGTCTATTGTCAGATACATATATTGCAAATATCTTCTCCCAATCTGGCTTCCCTATTTATTTTAACAGTATTACATGATAAGTGGAAATTTTCATTTTTGAGGTAGTATAATTTATCAGTTTTTGTTTGTTTGTTTGTTTTTGCTTTTGATGGAGTTCGCTCTGTCACCCAGGTTGGAGTACAGTGGCGTGATCTTGGCTCACTGCAATCTCCGCCTCCCGGGTTTAAGCAATTCTCCTGCCTCAGCCTCCCAAGTAGCTGGGATTACAAGAGCTCACCACCACACCCGGCTAGTTTTTGTATTTTTAATAGAGATGGGGTTTCACCATGTTGGCCAGGCTAGTCTTGAACTCCTGACCTCAGGTGATCTACCTGCCTCAGCCTCCCAAAGTGCTGGGATTACAGGTGTGAGCCACTGCACCCAACCAATTTATCAGTTTTTTTTCCTTTTATGCTTAGAGCTTTTTATGTCCTAAGAAATTTTTGCCGCTCCTCAAGCCATTACAATATTCTCCTGTTTTCTTCTAGAAGTCTTATGGAAATTGTGGCTGCTTGAACTGGCCTCTGAGAAACCCTTGAAAGGCCTCTGGGGGCAATGGTGAGGTCCAGCCAACAGCACCCTGGCCTCCCTCCTCCTCTCCTACCTTCTCTGCCTCTCCTTTCTTCTACCTCCACCTTAATCAAAGCAGCTCCCTTTTCATTTTAGGTATTGGAGTTTTAACTAAAATTTTCTTTAACAAAAGGATTTCCACCCTTTTAAAAATCTCTCCACTGAACTGTAAATTCCTTGAAGATAGGAATCATGTATATATTATTCTCCTTTATATCTTTAGCTATATACAGTGCCTGTGTACATTGTGAACACTCAATAGAAACTTTTAATTGAAATAAATCAACCCAAACGTGGACTGGAAAGATGGGCTTTGTTCAATTTAGCCAAATCTTACATAAGATGTATTCCTGAGTGTCCAATCTGGGTCAGGCTCCAGTGAATGGAGAAAGGCTCCTATTGGGAGTGAGATCAGAGGCCTTCTCCTGCAGCTGGCTCCATAGGAAGCAGTAATAAAAGCATCGCCTTGCTCTTATGTAACCTTTTACTATTTATAAAACACTTTCATATACCTTATCTCAAAAAAGAGCTCCCAAATATCTTCCCTACTCACAAAGACACAAAGACAAGCAAATATCCCAGAGTTTCAAACATAAGGAGGGTAGGGGAGAGAAGACAGGCCGCATTTTCAACCAGGACAAAATTCAGCTCCTCTTGCATGGTGAGCAGGGCACCCAAAGGGCCTTGTGATTAAACTCTTCCTTCTCTCCCAAATTCTGACTGATGCTTAAAATCTCACCAACTGTTATCCCCAACTTGGTGTAACTGAGGCTTTTGTCTCAGCTAAATGCAAATGTGGCTGTTGTGATGGGCACACATTAGTCACCCTCCATTTACCACATAGTGTGGCAGGATTGGCTCTGTGGAAAGGTCAGTAATGAATGGCAGGGATATTTCTAACTGAGCTGGGGACCTCCAGAGCCACCTTGCCCTCTGAAGTCTCATAACTGTGCCCTGGTCAAAATCCGCAGACACCACCCCCGCCTCTGAGTTAGACAGGCAGGGGTGACCTAAGATACAGGATGCCCTTACTTCCTGTCTGTGGCAGCGGGCAACACCCACCACCATCAGTCACCTCCACCCCCACTCCTGGTTTCTGCACCCACATTTTCACTGTTTATCTCTGGATAACCCCATCTGACCTAAGAAACTGTGGCAAGTCTGTTTCTTACCTAGAAAATGAATATTTGGAGACATTCAATGGTTAGATACTGTGAAGATTTTTTTTTTAAGTATATAAAAAGCTTAATTAGCACCCTGGCCAGCACATAATGGGTGTTCAGTATATCTCTGTTTTGAAAATAAATGGCAGAATTCACTCCAGGCTTCCTGTCTGTCCCACAGACCGAATCATGCTGCTGGACTGGGCTAAGTCACATTTTTGATAAAAAGAGGTAACTTTCTCCAGCCAAGCCTAACAAGCTTTAAAAGGCCTATGGTTTATAAAATCACCAGTGCCCCTCATCAGCCCTCTCCCCCAGTTTCCCTCACCATCAGGGCTCTCCAGAATTGCTGTTCAGTGATCTCTTTTCCCTCCTGGGACTGCTCTGATTGTCCTATTTCCTTGGTTCCATGTGGCACACGGTTGAGAAAAGAGGCACCTGTGCGTGTGACTTGTCACATCTTTTCCCAGCGTTCTGCTCCCATGGATATGGGGCTCAGGAGGCATGGTTGGGAATCAGGAAACTGCTTCCAACCCCATGACAAATGTCACCTATCTGTCCTACCAATTTGTCAGCATTGAAACTCAAAGTGACACTTTCCTGCCAAATCTAGATAAAGCCATTTCCACTCCAGTCGGAGTGAGTGTACCAGCCAATCTCCCAGAGGGAAACTAGGGTTCTGGAGAGGATATGGGGTTCAGATTCAGCAAATGTTTTTGGAATGTCCACTCTGTGCCCAGCATTGTGTTGGTTGTGAGTATGTGTGCTTAGTTTACATTCCAAGCATTCCAAGTTGCATTACACAGATGAGAAAAGCAGGGCTCAGTAAGGCTAATTAACTTGCCCACCTACAGCCAGTGAGTGAGAATCTCAAGATTTTACAAGATTTTATAGCTCCAAGTTCCAATCCAAGATACTTTCCATTAAGCCCATGGATGTCATTTCAGGTGCAACCTCAGACCACCTTCTCCAGTATCCTCCTAGAATATTACAGATCACACAGTCTCTCTCCCCTCTGAACACCAAGAGCATGGCCATGTGTCCTTTCCACCTGTGAGTGAGCCTCACAAAGGACTGGAAGCTACCTAGGCTCAAGAGTTGTGCCTTCTTTCATCCACTGATGGAATGCAGGGCACACAGGAAAACAAGAGTGTACTGGGGGCACTGAATAGTCTCAAAGCCTTCTCATATATCCTGTTCCCACAACTCTGTAACATAGGACAGGGAAGATTTATTTGCTCTGGGGTGGAGCAGGAGGGTAGAGGAAGGGAGGGAAGAAATGGAAGGAAGTTAGTGGGCAATTTAGGATTCAGCCCTAAAGGATCAAAGCACTAAGAATCCTGAATTATGGGAAGCATGATAAGGTCCCTGCTTGGCTAGGAGAATAGAGAGATTAACTTTATTTTTGAACACCTACTGGATGACAGCTAGTGCATTAGTAGGTCATGATGTACATTATCTCATTTAATGCAATCTCACAATCCCTGCAATCATATTTGTTAATAGACTTCAGTGTACAAAATTGAATTAATCTTTATAATCTTTGATTCATTTCATGCTGTACTTATTAGTGCATGCTTGGGTCTTAAATATTTATTTGTTCTCTCTTTCAATCATTTATTTTATTGATTTGGTGATTACCCTTGAACCTATACCCAACCCAGGAATTACACTGATGGTAACTTACATCTATTCATCTGCTTGTTCCCCTCCCTTCCCTTACCCAAGCCAACCCCATCCCCAATCATTTCTTTGCTCTCTTTTAGATTTATTCCATGTATATGGAAACCGTAAAATACATTGCTTATTTTGATTATCTTTAAATTGTAATAAAATAACTTGCCTTTTTCCAATATTATTTTGCTAAGATTCATCTATATGGTTACTATAGTGTCCCTAGAGTTCATTCATTTCACAGCTTTATGATATTCCACTGTGCACATGTACCACAGTTTATCCTTCTCATTCTTCTCATGAGAGCCTTTTGTATGGTCTCCAGTCTTTTGCTATTGCTAACAGTGCTGCTAAGAGCATTCTTGTACATGTTTCCTGGTGTTCACATAAAAAATGTTTCTGAGATTTACATATTTAGGAGTGGAGTTGCTGGGTCCATTTTATAGATGAGGAAACTGAGGCTGAAAGAAGTTAATGAGACTGTTCAAAATCATACAGCTAGTAAATAACCAGAATCAGGATTTGAAACCAGGACAGCTCTAAAGAATAGAAGTTGAGGAAAAAATTGGAGATGGGGGATGTAGGGGGAAATTAGAGCGATGAGGAAACTATACAAGCTTGAGAAAAGAATTTCTATTTACTAGGGAGGAAATGAGAGAAGAGAGACAGACCTTCTCATATTGTTTTATATTGTTTTATACTCAGAAAAAAAAAAAAAAGAAAAGCAAAACTAAAAGCAGTTGGCCCGAAGCCTAGGAACCAGACCCGAAACCAGGCCTGGGCCTGCCTGACCTAAGCTTGGTAGTTAAAGATTGACCCCTGACCTAACCGGTTATGTTATCTATAGATTCCAGATATTGTATAGAAAAGACATTGTGAAACTTCCTGGTCTGTTCTGTTTCAGCCTGACCACCGGTGCATGCAGCTCCTGTCACGTACCCTCTGTTGCTCAATCGATCATGACCCTCTTGCGTGGACCCCCTTAGAGTTGTGAGCCCTTAAAAGGGACAGGAATTGTTCACTCGGGGAGCTCGGCTCTTGAGACAGGAGTCTTGCCTGATGCTCCCGGCCAAATAAACCACTTCCTTCTTTAACTCGGTGTCTGAGAAGTTTTGTCTGCGGCTCATCCTGCTACACCTTCCCTTACCCAAGCCAACCCCATCCCCAATCATTTCTTTGCTCTCTTTTAGATTTATTCCATGTATATGGAAATCTTAAAATATATTGTTTATTTTGATTATATTTAAATTGTAATAAAATAACTTGCCTTTTTCCAATATTATTTTGCTAAGATTCATCTATATGGTTACTATAGTGTCCCTAGAGTTCATTCATTTCACAGCTTTATGATATTCCACTGTGCTCATGTACCACAGTTTATCCTTCTCATTCTTCTCATGAGAGCCCTTTGTATGGTCTCCAGTCTTTTGCTATTGCTAACAGTTCTGCTAAGAGCATTCTTGTACATGTTTTCTGGTGTTCACATAAAAAATGTTTCTGAGATTAACATATTTAGGAGTGGAGTTGCTGGGTCCATTTTACAGATGAGGAAACTGAGGCTGAGAGAAGTTAATGAGACTGTTCAAAATCATACAGCTAGTAAATAACCAGAATCAGGATTTGAATCCAGGACTGCTCTAAAGAACAGAAGTTGAGGAAAAAATTGGAGATGGGGGATGTAGGGGGAAATCAGAGTAATGAGGAAACTATACAAGCTTGAGACAAGAGTTTCTATTTACTGAAGGTTCTGGGCACTTGTATACCTGTTTTCATGTGCCTCGGCCTATGCTGGGTAAGCCCCAGAGGTTAGGAAAACTCTGGCCCTGGTTCGGAACAAGAACCCTTTAATCTCCAGGACTGAGGGCTTTCTTATGGAAGGGGCAAATCTTTCCAGGCTTCAGGACAAGCCTGTTCCCAAGACACTTACTCCCTCCCATCAAATAAGGTATTCCCAGGCTCTGCCCCAGTCGGGCCCCACCCTCCCCCATGGTACACTGACACAAAGCCTGAGGCTCCCTTGTTGGAGACTTCTGGCCCTCTGGCCTGGGCTGCCCCCAACCCCAACCCATACATCCACTAACCAGGGTGAGGCCACCCACAGAGCCATTTAATTATCCCTGAGTGCAAGGCCATGCCGCAGGCGCATGAAACAGGAAGGAAAAACAAGACCTGCAGCTGCACTATGATGTCAGCGATGGGGCAGATGGGCATTCAATTAAAAATTAAAATTACCAGGCAAATATGCCCTTGGCACACCAGCTGTTCGCTGCCCTCAGGCTTACAGGGTTCACCGATCTGTGTCTATTTACGTCGTGGTAGGGCCTATAAAACCCCTCTTCGGAGTCCCTTCAGGCTCAGGGACAGGAGTCTCACTCTTTCCCAAGGCCACAGATCTTCCTTCAGCCTGGCCTTCTTCTGGTGGAATTTACTAAAGATTTTAAGGGAGATAAGGGGAGAGTGTGGATCATAGCTGGAAAAATGACCTAATATTGAAGCCCTACATATAGAGGGTCAGGATATCATCTTTGCACAGAAGGACAGCCCCGTGTTACCTTGATGCATCATCGCACAGCATGTAGGTATTAATCATGTATCCTATAAGTGTCCCGGCCAGGAGGTATCAGATTTGAGTCTTGCCCTCTGAGAGTTTATAGTCTGGGTAAAAAGGGAGAGAATGAACATTAGAGAGGCAGTGTGGCAACTGTTGGCTCTGATCGGGCCCACAGGGTAGACCGCATGTGTCCTTGTGGAGGACAAAGGAGAGTAGGCTGAAGCCCCAGAATTCCTCCAAAGTGGCCTGGCCTTACTAATCTCTGCCCGGCCTCCTGCTAGCTGGTCCAGCTCTGCAACAGATGCTGCTTCTGGTGCAAGGAAGTGGGAGCAGGTCTAGGTGTTACTGAGACAAAAAGGTCAGCAGGCAAGGACAGCTGAGGGGTCCCTATGCATGGAACCTCAGCATGCTGAGAGTTCCCTGTGTATGGGACCTTAGGTGGGGTGGGCACCCGGGCCACCTTGGAAAACTAATGGCCCAGGCTAGCAAAAACACACCATGCTCGCTCACTACTGTACCTCCAGCCCTGTATTCTAGGGATCAGGCTCCTACACTCCTGCTCAGAAAAGGGCTTAGCCTGGACTGGTGAGCAGGTGGCCAGCAGCTGCTCCCTTGACAGAGCAAGTTTGTCTCCATGGCTGCAGAGCAGGCCCAGATGCTGCCCCTCTGCATGAGGATGTGTCCTCTTGGCTGAAACAAGTCTCTCCACAGAGTCACCTGCAAAGGGCCGTTAGCCAGCGGGATGAGCGAGGGTCCCATAGCTCCCCTTCTCTTCTGCAAGTCACTTTATCACAGCAACTGCAGCCCCTGAGTCCGGAATGCAAGCCTATTTTCCCTCTGGTCTTGGATCAGTTCTCACTGGGCCTGCCCCATTTCAACCATGCCATGGCCAAAATGAGGGCCAAAACTGCTTATGAGCACTTGCTCTATATTCATCCCCCAGAAACCAACTCTCCTTCTCCCCATGTTGCAGGGAGGCGGGAGAGGAAGATTGCCCTGACCCAGCATGCCACTGTCTCCTAGGCTGCTGTGATTTGCATGTGATTATGATACACACGGTCCCACAACCCCTTCCCAGCTCCTCACCCCCTCCTCACTATTTCCTGGGAGATGCTGCCGATCTAGGCTCTGAGGAGTTGCAGGTTTCAATCAATCTTGCTTATTGGTAAAAACTGACCTAATAAAGCACTTACTGGAAAATCCTGACAATTTCATTTTTAGAACATACAATTAAAACCATTTCCCTTAATATCCAGCAAACCGGCTGGGCACGTTGGCTCACTCCTGTAATCCCAGCACTTTGGAAGGCCGAGGCGGGTGGATCACAAGGTCAGGAGTTTGAGACGTGGTAGCGCATGCCTGTAATCCCAGCTACTCAGGAGGCTGAGGCAGGAGAATTGCTTGAACCTGGGAGGCGGAGGTTGCAGTGAGCCAAGATCGTGCCACTGCACTCCAGCCTGGGCGACAGAGCGAGACTCTGTCTCAAAAATAAATAAATAAATAAATACAAAAACCCCCCAGCAAACCTACACGCAGCTATTCTGTCATCAAGATGAGTTCCATTTTAATCTATTCCAGAGCCACTTACAAACTCTACACCTTGAATGAGAACATCCACATCAGTTATGTTTCCAGTATTTCCCAAAAGTTAAGTCAAAAGTACAATTCTGGTCATCTCAGGATAAATGAGATAAGAGCATGTCGAAAGTACGTGATCAGTTGATTTGGCTCAGGGATTTTGTGGTTTTTTTTTTTTTAACTCTGCCACCTCAAATATCCAGTTAATCTGCTTGCATTTTGGAGGTTGCAGTGAAAAGCCTATGTGACCAGTGCATCATCCCTGTTATATTTAGCTCATAGGGCACCTAAGGAGGGCTGCTAATACCCTAGTTGGGGCAGAGCACAATTCTGAATGAAAGGCATTTTGTTTTGTTTCTAGCTGACAGAGGGCCTCCTTTTCTGCAAGTACACTTACATTCAACCCAACTCCATTGACTCTCTGCTGCTAACTGCTCCACAACATGCTCTGTCCCCCAGGCAAGATTTAGAGACTAGCCAGGTGCAGTGGCTCATGCCTGTAATCCCAGCACTTTGGGAGGCAGAGGCAGGCGGATCATGAGGTCAAGAGATTGAGACAATCCTGGCCAAAATGGTGAAACCCTGTCTCTACTAAAAATACAAAAATCAGCTGGGTGTGGTGGTGCGCTCCTGTAGTCCCAGCTACTCAAGGGGGCAGAGGCAGGAGAATTGCTTCAACCTGGGAGGCAGAGGTTGCAGTGAGCCGAGATCGTGCTACTGCACTCCAGCCTGGCGACAGAGTGAGACTCTATCTCATAAAAAAATAAATAAATAAAATAAAGATTTAGAGACCTAGTGCTGAGATGTCTATAAGCCAGGATATCTCCAATACTCACAGCTTCTAATTTTTGAGCACCTACTCAATACCAGGTCCTGCTCCAGATGCTTTGCACATCATCTCTCATCCTTGCAGCAACCTGCCTGGAAATGTGGGTTTTGTAATCCCCCTTTTTCTAGTAAGAAAACTGAGGCTGTGAGTGGCCAAGTACCATCCCCGGCATCTCACACACACTGAGTAAGCAACAGCATCAGGATTTGAACTCAGGCCTGTCTGCATCCAAATCTCACCTCTATTCCCTCATCACATGGCTCTGGGGAGAGCCCCCTGCCACTCATGGTGCCTGTGAGCTGGTATTAGTGTGAGAGGAGATGGGGGCTACTTCTCTCTCCTTGAGAAGGGCATGCCTGCAGCCTGCGCCCCACTGGTGTGTTCTCCTTTCGGCAGATTCAGGGGATGGAGCAACACTTGTCTTCGGAGTTGTGGGCAAGACCAGGACTCCGCCTCCCCAGGAAGGATGACATGCTCCGAGGATGTGGGACAAACTCGCATGGCTGCGCCTGTACCCGCTGCCTGGAAACGAACAGCTTGGGCGGATAATTGGCT
Organism: Homo sapiens; assembly: GCF_000001405.40. Lineage (NCBI taxonomy): Eukaryota > Metazoa > Chordata > Mammalia > Primates > Hominidae > Homo > Homo sapiens. Next base: position 182,637,223 of record NC_000001.11, read on the forward strand.
AGTCCAATTTCCAGCGGGCTTTGCAGCATGTCTTTTAGCCACCATTTCCCACCAGGCCTCCAGCTTCTCCAGGAGCTCAGATTTCTGAGCGAGCAAAAGACAGAGAGAACTGACCCTCCCATTTCTCCTCCTACCTTCATCTGTAGCAGACCAGCATTGGTGTGGACTCATCCATGACATCCTATGAGCGATTTAGCTCCAGCACCCCTGACAACACCCTGCCACCCCCATTTCCTTGCCCCCCGGCACCTATGCACCTGCCCCACTCCCATCTCTTCCCCATATTTCCGTCTAGTCCACAGCACAGTAGAGGTTCAGAGCACCAGCTCTGGATTTCTAAATCCAGGGCTTTAAATCCCAATTCTGCCACGTACACACTGTACGGCCTTGGGTAGATCACTGAAGTACCTCTCTGTGCTTCGGTTTCCTCACCTGTACATGGGGATTAATAATAGTGTTTATCTGTGATGGGCTGAACTGAGTCCCCCAAATTCCTATGATGAAGCCTAACCCTAGTACCTCAAAATATGTCTGTATCTGGGGATAGGGCTTGTACGAGGCGATTAAGTTAAATGAGGCCATTAGGATGGGGCTTTAATATGACTGGTGTTCTTATAAGAAGAGGAAGAGACACCAAGGGTTAGAGTACAGAAGAAAGATTGTGAGGACACAGCAAGAAGGCAGCCATCTGCAAGCCAAAAGGAGAGACCTCAGAAGAAACCAACCCTGCCAGCGCCTTAATCTTGCACTTCTAGCTTCCAGAACTGTGAGACAATAAAACTCTTGTTTAAGCCACTCTGTGTGTGATACTTTGTTTTCTTAGCCCGAGCAAACTCATACGTTGCCTCATATAATTGTTGCAGGGGCTGGGCTTGGTGGCTCATCCCTGTAATTTCAGCTACTCAGGGGTCTGAGGTGGAAGGAATGCTTGAGCCCAGTTCAAGGCCAGCCTGGGCAACATAGTGAGACACTGTCTCTACAAAACAATTTTTTAAATTAGCTGGGTATAGTGGTGCACACCTGCAATCCCAGCTACTTAGGAGGCAGAGGTAGAAGGATTGTTGTGTCCAGGAGTTTGAGGCTGCAGCAAGCTATGATAGCACCACTGTACTCCAGCCTAGGTGATAGATGAGACCCATCTCTAAAATAATAATAACAGTAATAATAAACTGTTGCAGGGACCCAACTAGATGAACCATCTAAATTGCTGGTAAAGTACCTGGCCCCTAAGTGTTTCCTATTAGCATAGCAGCTTCTCATCATGCAGCCATTTACTTTCTATACCACTCATTTGGTAAGTGCCAAGGCTTATAAAGCATTAAGTCTTTCTAAGAATCAAGTAAGTTCTATGAGAGTCCAGGTTTTAGATTTCTTGCCTCCACCCCCAATCTACCCAAGTGACTAATCTATAAGAGGTGCTCAGCCGGGCGTGGTGGTTCATGCCTGTAATCCCAGCTCTTCGGGAGGCTAAGGCAGGTGGATCACAAGGTCAGGAGATCGAGACCATCCTGGCTAACACGGTGAAACCCCGTCTCTACTAAAAATACAAAAAATAGCCGGGCATGGTGGCGGGCACCTGTAGTCCCAGCTACTTGGGAGGCTGAGGCAGGAGAATGGCGTGAACCTGGGAGGCGGAGCTTGCAGTGAGCCGAGATCATGCCACTGCACTCCAGCCTGGGCGACAGAGCAAGACTCCATCTCAAAAAAAAAAAAAAAAAGAAAGAAAAGAAAAGAAAAGAAAGAGGTGCTCAAAAAACATTTGTAGATGTAATGTTCTTCCAATAAATATTTAGGAACTAGGGCAGTAAACAAAAGAGACCCAGGGAGTCTGGGTCTGGAATTACAATCTCTCTCTACCTTCAGGGATTTTAGAGTTTAGTAGGGAAGGGATGTGATGTCGATTCTGTAATATCATTTGCTTTGAGTGTTTTTCTTTTGCATTTATCTGAGAAGCAAGTGAGTTATGAATAAGGTGCTGGCTTGACTCCCTAGTGATTCCAATATGAGAGAATGATGCCACTTAGCACATACTGTGTGCCTACTAGGTGCCACATTCTTCCTAGCTTAATGTTCATAATGACCCCAAGCAGTTGACTCTGTTATTATTTTAGTTTTACAGATGGGAAAACTGAGGCACAGGGAAGTAAATTCCCTAGGATCACACAACTTGTAAGAGTTAAAGCTGAGATTGAAACCTAATCTGGCATCACAGCCCAAACTACCAGGAACAGCGTGCTCATGTAACCCTAGTCAAAGGCTCTCAGGCTTGTGGCTTTTCTGTTTCCATGGCTGAGCATCCAGCCAGTGACCCAGGGTGTGGACTGGGATGTCCCTCTGTGCTGTGGAATGAGGCATGAACATGGGAGGCAGCACACATAGCATGTCCCCACCCTTTCCCTCCAGCTTTACTACCCTTTCTGGATAGGGGACCAGGACAGACTCTAAAATGGACTGAATATTTGTGCCCAGACCCCAACACTTATATACTGAAACCATGAGCCCAATGGGATGGTATTAAAAAGTGGAGCCTGTGGGAGGTGATGAGGCCATGAGGGTGGAGCCCTTGTGAATGGGATTAGTGACTTTTATAAGAAACCAGAGAGCTGGGTAGCGTTCCTTCCACCATGTGGGGATATAACAAGAAGTTGACCGTCCACAACCTGGAAGAGAGCCCTCCCCAGAGCCCGACCGTGCTGGCACTCTGATCTTGGACTTCCAGGCTCCAGAACTGTGAAGAACAATATCTGTTGTTTATAAACCACCAGTCTGTGGCACTTTGTTACAGCAGTCCAAACAGATTAAGACAGGCCCCAACTAAGAAGCACATCCTCCAGAGGAAGTTATCTCAGTGATCTCTTCTGTCTCTCTCTCTCTCCATGGCTTTGTTTGTAGATCCTAGGACCAGAAGGGACTTGGCTTTTGTTTCTGTACATGTGCTGCGTGTTAGTGAGATGCCAGGCTTAGTGCTAAGTGTCTTACACGTGTAAGAGCCTCTGTCAAGGCCTAGGAGAGTGATCTCAGATACCAAAGCAGGTTCCAGACCAAGCCAACACTCCAGGGAGGGAGTGGAGAACAAGTGAGTGGCACTGAGAATCCATCCCTCAGCAAAAGATCAGGGGCTGGAGAGAACTTGTGAAAGTTTTTGGAGAGAACTATTGGTGTGCTGTGAGCCCCAGCCCCCTGGAAGGACGGGCAGGGTGCCTACGTCTCACCTCACTCCAAGGGAGTGTGGGTTCTGTGGGTCCTTGGAGCCTGACATGTGCCCCCTGATGCTTGAGGACCCAGGAGATGGGTGTCTATTCCAGCCTGGAAAATAAAAAATGTTAGCAGCGGGCTGGCTGGTGGCTCTGGCTACAGAGCAAGAAGAGCAGCTGCTTTCTTCTAATTCTAGGGAAAAATAAGATCCAAATGGTCCCAATGGGCCCACTGTGGGCCTCTGGAGAGAAGACTAGCATGAGTTCAACCTAGGACCTGTCCAAGTGGGCAAGCGGACTGCAGCAGAGAGAAGCTGGGGCACTGTCAGGAAGGACCAGTCCACCCGCCAGAGTGAATCATTCACCCTCACTGGGAGACTGCAGGGAGCAGATTCCCAAGACACACGGTCTCCAATGAACCAGGAAGGACTCCCCTTTCCCCTCCACAGAGTCCTCCAAGGCTGGAGAGCCCACAGCCTATCTCAGATGGCATCTACATCAGGCCTGACCCCCCACCCACACCCCTCATCCCTGACCTCTCATCTTTCCCCTTCCACTCTCTCCTGGAGGGGTCAGGAGCCCCATGTGGGAATAGGGGTAGAAGGAGTAGAAGAGCAAAGCCAGAAAGACAGAAACCAGCCACACCCCCTCCCAAGTGGCGGACCCCTGTCTGCAGCAGCCCAACCTGCCACTACTCCTTGCCCAGTCTACAAAATTGGAATTGAGGGTGATCATTTGCTTTACAAAAGGACTTTTCTTTTAACCCAAAGGATTCATCTTTGAAGAAATGTCAGCTTTCCTTTAAAGACAGACCTTTTCCAGAGCATTTTCAATTATGTGGATGGTTAAGGTTTTGCATATCTCTGTCTTATCACCCTACTTTAAGAATGAGCTTTTGTGAGCAGATACAGTGCCTTATTCTCCTTCCATCCCCTCCACAGGACCTGATCACCAGAGGCACTTAAAGATCTGATGACTAATACACACTTTTTGGGGACACACTGATTGTATAAAGTGAGGTACAGCCCTAAGCAGTATGAACCCACTGCATTTCCAGATTGCTCCAGCTGAACAAATACAAAAACCATCCCCATCCTTTTTTTCTCTCTGCATTTTCAAGCAGTAGGTGGTACTAATAAAAACACTACCTCAAACTGGGCCAGCACTTTACAGTTTCAAAGCCACTTTCATAACCCATAGTCACTCTCCACCCCACGCTCATCCCCAAGCCAGGCCAATCCATTTCCACCCACACCCCTGCTTCTCCTGATGGCCAGCCCTGTGCCAGCCACTGCCAGGTGGGCCCACGTGCCCTCCCTCCAGCGAGTCCATGTGTGATGTGGACAGTTTCTTCATAAAGAGTCAGCTGGGCAGAAATGTGGACAGAGAGCAGAGAGCAGCTTGTTCAGGTTCTGTTTATTATGTTCTCACAGCCTTGTTTATAGTAAAGGTGAATGACATGATTCCACTTTACACGATAATGAAAAAACTCAATGAGGACTCCATCAGCCAAGCGGTTTATATGGCAGATGAGCTGCTACAAATCTGTTGTGTGCTCGCCGCGTGACTCAGCTAATGCTACCGGGGTTGGAGCGCACACCGAGCCCAGCCACCTTTTCCATACCTGGCAGAGGGAAGGGAGTGGAAGGACCAGAAGGGAGTAAGAATCAGGAAAGGAACAGTTTATTGAAAGGACCCAGAGCCCAACCTAGGAAGGCCAGTGGCCCCATCCTGAAATCTCTCATCTTGGTCCACAGCATCTTGTGGAGTCCTGAGAGGCCACGGGGACAGGAAGGCATCCCTGCTCTTGGCTTCTTCCTCCACCATCTCATGCCGAGTGGCATGGTGGGACAGGCTCTCAGTGCCAGGGAGACTTTGCCACCTCTCTTGCTTCTAACCCAAAGGGATGCAGATTTAAAGAGGCCTGACACTTGGAAGAGTGAAGGGTGGCCTGGGATGGAAAACTGTGATGCCTCTGCCTTGCATGGAAGTGGGTGCAGACAGGGTCAGGAGAACTCTGGACATCCTTGTTGCTGGGAGACCACCCTGCCTCTGCATTTGCTACTCATCCCTTCTCTGATCCACGGAGAAGTAGACACCATGTTAGCGGCTGGTCTCTCCCACCTGCTCCTTCTTCTTCAGTCTTCCCCATTTTGCCCTCACCCAGCTCTCAGCACAGTTAAGTTCACGGCTTTCCCTCACAGCAGAGCCAGCTGAGCTGCTCAGCTCAAGTGCCCAGGGCCTGCACCCAGAGGCTGGGCCCGCAGCCTGCGCAGAACACTCTTTCACAGCTTTGGTTTATTCAGAGCAGCAGTTCTGGGGAAAGCACCGGAGATTAAAATCAACTAGGACCTTCCCAGCTGCCCACCCAACGTGGGACCAAAGAGGGAATGGTGAGGGCTTGGAAAGGCCTCACAGATCTTGATACCCCCAGGACGTGACACTCTCCACTGAGAAATTTGGAAGTTGTGTTACTACTATTATTATTACCACGACGCTCTTCACTCACCACTTGAGTGGGGGTTCCAACTACCTTGTCACGTGGCCTTGGGTACAGAGACACAGCCTAATGCAAAAATGGCCAAACACAAGGGCGCAGGAAAACAGACAGGGGAAACAGTCTAGGAGACAAGCTTGGAGGAGACAGGACTCAGAAAGCATGGCAGAGCGTCTTTCGATCAAGGGTCCCTTCAGCTACCACCTTCGGCATGGCCGCTGCCCAGCAATGCACTCAGCTTGGGCCAAAACACCTTTATCTCAAAGGAGAAAGTCAGACGCAGAGGGCATAGAGGCAGCCATCCCGAGTCAGGCTGCAGGGCTGGCCAGGTTCCTCGGTATCTACGTGCTTGCATGTGGAGATACACCAGCCCCCTTGGCCCACACAGCTGTGTCTCCCCCCTCCCCCAGCCCCCCCGCCCCCGCGCTGTGTTCCTCCTCACTCCTTAGACTCAATGCTTCCTAAGTTCAGCTGCACATTGGAATCACCTGTGGAGCTTTAAAAATGACTGATGCCTGGGTCTCTAACAAAAGCTTCTGATTTGGCTGTTCTGGGGTGGGACCTGGACATCTGGGTTTTAAAAACTCCCTAGGTGATTCTAAGGAGCAGCCAAGGTCGTGAGACTCTGTCTAAGAGTCCAAGTCCACAGGCCACTAGCCATCTAGGAACTTATTAAAAATGTGGATTTCTGGGCCCCATCTCAGGTCTATCAGATCAGCATCTCTGGGTGTGCACCTGGGAATTAGCACGTGTCACAGGCTTTCCAGGTGATTCCTGTGCATGCTCAAGTTTAATGAGAAGGACTGCCTCAGAGGATTCTTCCTCACCCCAGAGGTGCCCAAGGCCATGAATGGTTGATACTGACAGTATTCTATTTAGTTTGCCAAGGGCAATGACGAATCTCACACCAGCCCCCAAACAAGTTAGCCCTCCAGTGGGGCAAGATCACTCAGGGATGGAGAGCAATTCTAGAAGTCACAGCTCTGCCTAGACTTGCCTGGACTTGCCCTGCCCTGGCTTGCCTGGAGCCTGCATAGGCCCAGGACTGAGCAAGCCTCAAGTCCAGAAGGCAAGTCCACAGCACAGGCTCGGCTTGAGGAGCCAAGGAAGACAGGAAATAAATGGAAGTGATACCCAAGGACATGGGCTTGCGGAAGAGGCAATGGGAGAGAGGGCAGGACTGGGAAACATGGAAGCTCAGGGATGAGGTATGCTTGGATATTGCTCTAGATGTTGTAAACATTTCTCTTTGTTTCATCACAGACCAAAATCTGGGTTGGCACGACCAGAGTGCCTGAAAGTAGGCATCAGAGTGGAGAGCTCTGTGCCTCTTGTGGGAAGCAGGGCATACAAGGTATGAGGAAAGCTCCACCCCACGGGAAGATCATGTCTGCCGTGTACTAGTCTAATGCTCACAGTTGTCACACACACACAAACACACAGAGACACTCCACAGGAGTACCATAAATTTAGCTATCACGTTCCTCTACACATGGACACATGCCCACATACCCTTGCTTAGCTGCAAAATTCAGGATCCCCAAGCTTGGTCTTTCACACCTCCCCATTGTGGGAGGAAGTCACCAGGGCGCCATGACACCACCATCTGCAGCCTTCGTTTCCTCAATAGTTGGCAAGAACTCTAGGCCTCTCTATGAGGCCATCGCACGACACTCTTGTTCAGGCTTTTCTCCTTGGAATAGTGGAAGTGGAGAAAAATCCCCTTTCAGAATGTTTCACATTTCTATAACTCTGTGCAGTTCTAATTTATATGCACCTCATATTCGACAGTAGAGTTGGCAGCAGATGCACATTTCATATGTAAACAATGTTTAAAATACCCTGTTAGAGAATTTAATCATTAAATTAATTCTGGCAGCTTTATCTAAGAAAGAATGATTTGTTTTTTTAACCACGGTTGGGAGGATACTACCTGATCTAACTAGGAACACCCATTTGAGGCTTTGGAGTTCTCAAACACAAAATTCCACAGGTCTTTTCGGTGTCTGTGAGGGCTAGGAGACATGTGTTCTTCTCTCCCCTTGAGGTTCACACAGTCACACCCACCCTCACTCACAGATAACAATGTGCTGTAGCAGTGCAGTGGCCCTAGCACTAGTGGGACTCAAGGGCTTTCTTGGCCTGGTCTAGCTATAGCTAAAAAAGGAAGAGATTCTCAAAGTTACTGGAGAGGAACACAAGCACTAGAACGCCACCAGCATAACGTTAAAAGGCCCCTCACCCCTTAAAAGGAAAATGGTTCAGCCCAGTTCTCAATCATCTGCACTCCAGAGCTTATGCCTAATCATGTGCTGTTCCACTTAGTCAAGCTGAACGTTTTGTAGATCTGCAATGAATCCAAATCCACTGGTCGTGAATTATTCCAATAGTAACTCCACTCTGTTATCCTCTCCACCTGGAAACCAGCCTCTTACATGCCCCTCTTTCACTTTCCGGTCTCTCTGCTAAAGGTTCATCTCCTGGGCACTAGTCTTGTGCCAAAGTCAGCTTTTTCCTGGGTGGCTAGAGTAGGTTCCAGGCTGCTCACTCATCCTCCAAGGAAGAATTGCCTGACACATTTCCAAGAGCAGCTGCAGGGTACCATGAAAGCATTTTAGGAAGGTTGTCCACGTCCAGATGTTCACAGTGATCTTCTTAGCCACACCTCCTATTTCATGCTCAATTCCAAAAGGTCAAAGATCAAGAAAGAAGGTGCTTCATAGTATCCAAGAGAGAGATCTTTCTAAGAAAGCATTTTCCCAGGAAGTATGCTGGAAAGAGTTTCAGCCTAAATTCCCATTCTCCCCCATCATAATTACATGACCGGCATGGAAGGGGGGAGGTGGAGATACAGGGAAAGTATTAGGCACCATGGGAGCACTCCATGCTATAGGAATTCACCTCCCTTTGCCAAGCTGTCATCCTAAGACATCAGTGATGTATGATGCTGCAGAGAGGTGAGGGCAGAGAAGACACTGAGCAACAGACAGGTTACATGGTACCCCTTTGAATAGAAGTCTACTGGTGCTACTTGCCCTCGTCTCTTGACTTCTGGAAAAGTTCTTCGTAGAATTGAGGAAGATTTGCAAGCTGTATCTTTCTTAATGGCAGTTCCACTTCAGAAGTCATGAAGAACATCACCCAAGACTCTTTCTGGAAATGTAAGGTTAGGGTAGTCTTGTGAATTTCCTAGGCCAAGATGGGAAGTAATCACAGTTTTTCACACTGGTCCAATGGAAATGGAAGAAACAAACAACTCCATGGATTTCACTCCTTCTCTGAGAGGTCACCTGTCAATGACAGAACTAGAAACCTGGAATTCCACAGAAACCTCTCTCCTAAGCTGTGAGATCCCAGTGAGCAGAGCTGGCCACTACAAATCACAGAGTTGAGCCCAAGTCTTTCAGCTATTCCTCCCAGGGATTTACAACAAGTGGAGAGTCAGGAATCCTAACCGAGGAGGGTGTGGAGGTGGTGGGAATTGCATTTGCATTATTTACAGATTAGCCTAGCACAGCAAATCTGCCCTCTCAGCAGAGGTGACCCAAGGCATTATATGAAGGGCAAGTTGCTGACCCAGAAAAGGGTGACAGCGGCAAGGCGCTACCACTAACCAAAACACAAACATGGGTAAATGGAATAGAGTCCAAGCTCCGGCAGCTGGGTCATACTTTGGAATGGCCCTTCATTCCCTCCTCACCCCCAGCCTCCCACCCCCAATGCCACCGCTTTTGAACACCTATGACATTTCACATTAGAATATGATCTTGGCAGCAAGTGGAGGGGAAAGCCGGTGATTTCCAGGAGTTCCCTTCTGAGGTCTAACTGAGCCTCCTCTGGCTTTGGGACAGCAGATCTAAGTACATTTTGGACCTCAGGAACCTGGGGTAAGAGTCTTTCTCCATGAGGCTGTGTACTTTTCCTTGGGCTTGGTCAAAGCAAGTCAGGGATGGCTCCTGCAGGTTCTTCCTCGTGGCTTCTCGGGTCTGGAAGTCAATGTTTACCTAGAGATACAAACAGAGAGCAAGGTCACAGGCCCTCAAGGGCCAAGGTTTCTGGCAGCTGGCCCTAACTATGCAATAATTATGAATGACAGCATCTACATATTTAAGGTGATTTCTGCTTTTCAAATTGCTTCCATGGAGGTCATCCCTTTTGATCACAGCAAGAATCCTGTGGGGTCTGAAGACCAGATATTCTCAGTCCCAATTTATAGACAACAATACTGGAAAGAAGAGACTAAAAAGCTTGTTTAAAGTAGTATGGAAAGTTAGTAACAGAGCCAAGGCAAAATCCCAAATTACTTGAATCCCTAATCCAGGGACCTTCACCATGGCAGGCAAAGGGATAGATCCAAGCCAGTTGCTAACGCAAGTCCCCTGAAGTAAGCTTTCTGTCCTCTCCTTTCTTGTCTACTAAGGAAACAAATGCCCTGTGGAGGGAGGCCCTGGTTAGAATGCACATCTGTGTTCCAAACAGCATTATAAAGGGCCTGTAGCATCCTAGCCAACTGGTAAAGACTTCTCGCATCCCAAGTCAAAGCATAATTGAAGGAATCTAAAAATGCAATGCACTTAAACTTGTAGCAAACATTTTTCTTCATTTAAACCCTCCCCTCCCAAGTGAAATTCTGTATTATAACTCACAACAGCAGTATAATAGAAATTCATCCTATTATTACAAATAAGTATAATTAAATAATGTAAATAATTGTAATTACTCATTAATGAGCAGTGGCAAATACTGAACAGGTGCTTTATCTCTCATGTTCTGAAAAGTAGGTACGCTTTTACATTGGGGAAATTGAGACCCAGAGAGGTTTAGTAACTTGACCAAGATCTCATAGCTAGTAAGTGGTGGAGCTAAAATTGAAACAAGATTTCAAAGCAGATCCACATTTCATTAAGCTATGCTGCTTTCCATCAGGAAAATGAACATAGACTCGGTAGCACTTATTCTTGCAAAATCTCTGTAGCAACACAGTTCCTGCTAGCACATGTTTAACTGACAGATAACTAAAACACTCCTAATGGAGCTCCTTTGATGGAAACCCTGGGTTTCAGTTTCTTAAAAATGATCCTTTTTTCATCAAGGGCCACCAGAGTGATGAGGCTCAGTTTAGTATAAGAAAGTCCTCATCAAGCCTGGCTCAGATCCTCTCTGAGGAGAGAAATGCAAGCTAGGAGCCATGGATAGACAGGATGGTCGCCGCTGCCAACACACCTCCCGTGGAGCCTGCACATCCACAAACTCCTCAAAGATCCTATGGGCCTTAGAGACCAGTTTTGCAGTTGACCTGGTCTTCTTGAACTCCTCACAGGCCAACCAGAATTCCAGGTTCTCCTCACTGAACTCCGTCTTCAAGAAGGCACGGAATGCAGCCACCCCATCTGCGGATGTGGGAGGAAGAAAAGAAGAGAGATAGGAAGCAGCTTAAGTTTAAGAACTGTAGAAGAAAGAAAGGAAGTAATAGTGTGAGGGTGCCCCTAATTGTCCAAGCTCACTGCTCCTCCACACCCTCTTGAAGACCCCATTCTCATCTGGGTGCAGTGGCTCACGCCTGTAATCTCAGCACTTTGGGAGGCCGAGGTGGGTGGATCACCTGAGGTCATGAGTTCGAGACCAGCCTGGCCAAAATTGTAAAATCCCATCTCTACTAAAAATACAAAAAAAATTAGCTGGGCATGGTGGCACATGTCTATAATCCCAGCTACTTGGCAGGGAGGCAGGAGAATCGCTTGAACCCGGGAGGCAGAGGTTGCAGTGAGCTGAGATCATGCCATTGCACTCCAATCTGGGCGACAGAGCGAGACTCCGTCTCAAAAAAAGAAAAAAAAAGACCCCATTCTCTTAGACACAAAAGTGTCCTCAGAGGCAAGCCATGCTTCATATTCAAGAGTCATAGGGCTGGACGCAGTGTCTCATGCCTGTAATCCCAGCACTTTGGGAGGCAGAGGCAGGTGGATCATCTGAGGTCAGGAGTTCGAGACCAGCCTGGCCAACATGGCAAAACGTCATCTCTACTAAATACAAAGAATTAGCTGGGTGTGGTGGTGCATGCTTGTAATTCCAGCTACTTGGGAAGCTGAGGTGGGAGAATTGCTTGAACCTGGGGGTCAGAGGTTGCAGTGAGCCGAGATCACGCCACTACACTCCAGCCTGGGCGACAAGACCAAAAATACGTCTCATAAAAAAAAAATAGAGTCATAGTAATATTACGAAGCCACATTTAGGAAGTTGTAGTAATATATTTGGGGCACAGGTGTCTCTATCCCCTGGGTCTACTGGTGAGCTATGTTGCTATTTAATAATTTGGTCAAATTATTTGTTCTCTAACCTAATCCAAGTCAACCACCCTGAGGAAACACACAACTTGTTACAAGATGAACTAGAGGGAAGTGTGAATGTCTCATCCTTTGCTACTACCAAAAAAAATCTGAAAGTAAACTACCCACTGAAATGCAGTCGGCAGTTTCATTCTGTTACCTGGACGGGGTTGCAAGCCTCTTTTAAAAAAAACCTTTGAGGTGCTGTATTTTGACCTTTTATTCCATGTGTCCTTTATTTTAAAAGATATTGCCTATCAAATTATGTTTTAATTAAGATTGATCATAATTTTTCTGCCAAGTGATTTAACAAATTAATATGGCTTTTCATTTTTATTAATCAATGTCATACATATTGTCAAGCAGTGCTTCCAACCAACACAAGATGAGCAGGGTTACCATGTCAAGTTAGAAAGGGAAATCACATTTATTGATAGCTTATGCATCCAGTTAATGTTTTTATTTAAAAATATTTTTTATTAGTTATTTCAACCTCAACACACTCCCTTTAATCAAATAACAGCTATAGTTTTCTATAAACTGTCCTCAGGGGAAGGGCACATACAACCTAGAATAAAGAAGTGTTCTACTGGTTATAAAAGACCCCGGCAATAATCTTTTATTTCTTTTCTAAAATCCCCCAGAAGAACAAAATGTTAACAACTCTTTTTTTTTTTTTTTTTGGGTGGGGGGCATGGAGTCTTGCTCTGTCGCCACGCTGGAGTGCAGTGGCACAGTTCCGACTCACTGCAACCTGTGCCTCCCGGGTTCAAGCAATTCTCCTGCCTCAGCCTCCCAAATAGCTGGGATTACAGGCGTGCGCCACTACGCCTCGCTAATTTTTGTACTTTTAATAGAGACAGGGTTTCACCATGTTGGCCAGGATGGTCTTGATCTCTTGACCTTGTGATCCACCCGCCTCGGCCTCCCAAAGTGCTGGGATTACAGGCGTGAGCCACCACGCCCGGCCAACAACTCTTAATTCTAGGTGACAGGATGACCTGGGCATCTGACGTCCACCACTATCCACCAGGACCGTGCACTGGCCAGGGTCATTTGATGGATTGCTGGTGCCATGCTGTTGATATATTCAATGCTTACTTTTACTTTCTTGAAATGTTTTCATTTCTCTGAATAAAAAAGTCATTGTATATCTTTGTCTTTCAAAATACATATTTTAATGTCTATACTAGAACAGTATCAAAAAAGCCACATCTTTACTTGCAAGAGCCAGGAACTTAAGAGAAAGGTTTCCGGGTGACTCCCAACACTAAGCTTGAAGTCACAAGGAGATTTAAGTTTGGAAGCCTGAGCTTAAAGTCATTTTAAAAAGTAGGAATGGCCGGGTGCAGTTGTTCATACCTGTAGTCTCAACATTTGGGAGGCTGAGGTGAACAGACTGCTTGAGCCCAGGAGTTCGAGACCAGCCTGGGCAACATGGCAAAACCCTATCTCTACAAAAAATACAAAAATTAGCCAGCTGTGGTGGCATGTGTCCAGCGATTCGGGAAGTTGAGGTGGGAGGATCACCTGAACCCTAGAGGTTGAGACTTATCCAAGTCAGGTCATGTTGAGAGTGAAGGCTGCATTACTGTTAATTACATGCAGACAATAATTATAAACCATGACCACCACAGGCAAAACCCAGGACACATGATTACCTTAACTCTAAACCACAAAGCATAGAGAAAGTAGAATATAATGTAAGGTTACTTCCTGTCAGGCAGGTGGAAAATAAAATTTTCCTGTATCAAAAAAGAAGATGAGAGTAACGTAATTTAGACTCAAATGAGAGGTCTGCTCAGGGCACCTCCTGCTCCCATTCCTACATTGGATTCAAAACTCTGGAGGAAGGGAATAGAAACCCGAGATAAACTGAAAATCAAAATGAAACAATGACACGGCAATGTTTAGGCAGAGATGGACTGAGAATCATTCGTTCAATTCAGCCATGTCTTTTAAAACAACTACTAATGTAACAAAGTACAGATGCTTCTGAACTTATGATGGAGGTATGTCCTGAAAAACCCATCATAGATTGAAAATACCAAGAGTCAAAAATGCACTTAATAAACCTAACCTACTGAACATCACAGCTCAGCCGAGCCTACCCTAAATGTGCTCAGAACACTTTTGGTACAGTATTTAGTAAATTACATGAGCTATTCAGCACTTTATTATAAAACAGACATTGTGTTAGATTATTTGGCCCAGCATTGCAAGAGAGTATCACATCACATATTGCTAGCCTGGGAAAAGATCCAAATGCAAAATTTGAAGTACTGTTTCCACTGAATATATATATCACTTTCACACCACCCTAAAGTCGAAAAATCATAAGTTGAACCATAGTAAGTCAGAGAACAAAATCATAAAATCCTTGCCCATGAAATCTCTCAAGGAAACTCTGTCACCCCTCCCTCACTCTGTCCTCTCCATGGAGAAGATCCAGAAGTCTCCACAGACTCTAGAGGGAACTCGGATTAGACAGCCAGCCTGCCTGCCAGGAGATCCCCACTGCTTGTAGGAGGGACCCCTGAGGCAGAGGCTACAGGCAGAGGTTGGAGGGAAAAACAGCTGGAGCTGTGGAAGCCTCAGTGCTCTTGGAGGAGGTTTTCTCCTTGAAGGAGACCCAGTGCCCTTGAGAACTAAGTGAAGGGCTGGTTTAGCAAGGGGGGGACTCTGAGCAGTGACCAGTCCACGATTTCACTATCAATGGACACAGGGAGGACCTGAGGGTCCGTAGGCCAGAGGTTCCCTCTCTGCCTCCATCTTACCACATTTTCCACTGTATTCAGTGAATGAGGAGGAGAATGAGGGGGCCCTAAAAGACTGTGAATTTGTCTAAAAGAATAACTGGAAAGTGACTTGGAAAAGCAACTCAGAAGAGCCTGTTGTTGGTTTTAAACCAGAAGAGACTATATTCTTCTAATGGGAGAGTTTAAGGTTGTTTGTGTCAGATTTTAATTTTTAACCAAACAGAAACAGGTGCTTATGAGCAAGGTGAATGCAGTTATGAACAAGGAAAGAATATTATCTTTCTGCCTTCCTTCATGGTACTTGTAAAGATAGCCTTGCTAAGGAAACTGTCTGGCCCTGTGCTAGATGAGGTACAGGCATCACCTCCTTAAATCCAGGTTTCAGCTCTGTTGGGTCTTTGTGCGGATGAGTAGAGATAACTTCTGCAAAGTGCTCCCAGGAGCCTTGCTTTACTTCTCATCTTACAGATGAGGAAACCAATGCTAAGAAAAGTGACTTGCCCGATTTCACATAGCTAACAATATGTAGCATTGAAAACTTCATATAAGGTATACTCACCTTCAATCCAACATAGCAATAATGTCATCTTCATTCATTCATTCACTTGTTATGTGACTCAGGCTATGCTATGTGCTAAAAGCAGATATAATCGTGACTTCACAGAACATGCCGTCAAGGGGAAGTTTGAGCCAAGAAAACATAATGATGATGATTATGATGTAGTGTGATAAGTTACATGATAGAGAAAGCAGAGGGGTCATGAAGGACCCAGGAGGGGTGCCTTTGCCGGCCCTGAGGAGGGAAGGGAAGAGCTGTGGGAGGAAGAGGCTTCTTAGCTGACATGGGAGGTAGAGGAGAGGGCAGCTAAGCAAGGGAAGGAAGGAGAGGAAGGAGAAGAGAATTTCAGCAAGAGGGAACCACAGGAATGAAGGCCTAGAATTAAGAAAGTTTACTTGAGTAATTGGAAGTAGTTCATTAAGACAAGCATTTAATAGTAATACAGCTGAAAATGACTAGACCTGCTTATAGGATAGCATACACCAAGAGGCCTGTGAAAGAGCCAGAAAGACAGAAGAATTTTGCAGCACTACAAAAGACCAGGAAGAGATTATTTCAAGAAGGAAGTGGTCACTGTGTCTAGTGCTGCCCAGAGGTCAAGCTAGATACAGTCTGAGAAGCAGTCAGTAGATTCAGCAAGCGTTGGCAGGAAGAGTTTTCATGGTGTGATGGGGTTCTAGGTGTCCCATGGTACGTACGGTGGTGAATGAGACTGAATGAAGTGGAAACAGTCATTCAGATGATGCCTGCAACAAATTTGGTAGAGAAAAAAGTAGAGAAATAAGACAGCATAGCTGGAAGGAAACATGAAGCGAGGAAAGAGATTTTTTTTTTTTTTTAAGATAGACTTGGGTAGGGCCAGGCGCAGTTGCTCACACCTGTAATCCCAGCACTTTGGGAGGCCGAGGAGAGCAGATTATGAGGTCAGGAGTTCGAGACCAGCCTGACCAACATGGTGAAACCCCATCTCTACTAAAAATACAAAAATTAGCCAGGTGCAGTGGCATGCGCCTGTAATCCCAGTTACTCAGGAGGCTGAGGCAGGAGAATTGCTTGAATCTGGGAGGTGGAGGTTGCAGTAAGCCAAGATCGCACCACTGCATTCCAGCCCGGGCAACAGAGCCAGACTCTGTCTCAAAAATAAAAAAATAAAAATAAAAGAGATAGACTTGGGTATGTGTAAATGTTGATCTGATCAGAAAAGACCAGTTGAGCAGCAGGAGCTGAAGTTCAAGAAAAGAATCTAACTGACAAAATGTTGCACCCAGGAAGGTAGAAGAAATAGGATGAGGAGCAAAAAGAGGAGCTATGTATGAATGCAGGAAAGTTTCTCATTTCAGGCAGGAACTTGAAAGTCTGTCTCATGTTAGCTGGAGAAGATGGTAGCGCCTAGGAAAGGTAGGGTGTTGTTTTTACTTATTTATTTAGGATGCGGGGCAAGGAATTTTACTTATTTACTATACACCGTGCTTTTTGCTCAGGACTTTACAAAACATTAGCTCAATTTATTTTCACAAAGCTGATCCATAGATAATATCACTCCACTTTCCACAGGAAGAAACTAAAGCTTAGAGAAGTGGAATACATGGCCCAATTACACAACCAGCAAGAGCAGGGCCAAGATTCCTAGCCAGGTCCATATGACTCCAAAGCAAGGTCTCTCCAGATGTGTGTGCAGACAGAAGGGAAAGGGTATTGAAAATGGGAGATTAAAAGAAGCAAAAGAATAGTATTTGGTGAAGGCAAATTTTAGAGTAGAGAGACCTAGAAAAAGTGAAAGAACTTCTTTTCCTTAAGGACAAAGGCAAAGAAAAAAGGAAAGAGGTAGAGGAAGATAGAGAAAAACAGCAAGAAAAGGGACATATTTGTGATATGTCAAGTCAAACAGCCTTAATCTTTGTTATTAATTTGGGATAAGGTCACTGTGAATGTGGGCTGCACCCACGTGCTAGGTTTTGGGGCTACGGCACAAACACATGAGATAAAGTCACCACCTCATAGAATTTAGAGGCTAGTCTAGTGTAACCGACATTAAGTGATAATTTAAAATAATCAATTGAGTAATTACAAATGCAGAGTGGGCTATAGTGGGGAACTCTAAGAGTGGGAAGGGTTTGGAACAGCGACCTTGGAAAAGTAAATAAGAATGTGATAAAAAAAAAACCGTCATACAATTGTAAAGGCTTAAACTTAGATTCCTGGAGGAGTTACAATGCACCAAAAAGGGAGCAAGAACTTTTAATTTGATGGTGCATCTATTATTCAAAGAGAGAACCCATCAGTTCCAGGCTGGCAGATGATCCTTGAACCTGGAGAATAGCAAGGATTTAGCAAGTGGCAATTGGGACATAGAGGAAGAGGAGAAAGACAAGCAGGAAGTTAAAAAAAAAAAGTTGAAGCCAGAGAAAGAATTTTAAAGTAACATCAGCAAGCATTGATAGCACACTTACTTTGGGCCCAGCACCGCACCTAGTGGTTTATGAATCTTATGGTACTGGCTTCTCATGGCACATCTATAGCTTAGGTCCTGATATTTTCACCACTTTTTAGGAGAAAAAAACAAAGCTTAGAGAAGCCAAATAACTTCCACAAGGTCACAGTCTGTAAGTGGCAAGGATGCTAAACTGCAAAGCCAGCATTCTCACGCATGTAGAAGGACTAGCCTCTAGCTCTGTGTGACAGTAACCTGAGGGATGCCTGTGCCAGTGACCACTGAAGTGGAAGGAGAGGACTCCCACTGTAGGGCAAGACAAGGAGGCCACAAGTGACACCACAGATGGTGACATTTCCAGGTGGGGTGGAGAGAAAATAAGAAAAGTCACTGAGGAAGGCAGAGGGGTATCTGAGCATATGTCAACATAGAAACAGGGTGCGCATAGGCAGGAGAATTCAACTAAGTTACACCATAAGCAGTTAAGGCCGACTCGGCAGGGATGGAGATTTGGAGTTGGAGATGTGTGGTGAACTCATAGCCAGCTCTCATTACCTGGCAGCCTGCTGAGGCAGAAGCTCCACGAGTCTCAGCTGGGAGCACCAGTTCTGACCAAAATCAGCCCTATCATTAACTGTGTGACTTTGGACAACACACTCAACTTCACTAGGCCCCAGCATCCTCATCTGTAAACTAAGGGGGTTGGATATGATGAGCTTTCCCAGGTAGAGTTAGCACTCTGTTCGGTGTCCTCATGGCAACTTAAATTAGCCTGTATCAGACACAGCTCTTAGCTGATTGATTTTCACAGCTCCACAATTCCATCCTTCTCCTCATCAATGTCAATGTCAGTGTCATCACCGAGTTCTGTGCTGCCCAGTTTATATACATTAACTCAATCCTTACATCAACGCTCCTAAGCAGACAGAGGCTCTGGCGTCACACAGCCTGGCATGACCTTGGAAAAGTGCCTTAACATCTCCAAGCCCAAGCGTTCTCATCTCTAAAATGGGAATAATGAATAATGTCAGGACTTACTGAATTGGGCTGTTATAAGGATTAAATGAGGCAAGCCACGGAAAAGTGCCTAATAGTTCATTATAAGCAGTCAATAAGTGTTAGCTCTTAGCAAAGTGTGTTTTATAAATAAGGAAAGTGAGACATGGAGAGTTACTTTGTAGTCGCTTGGCCAGTAAAAGGTGAGAAGTGACTTTGCACACACATCTGCGTGACTTCGGAGCCACCCTCCTCTCTCCTCTGGTGACAGCTGGCAGGCCTCCAAAGGAGAGACGGACTGTAAGCCCAAATCAGGCAAACACACCACACACATACCACAGCCCAGCAAGTGTACCATTTAGCTCACAGACCTGGAGATTCTCCACCAAAAGGACACCTGCTGTCGCCTTCTCTGTGGTAAGAACTGAGGCCGTTAGGTGCCACCAATAACTTGGAACCTGCCTAAAGTCTCTTCTCTCCCACAAAACTGATGGCCTGGTGGGGTGGCTTTTTCTTGTCAAAAGAGCTGAAGTGTGAGCAGAAAGGCATCTTTCCCAACCATGGCCAGGGGATGCTGTAACGAAGAACAGCTGAGTGGCCTTGTAAAGATGCCATGTTCTCTCAGGCAGCCTCAGCCCAAAATGTGGTGGCCTGCATTTCCAGGGCAGGCTCAGAAAGAGTGAGAGGAAAACCAAAAGAAACTTGAAAGTTGCCTGGAATTTCAAGGGAAGTGCTTGAGAGATGGGAAAGGAGGGGAGAATGGCCCTCCCTCATGGGCCCTTCCTGGGAGGGTCTGGACCTGAGATGCAACAGAGAACAGATTGTGGCAAAGACACCCCAACAGACACAGATCACAAAGGCTTGTGCAGACTGCACCTGCCCTCACCCCTCCTCCTCTGCTCACCCACTTTGTATGCCTATCCCTCTCAGCCCCAATCTCCCCCAACTCTTTTTATATTCCCAGAGCCTGCACTGAACAAAGAGATACTTTAGTCTGAATAATGGAAGGGAGAAGGTGGTAGAGGGCACTGCTGCAGGAGCCCCTCCTCTTGCCTGGAGCAGATGGCAGCAGCGGGCTTCTGTGGACAGACCACTTGTTCCCCCACCCACCCCCCTGGCCCACCTTTCCTGCTTATGTGACCAAGCAAACAAATCCAAACACAACTGCGTAAAATCCTAGCCTACTGCGTGGAATAGAGCCAGCTCCACACTGTTTCTCCCCTTCCATCCACCTCCCACCTCCTCCCAGCGAGCTTTTCATCTGCTCCTTTCCCTGACTCCTCAGCATCTTTCCCTGCCCCTCTCCCTGTTCTCCTGTTCTCTTTCCTTTTTGTCCTCTTCCTCTATCTTTCCCCTTTCCCTCCACCAGGACCCTCCTGCTTGTCCATGAACTGTAGTTGGTTCCAAATACAGGATGCTGGTTTATTTCTGAAAGGCTCATTCGTGTCTCCCAGCATCTCTCAGGGTGACATGCTTTGCATTAGCTGTGTTTCCTCTGCCGGGGCCCCATGCACCCCAGACCCTGCTCCCTCCCCAAGCCCAGGCAACTGAAGTCCCCCCGCCCCAGTTTCCCCCAACAGATCTCAGGCAGTTGGAAAGAGTGACTACTCTCTGACCCCTGAAGCTGTTCCACCTGGGATTCTGTCATGGCTCTAACCCACACCAGCTAAGTGTGAGCTTGGGCAAGAGACTTAACATCTCTGTGCCTCAGTTCCCTCACTTGTAAGATGCAGGTCCTAATAGCATCTGCTCCATAGGGTTCTGGGATGTGGTAAGTTCATACATGTAAACAACATGCAGGCCTGACACATAGACAGTGATTGTTCAATCCAGGTTAGTGACTATTATTCCTTGTACTTCAGTGGCTTAAGGAGTCATCATACAGAACATAACATACCCAATACAAAACAATCCTGAGTAACTGAAAGGCAAGGAGGTGGTGAACAGTTTGGGAAAATGGGAAGAGAAATGACAGAAGGACCTGCTGTTTTGTCATTTCATTTTTATTTCACTTTGGTTTTCTTTGTACGACCCTTCAAGAAGTCAAGGGTGCTAAGAAAATTATAATTTTTTGAGATTGATACACATCTAGTGACAGAAAGGGAAAGGCTTGTGTCCAGAATTCTTGGAACAGTGAGCAGAATATTGGCATCTACCTGAGCATCCACAGAATCTCCAAGAACACACCTCAGCTGTGCATGCTGCCTGTGGCTGGCTTTCTCCCTCTAGTTATTTGATGGAGGATGCTTACATAAGAAAGGAAACTGGGTCACTATGAATGAGCAGTGCAGCTGGTACAGCAGGGAGTGGAGCTTAGGTAACAGTTCAAGGCCCAGGAGCACTGATGTAGCTGGCATCAGGGTGGGCTTGAGCCTAGCTCAGTTCCCAGGCTTGGAAAAATACAAGAGCACAACAACAAAAACAATTTATTTTAAGTTCTCTATTTATGAAAATGCTGTCCTAAAAACCAGAGTCCTCTTGTATCCCCGAACAACTGGAGAAAATAAGCTGGTGAATGGGTTCCAAGACCAGATAGAGGAAAAGAATGGAAATTACATTTCTAAAATCCAGGATACATATACTAATAGTGATGCCAAAACTTCTTTGATCCAGAAACAAATCACTGCTTTGAAATTCATGATGAGAATAGCATCAGGATCACAGCTCTTCTTTTGTGAAATCTGTGAAATAAATTGTTTTTAAACAAATAACTGGAGGTGGCCACAGTGGTTTGCACCTGTAATTCCAAATATTCAGGAGGCCAAGGCAGGAGGATCTCTTGAGCCCAGGAGTTCAGGGCTGCAGTGAGCTATGATCATGCTACTGCACTCCAGCCCCGGCAACAGAGCAAGACCCTGTCTCTAAAAAATTTTAAAAATAACTGGGACTAAGTAATATTTATGTAGAGAGATTACGTAGAGAACAAACTATTTCCAGTTGTGACATTTTATTGGCAACCATTTGATATGCTAATTATACTTCAGTAGTGTGATTAACGTAATTTTCTTCAATGATCTCTACTTCATTAGTATATATGTAGCAAGATGATTTATTATAGTTGTATTAGGACTTGAAGATTGTTAAAGTCTTTGCACCAGAAAGGACATGAGAGAGCCTATGATCAAACCCTACACTGGACACAAAAATGGTGAGCTCTGAGGTTGCATGGCTTCTTATTCTTAGGATGTGATAGCAGAAGAGTAAGGAGAGCCTGGGTTTACAACTCCTATTCCAATGTTCTTTCCTATTTTATCAAGGAGAAGCTGAGTTAGATAACCAGAAAATCAAGGTGGAGCCTGTATCTGCAACTATTATAAGAAATCAGCAAGAAATTTCCATTAAGGGGTAGACAAAAGAAGTGTCCCCCTAACAGGGTGAAGGTTTAGCATTCACGAAGGAATCCTTTAATACAGGAGAAGTATTATAAAACATGTAGCCGGGCGCGGTGGCTCACGCCTATAGTCTCAGCATTTTGGGAGACTGAAGCGGGCAGATCACGAGGTCAGGAGTTTGAGACTGGCCTGACCAACATGGTGAAACCTTGTCTCTACTAAAAATGCAAAAATTAGCTGGGCATGGTGGCAGGCGCTTCTAATCCCAGCTACTTAGGAGGCTGAGGCAGGAGAATCGCTTGAACCCGGGAGGCAAAGGTTGCAGTGAGCCAAGATTGTGCCACTGCACTCCAGCTTGGGCAACAGAGTGAGACTCCGTACCCCGCCCCCTGGAAAGAAAACCCTCATGAACACCAGTCCATAGCCTAAAAGATTTTGAAAATCAAGTATCCAGAAATATTGGTCTAGTTAGTTTGATGTAGAAATACTGCAGGGACTCACAAAAAAAAAAGGGAATATATCAAATTTACCTTCTGGGCTTTTAAAAACTACATCCTCAATGGAATTCCCTCACATGCATGGGGAGGTTTGAAGGGGGCCTGCCAAAAGCTCATGAGGCAAAGGGGACAAGTATTATGGGATTCAAAGAAACCCTATTGGCAATTCTAATACTACCTCCAATCCACAAACTCAAGCTGCCTGTGGGATCAAGAAGCTGACACCATCTCTGGCATATAACAGGCATGAAATGCATGTTTTCTCAAAGAATTTAATATTATGTTAGAGCAAAAATAATTAGAATAGTTATTTTTTATTGAGTTCCTCTATGGAGAAGTCATCATGATTAGCATTTCAGAACCATGATCACACTGAACTCTCACAACTGTACAAGGTAAGCCTCATCATTCCCCTTCTACAGATGAGGAAAGTGAGGTTCACAGAGGTTAAGTAATCTGAATACAGTCACATCGCTGGTAAGTGACAGAAGGGGTTAGAAGCCTGTCCAGTTGTTTTCATTCATACCTTTCTCAACAGGCTTTTAATAGTTGCCTAATATATTCCAGGCATTCCTTCAATAAAGACCAAATGCACCCACATTTCTGGGTCCAAGTACAAACTACAACAATGTGAAGATGATGGCAAGGAAGCAAAGACATTTATTTTCCACCCATTTCTACTTTGCACATCTTTTTCTAGCTCTTATCCTGAATATATCCAGAAAGTACACCTGCCATATTTGTTTATTTACTGTGGAACCCTCCTCCCTACATATGTGGAAACTGGGATTCACAATGTACTGCTAGGGATGCGCTGTCTGAGCACTTTGGAAAGCTTCCATACGAGATACAGTCTTTAGTATGTTTCTTGGAAAGCACAGGCCACCTGCCCCACCAGGATGCTCCAGACTCCTGGTTTTACTCATGTGCCTTTGAGAACAGGGTTTCTCAAGCTGAGATGTGCATAAACCTTCCTGGAGGGTTTGTGAGAAAAAGATCCCCAGGCCCCAGCCCCAGGGATCCTGATTCAGTAGGTCTGAGAGGACCCGCAGATTTTTATTTCTCACAAGCTCCCAGTAGATATTGGTGCTGCCTCCCTTGGACACCACTTGGAGTAATGCTGTTCTAGAACCTTTTGGCTTGGAGAGGGATGTGGGGAGGGCTGCGCAGTGAATGGAAGCCTGACTGTTCAACTGTATGTTCTAGAGCTACAGGCCATTTAGATGAATAGTTTAAGAAATTTCATGAATTGATAATTTTAATGTTTGTTTATTTGATTGTTTGGGGTCTTCTGCTTGGTTGCTGTGTGACCAGCTCCAGTCATTATATTTTTATATCTCAACCATTATCTCAAAAGGGGCTAATTTTTAAAAACTAAAAGTTTCTCTGTGGGTATCCTGTTCTCAGAGATAGATAACAGCTCTGCAAATGCAGAAGAGCTTTTAACTGTACTATCCATTAACCCAGCATTCCCTGGGCCTGGTGGGATAGGTCAGGGAGACCCTCCATGCCCTGTGCAAACAGCAAAACAAGGCTAAACACCAAATAAATGCCTGGGGTGAGGTGCTCATTCACCCAGCTGTGTGGTCACACATAAGAAGTGAGAGGAAAGGTGAGGGAACCCTGCCTTCACCTTCACCTTAAAACTGGAATAAATCTAACTTTTTATGTTCAAAAAGTATCAAAGGACAGAGGGAGGCAAGAAGGAAGGGAGAAATAAGGGAAGGAAGGGAGGGAGGAAGGGAGGAAGGAAAGAAAGAGAGAGAATGAAGGAGATGAAGGGAGCACCAACTCAGAGTTCAGGACTTAATGTTCCACTAAAAGCTAAACAAATAAAAAAAGTTTGCATGAATCTTGTGAGAAATAAAGAAGAATACACATGATTTTATGCCTGTTTCCCAGAGACCTGTCAGAAAAGATCTTCCACAAATGAGGAAACTTTGCTCTCTTGGGTATGAGCTGCAGAGCAGAAAGTCTCCTGAGTGTACACACATTCACACACACACACACACACACACACACACACACACACACTCTTGGGGCCAGACTACATGCACAACTCACAGACATGGAGCCTAATTGTTACTGGTGAAAAGGAAAAAGATGACAAATTAATGCACATTAGAAATCCTTCCCTATTTAATGAAGCCATCAGCAATTTCAATTTCCTTGTTCGTTTGTTAGTGTTTGTTTTTTTGTTTTTAAGAGTGCTTAGCTAGTGGTTACTTCCTGGACCTCCATGGGTGCTTCTTCCACTTTGTATGGCATTTGTAAACAAATATAATTGGAAATAAAATGGCTCCAAACATTTGCCCTCCAGATTTTTTAAATTCTAAGGTTTAAAAAATAGCAAAGTTGCTTTCTTTTGCCTGAGATTTCAGCCTATGAGGTGCTCAGCCAAGGAGAGGAGAAGCTTTTTAACACAGGCACCATAGTCCCTCTTCTGGTGCTGGAGCCATTTCAGCTCTGAAGCAGTATTTTACATAACCCTGCAGGCAGCGCTGAGTCAAACTACCTGCCAAAGGTGATTGGTTATTGCCCAGCCTCTCTGTTTGCTACAGAGAGCATCCTGGATCCAGCTTCTGACACCTCCTCCTACTCCAGATGCTTCATTGTATAGATGAAGAAACAGAATTTCTAAGAGATTGAGAGATCCTATCCCGATCATCCAGATATCCAGTAATAGAGCTGGGTCAAAATCGAGAACACAGATCTGACTACCAGACAATGCTCTTCGCTTAATTGTCCAAAAGCATGTTCCCCAATTAAGTGGAAACCATGCTGTAAACCAAAAGCAGCCTCTGCCCCCAGATCAGTTAGGTCTTCTAATATTGACAAGACGGAATTGAAGAGGAGCACTGATGTCAGGATTCTATTTGGAATCTTGAGGCCACCCAGCGTGTAGTCAGCACACTGCATTGTTTCCTGTGTTATTGGTATGCATGCCTGTTCGCTCAGAGGCTGCATTCTCCACCAGAGATGGACTGTGCCTTGTTCATCTTTGTGCTTCCCCTCCTCCAGCTGCTTACCATAGATTTTGCACACCATGAGCACTTGGTACATCTTTTTAAACATAAATGAGTGCCCAAAACACCCAACGGAACAGGGATGGCAAAGATGTCCTGTAGATTGAGAATGGGGAGGGGGGGAAATAATCATCTGTGTTTTCTGAAATAGAAATCTTAAGGGGGACAGCTGCCTACATGTAGAGAATTACCAGGGAGTGGGTTCTAGACTCCTGAACATTTTTTTTGGAGCCCAGTCATTCAGGGATTCTTCACTCTTTGCTTCTTAGGACATGTTATTGTCTTAATTGCAAGCTCCACAAACCTCTGATCAACACTGCCCCTCCTAAGAGACGAGCACACGTGCAATCCCTTTGGAAAAGCTTAATCAGCCCTAATTGAGTCACAATACCAACTCAAATTAATTAGACTTTCAGAAAGTTGTCAACATCCTTCAAGATAACCTGGGCTGACTGCTCCATAGCCTTCACAGGGGAGTACGTGTTCAAATTCTAAAAGCTTGAAATTCTACCAGTGACTCCTGAATAAAGACCCTTTCTTTTCGAAGACATTCACTCCACTGGCTTTTTACTTCTATACTAAACAGAAATATAAACAGAACATCAGACTCCAGGAAGGATCACAAAACTTCAAAGTTCAAAAAGCCTATTTCTGCAGTAGTTTTACAAAGAAGCAATCTGGTGTCAGCTTGTTGTTTTGTTTTTTAAGAAACAGGGTCTCACTCCGTCACCCAGGCTGGAATATAGTGGTGTGATCACAGATCACTGCAGCCTCAACCTCCTGGGCTTCAGCAAAATCCTCCTGCCTCAGCCTCCCGAGTAGCTAGGACTGCAGACATTCACCATCGCACTCCACTAATTTTTTATTTTAGTACAGACAGGGTCTCACTATGTTTCCCAAGCTGGCCCTGAACTCCTAAGCTCAAGTGATCCTGCCACTTCAGCCTCCTAGGTAGCTGGGACTACAGGCACATGCCACCACATCCAGATAATTTGTTAGAATTATTATTTTTTTAGAGATGGGGTCTTGCCATGTTGCCCAGGCTGGCCTTGAACCCCTGGCCTCAAGTGATCCTCCTGCCTCAGCCTCTAAAATGCTGGAATTATACGTCTGAGCCACTGCACCTGTCAGCTTGTAACTCCTTATCAGAGTCTCCATCTCAGAAAAGTGTCATTGCATTCCCAAAAACCAAAAGCATCCCTGACAGAAGTAGAAACAAGTGTCTTCAGATTTAAAAGTCATCAAATCAGACAAATAAAATTAAACCTCTTACATTTCTAGGTCTTGCTACTGCAGCAATCTAAATATATCCTAAGCTTCCTATCACTAATTTCACCACCATAAACTCCGACCATAATGGCTTAATATTAATAATTGGCAGCAAAATTTGTAATATTATTCTCAAGGCACATTTATTTTGCATTTGATAAATAAAAGTATCATTTAAAAAAAAAACCCACCATATCCTTACAAAATACCTTTAAGTAGAGAACCTTTAAGTAGAGAAGCCGAAATCAACGAAAGGTGTCCTCTTATTAAATTTCTCATATTCAGTGACAGGTAGCAAGCATCTCCATCACTATTTTAGAATGAGGAAACAGCCTCAGGGACTTGAACTAAGTGAGTCAGTTGTGAGGCTAAAATAGAAACCAAACTTCAAGATGACCTTGAATGAAATCCAGCCAGAAAAGAAGGCGTACATTGGTAGTGACACTTGTTTAGCCTAATGTGACTCCAGAAAAAAAGTCAGAATAGCCTCATTAAAAAAAATAGCATTACTGCAAATCCTAAATATTATTATACATTTGTCATTACCTTGGCAAATTCATCACATAAGCTTGCTGTTTGGGGTGTAGCCATATGTTACATATGCTATATCTATGCTGTCTTATTTTCCTTCCTAAGTGCAATCCACAGAATACTAAAGTGACTGTTTGTCTCACAAAACTGCTTGCTACAATATGTACTTATTCTTAGATTTTGCATTTCATTCTAAAATCTATTCAAACGTATTTATTAATTAGTTTATCCAGATCAGCAGCATAGCTGGAGGGAACTGCTCATCAAATTGAAAGCAAAATCACTTCTAAAGACATCCAAGACTGAGAGTTTCTGTCAAGACCACCCAACTACTTAGTAACAACGCTGAGTCAAAATCAAGAACGCAGGTCTGACTCCCACCCAGTGCCTTTCATTTAATTGTACCAAACCATTTTCTCCAATTAAGTGGAAACCCTACTCCAAACTAAAAGCAGCCCTCTGTTCCCAGATCAGTTAGGGCTTCTAATATCACTGCGACATATTTAAGAGGAGCAGGAAATGTCTATTTGAAGCCTTCTTTCTCTTCACAAAACCCCTCCCTCTTCCTCAACCCTGCTCTGCCTTGCCCAGGTATTAAATGCCACTAGTTTCAAAGCCCATTAATTTGAACTTGTACATAATGAGAAAAAGCAAGAGATGAAAAGTTTGGCTGATATCAAATTGCCCTCTCCACACCACAATATGCACAACTATTTCTGCCTTTGTGGGAAACAAAAGGCATTACAGATGAGGAAGAGAAAAATGGAAAAGGAAGGATAGCAGAAGTTGTATTCCAGTAAAATGTATACTCAGTAAGAAATTGAGGGGTAAAATGCAGCTGGGATAGCAAACCCTCAAAACAAAAAGCAACAATAAAACTCAAAAACTGTCAACTCAAGTGAATAATAAAATGCACAAAATATTCATTTGACTGATGCATAGCCCAAGACTCTCCCATAATTTGCGGGGAGGCCATTCAATTCTACAAACAAGATCTGGCTGGAACCTAGCTTCTCTCATTCCCAAGTGAGCCCAACATTCCAAACCCCTAAGCTAAACTCTCTCTTGCTAAAACTGCTGAGAATACGAAGGCTTCTTGGGATCATACTTTGAACCCAGAAAACAGAAAAGGAGGCCCTCATCTCACTGCATTTAAATCATTCATTTTCTTTTCTATATGCTCCTCTAGGCAGGAGGCTCTGTGAGAGCGGGGCCCACAGAGGTCTGGAACACCTAGTACATACCTGCCTGGATCATCACAGGCCTTTGGTACATCTCTCACTAAATAGATGATTTGCCATGTCATGATACGACCTGAATTCTACTTACACTTATGAGAGAGAAGCACATCAAAGGAATCTGCCCACCTCGTAGCTTCTTCTGTCGATAATCTCCTAGAAAAAAAGAAACATCTGTCTTGAATGTTTCTGAAATAACCTCCTTGCCCTCAACAACCGCTAAGATTTGCTCAAGAAAACAAATTGGAAAAATGTGGGGAAGGGTGCAGGGAGCAAATGAAGACTATACCTGGATTCCTGCAATTCTGTCACTGTAAATTTGTACATTCTTAAGTAACTGATGAAAAAAAACCTCAAGACTGAAATTCAGTGAATTTTGTCTGTTGGCTTTTAGTCTAAAGAACAAAGCTAAGTAAGTACATGATTTAAAGGTATCGAGGTAACAATGGAAAGAAACTGGTCTTAGAGCCAGAAAAGTTAGACTCAGCTCCTGACTCCATTCCTACTGTCACCTAAATGTCTGCACTTCTGAAATGGGGATAATGATGCCCATTACATAGTTGTGTGAGGGTCACACAAGGTAACATCTATGATATTTAATACAGCACCAGCACAGAAGAGGTGCTGAATTCAGGTTACTTGAATCTAAGCATATTTTTAGAGTAAATTTGAACAGTTATTTCCAAATTGAGAGCTCAGATTGACAACTAAGTAGAACCAAGAAGTATCCTTTGCCACCCACAGTTTTATGAGAGATGGATGATATGGCTTACTTAGGAAAAAAAAAAAAAAGAGGATTCCCATTCTGAGATCACTAAGCTATACGTTTTGAAAAGGAAAATAAACATTCCTTTCACTCACGTCCAGGGATATAAAAGGAGCTGCCAAGAGACAGGATTTTTCCAGTGGCTCATCTGGTCAGCATCTCACTAAAGAAGTGAGCTATATGACTTGCTGTATTACCCAGGGAATGGCACGTGGCCGTACTACTCACTTGAGAGCGCGGTTGGGTTTGTCTGGAAGAATAGCTGTGAAATCACTACACGAGTCTGACTTGTGAGACAGGCATCCCAGTCGAGTCCTCATCCCTTTGTTCCTGCAACAAGCACAGGGGCAGAAGGACGGGGAAACTCTCATGATCACAGCTGTCAGCTCTATACAGGGCCCCTGGAGCTGCTGCTACGGGAGCCAGCACTGCCCCCACCCTTCCCCAGGTGGTCTCTGAAGACTTCATGAACAGGAAGAGACCACCTAGAGAATCAATAACTACCTGAATAGGTACCCTAACCGACCCCCTAGAGGCTTAATGCTTTTCAAAGCTGACACAGCAAGTTGACGGTAAGTCAATGAAGGTCATTAGCTTGGAAGAATTTCTAAATTAGGATTCTCTGTAGGGAAAGAAAATACAGTGACAACAAAATAACAATCCACATTTTGCTTTTCCACAAGGAGGGCAAAGTAACAGCAGCAGCAGCAGCTCCTGATTGCAAAGACCCAGAAGGGGTACCAACACCAGGAGCAGAGGGATGTTTGCAGGGTGCAGGGTGCATATCAGAGTCTTAAGCACAAAGCAGGGGGCCTCAAGGCAGGCCAGTTCCAACTCAAGTTCTCCCCACTCATCCCACAAATCTAGCTATAGTCAACCCATAGGATTGATGCCTGTAGGGGGAGAAGAGTAATTGGTACAATCAGCAATTAAGAACCAATGTCCCCTTTGTCAGTTCTTATGCTTGCCTAACTAAGCTCATGTATTCCTATTTACATTTTGGCTTATCTCAATAAGCATAATTAAATTTTTAACATGTATGTTTACATTTCTCATATGTTTTATTTTCCAAAGGACCTATATAATGACATCAGGCACTTAAATAGTTATCTCTTATAACAGATCCAGTGAGAAGTTACTCTAATGTCTCTTTCTGACTCCCAACATTAGTCTCCGTTTACCACTTTACCTTTCTTTAATATGTTTAATTTTTTTTTTTTTAGAGAAACGGTCTTGCTATATTACCCAGGCTGGTCTCAAGCTCCTGGCCTCAAGTGATCTTCCTGCCTCAGCCTCCTGAGTAGCCGGGATTACAGGCCCAAGCCACCACGCCCAGCTAGCCTCTGCTAACCTTTAATCGGAGGTTGACAAACTATAGCCCTGAAAAGGTGCCTGTCTGTGTAAATAAAACTTTATTGGAACACAACCACACCATTTGTTTACGAATTGTCTAAAGCTGCTTTCAACTACAAGGGCAGAGTTGGGTAGTTGCAGCACAGACCATATGGCCCACAAACCCAAAAATATTTATTCTCTAGCCCTTGACAGAATAAGTTTGCTGACCCCTCACCTTTAACTATGACAACTCCTTGTGTTGAGGGCAAAGGTAAGTGGGACAGGTTTAGTATAATCAAATCAGGACTTAAGAGTGACTTAGAAAAAGGAAGTGCCGCTTGCACATTTGCAACAATTTGCCACAGAAATAGTCCTAGAAGATGCCATTCTGCATGTTGAAAGGAGTCCTTCTGGCTAGCTTTCTTTCCTCTTTTTCCTAGGGGTGGGAAGAGACCTTAGAGGTCGTCCAATTCAATCTCTTTTACTTCAAATGGATTTTCATCCCTGGTAATTGTCTTTGTTCACAGAAATCTTATCCAAGAAATTTCTGCTGGGATGGTATTATATTTGGCAGGGATGGACAGCATTTGTATTCCACAGCACATCTCTGAAGAGCCTCCTAGGGCTGGAACATCCAAGTTCCCAGAAATATCCTCTCTCCTGCAAAAAATTGGGCCTGCACGTCCCCTGCTCCCACCTTGAATCTCAGCCAGGCCGCATTGTGAAGCCATCTATTTCATGGCATTTCCAAACATTGGCTACTGCTATTCTCTCTCCTGCGACAGCGGGCATCTTATGTGTCTACTCGCGCTTGCAAATCGCAGGGTGTCTGACAGCACGCCTTGCGAGCAGCTGATTGAGGGCCCTCGAGTCATCACATTCCATGAATTCAAGTTAAGGTCCTGCTCAGGCTGCCCCACAGACCAAAGCCCAACTTTCAGTGAGTTGGTTCATTCCTTGTGCCTCAGGATCATCAATCATAAAACATTCAGGTCACTGCCCTCAAAGAGCAATCAAGAGGACTTTCAAAAAATCACAAATCCACGCAAGCCATTTAACAAGGTTTAGCAGGGACCAGTGTAAAGGATGCTACTTGTTACCAAGACAACTGTGATTCTCCCAAATAGTTTGCAAAAATCTTCAACAAAATATTCTTTGGGACAAAATGGTTTTTATTTTTCATCTTTCTAGCTAAGACCTCAATTATAATCTTCTTAGCTAGGTCTGAAATAATGAGGGTAGAAGTAGGAGTCAAAGGTTAAGGATACTTTTTTAAAAATAACGAGGCTTTCCCTCATCTTTCTCCTTTCTACAGCCCCATCCCAGTAACTCACAGAGATCCCTAAATTGTTCCATACAAGCTCATGCACAGTCCCTCATCCCACCCCACAAGTCACTGCCAAGCTGTCTCACCAGTCAATGGGAGGGCTTCAGCTAAGGCAGGTCCTGCTTGCAAGGCCACAACTTTGCAAGAGGCATACAGACAAGAACCGTGCAGTTCACACAGGAGGCCTATGGGGACAGATGAAAGTAGACCACGCATGGGCTCAGAAGGCTTGGGCCAGACTCAAATAACAGAGGGTGTGACAAGGTGGAGAAAAGAGGAAAGGGTCAGGGGCAAGAAAACAGGCCATTGATTCATTACCTGCGTGGCATCAGTAAGGCCGCCATACAGGCATCAGCTTACGGTTAACCCTTGGGCTGGTATGCAGGGACGTCAGGGCAGGAAATAAGACTGCGGGGCTCAGGAATTTACCCTTGCACGTCCTCTCACCTAAAATCAAAGAATCTGCTGTAAGAGGGGCCACCCTCTCTCATCTGACTGCACTACATTTCCTCTCAGACGGGTTTCCGCCAGCGGAACACCTCCCCACACACATCCCCCCAGCCCCACAAATGTCCACTTGTCCTTAGCAGGGGCGACAAACCAAGGATGGACAAGAACAAATTGTTGGTGGCTTCATGTTGTTGATTATTGGTTAGGAGTTCCTGATTCCCCAACCACTGGCCATCAAATATAAAGTGGAACGTGTGCCTCAGGGGAGGCGTGGGCCTAGCAAACCAAAAATTACTGCTCTCTTTCTCTTACTAAAGTGGGGCCCAAGTGACCAGCAAGCGGGATTGGAGGAGGGGGTCGGCACTTGCTCCAAAATAATCTGATTGGATGCTGCTCTGATTCTCGCCTCCCTCCAAGTGAACCTGTCCCAGGTGGGAGTGCGTGGAGACTCGGGAAAGTGGGAGTGGGAGGGAGGTTGGAGGAACTCCAAGAGAGGCTTGTCAGGCACCATCACCACACAGGCTTGCTCCTCTGCAGGGATCACAGGTGCAGGCTGAAGAAACGAATATGCAAGTTACCCTTTCTTGCCCATATGGAGCCTACATGACCTTCCTCAGCCTGGGGCCTGGCCTATTCTTGACGCGAAGCAGGAAGGACATGAGTGTGGGAAGACAGGGGTCATTGAGGTTGAAAGCTGATTGACTTACAGTCTTCC
Source organism: Homo sapiens (assembly GCF_000001405.40). Taxonomy (NCBI): domain Eukaryota; kingdom Metazoa; phylum Chordata; class Mammalia; order Primates; family Hominidae; genus Homo; species Homo sapiens. The sequence goes on from NC_000001.11 coordinate 182,670,471, forward strand.
TCTCCTGAGGGTCCCATTCTCAGTGCTTCAAACCCTTTGTTCCCACAGAAGACCTCTGATAGGAAGAAACACGTGAGGAGAGCAGCCTATCCATAAAGGGCTCCCCTGGGGGACTCTGACATCAAACATAGAACCCATTTTAAAAGGAACCTAATTTAGATAGATAAGACTCCTATGTGAGCTACACCATTTAAATTATTTTTATATTACCGCGACTATTTCACAAGTACTTTTTAAAAATAGCTTCTTTAATAATACTATAATTAATAAAATTAAAAGATTGCTTTGTTAAAACTAGAAAAAAAAATTAGTTAGACTGTGTATGAAGGTCCATTGTCACGGATTGTGTTCCCTGGCTGCAGGGACATTTCCTTAATCTTTCTCCTAACCAGGCTTACACTTGCTTCCTCAGAAGTCATGAAATCAAAGCTTTTGCAGCTGTGCCGGTCCCTAGAAGTCATGTTTGGGGCACCTAGGCCTCTTGCTGTGGGATATGGCCCCAGGGGAAGGGGAAACTCATGCAGGGACCTTTATTATCCTAGAGCCAAGTGGAACCAGAGACGACTACCCACCTACATTGCAGGCAAGGTCATTTGGGGCAGGGGATCACCCACCCTTCTGTCCCCGCCTTGTCTCTCTTCCCATTCCACTGCCAGCCCACACTGGCTTGCCCATGCTGTTCAGTTGCCTGTCTCTCTCCTTCAAATCCAGCGCTGCCCAAATTGCTGCTCAGACCCTCCACTACCCATTTGATGCTCTCAACCACAGATGCCAATAAATAAGAATCAGCAGGACACTCTGACCCAGCTGCCTTACCCATCCCAGCACCTCAGGGCTTTTATCCCATTTGGCCCTGGACTTCTGAGAGTTAGGAGTTACCCAAAGCCCAGGAAGTTCAAAGATCTGATTGCCCCCACAGTGCATGTGCCCTCATAGGTGGGCATCAAGTCACAGGTGTGTCTGGGGCAGACAGGATGAGACATAATGGGAAGACAGGATACTCAAAGAAAAAATGAAAGTTAAAAGCAAAGAACAAAGATTTACAAAGAGGGGGAGAGAAACTAGAGCCTCCGAGGGAAGAAAGCAATCAATATGCATGAAGAGGCAAGTTAATTAAATATGGATAATGCAATCGGTGCACACAGACACCCCGGAGAAGAAAGAGAAAAGCAAAGGCAATACTCACTGTCTTTGGCCAGTCCTCATGGCCTGAGGGTCTTTGCCAACTGGATGGTCAGAGAGGCTTCGGGTTAAGGTGTTCTGGGGAAAAAGTAGATCTTTCTTTTAGCAGTCAAATCCTCGGCGAGTGAAGGGCATGTGTGCATGAACACATAGGGGCACACACACACATATACACACACAGGCATGCACAACACACCTCCCACCACTTGAGCCAGGCAGCAAGCGGCCCCACTGAAAGCTCTTCTCTCTGCTTGTCACATCCAGTAAATACTGAAGCAGCCTACACCCAGCGGGCGGCGGCTCAGCTCCCGGGCACAGTCTGCACGCCCATCCTCATTGGCAGGATGCAGAAGGTGCCCCTGAGCTGAGCTCAGCCTCACTAACCTGAAGCTCCTCTGGCTGCAGCTCAGGGAGAAGTCCCCACAGCCCACAGCTGCCTCCCTCTGCACCCAGAGGCTGTGCGGGGGGCAGCAAAGAATAGGTATTAACTCTTTCCAGTCACCAGTGAGCTAAAAATCAAGTGTCCAGGGGACCCTCTTCTAATGAGCCCCGCTGCTGGCTGAAGGTTGGCTGCTGCACCGGGAGTGGGGAGCGTAAAGATCTTGCCCCAGACAGCTGCTGACAGCAGGAGCCACTCCAAATCAAATCTCCTAATGAGCCAGGAGGAGGGGGGCTGTCTTGCTGGGTGTGATGTGATGTGATAAATGCAGAGAGCAAGAAAGCTACAGGGCAGGTCACACATCTAAATTCCACCCCCTTTCTCTCAATTTCTATTGTGCTGCACTACCAAGCCAAACCACACAGCCCTGAAATTAGCCCTCTCTGCCACATCTCAGCTGTGCCCCTTACTCTACAGAGGCATTTCTCCCCCAGCTCATCTCCACTCCCACCCTAACCAGTGCCAACCACACCACTCCCCACTTCTTAATGAGAAATTTCCACCTCCTCTGCCTTCCCAAACATGCATATTTCCAACTCTGTGCTCCTGCCTCTCACCTGGTTTTTCCTACAGTAGAAACTCACCTCTCTCCCTCATCCATCACCTAGCAACTTCCCCCTACTTGCATTTGTTATGGAGTGAGACTTTTCCTTTTGTTCTGCCCGATCTGCACATGATCCCTATTTTTCTGTCTTTTCCATTTCTTTCTTCTTTCAAACCTCCTTACCCACATGGGTCTTCACACTGCCTGCTTCAGTTCCAGAAGGAGGACTCTCTTCCTGCTTGCCCTAGTGTAGTGGTTCTCCAAGCGTGGTCCCTGAACCAGCAGTGTCAGCATCACCTGAGAAGTATCAGAAATGCAAATGTTCAGGCCCCACCCCTAGACCTACAGAATCAGAAACTCTGGGGACAGTAATCAGCCTTCCAGGTGACTGTGATGCATGCTAAAGTTTGCAAACCGCTGCCCTGGGAGAAAGCTTGTCTTCTCGTTATGCTCTAGGTCCCTAAGGTTGAGTCTACACTCCCACTCAGGAACTAGCTCCAAAGACACATAGCCTTTGCTGCAAACCGTTTCTGAAACCCAGAAGGCAGGAGAAATCTCGACAGAAAGTGATGGCTTTATAATAATGGAAATGAATTCGATTTTTTAAACCTTTTTAAATGTATAAAGCATTTTCATGTATTGTCACTCAACAATCCTATGCCACAGTCAGAGAGGGTATTATTATTCCCATGTTACAGATGAAAAAACTGAGGCCAGAAAAGGTGATGTACCTTTATCAAAGCAACCCAACATGCCAGAGGAGGCACAAGGACCAGAATTTGAGTCTTATGACTCTAACAGCAGAGCTCTTTCTACTATATCATACCAGGACCCAGTCTTTCTGGGCAGATCTATTGGTGCATAACCTGAATTCTCTCGGTGAAATGATTCTGCCACAACTACTCATTGTCTGTTGATAAGATGAAATAAAAATTCTGATGCTGCCTCCACAGTGACTCATTGTCTCTTTCTGATATCGTCCACAGTGCCCCTCTATTAAAGAAAGGGAACTTTGTGTTATAAAATAAGATGCAAAAGAAAAGTTTCTCATTTCTTATTACCCCTTTCTTGAACCCTGTTGCTAATTGGGGTTTAGAACTTAAGCAGAAAGAGAACCCTTCATTTCTGGACATTTTCTTGGTACACGGCACCATAAGAAACTTGTACACAGATAAACTGGTGAATAAAAGCCCATTGATAAGCACTCCCCTAATTCAAGATATGTTTATAGAATAAGGTGAATCCACATAGCTAATGTTTAATGAGCAGTTAGTATGTGCCAGACACTATGCCAAACATCGTATTTGAGTTATCTATTTAATTTTCAGAACAAATTTACAAAGCCAACACCTTTATCATCTCCCTTTTACAGATGGAGAAACAGAGACGCGTCATTTAAAAGTGGCAGAGCTGGTATCTAGCACCAAACCTGATGCTTCCAGCCTCTGCTCTACTCCTTGCTTTAACACAAAGGTAGTGCCATCATAGGACACTTTCTACCAGCACTAAAACAGCGGAACAAAGGCCTCCTCCAAATCTCACGCTGCCCCGGCCAGTGTCCACGGGGTAAAGGCCCCAAGGAAAGAGAGCAGGGCTGCAAATGGGCCTGAGTCGCAAGTGGAAGCTAATCAATATTAACCAGGCATCAGAATCTTCAATTAGCCTTTGGGAAAATAATATAGTCACAAGAAGTCAATAAGTCCAATGTTTAAAAAGAGCTATAGTAAACAAGAAAAATGTAAAAGAAAGAACAGGAATATAAAGAGCAGAGGGACAAAAGTGTGTGGACATGAATAACACAAGGAAACGGAACATTAAAACTAGTCCAAGCTTTTTTTTTCTAATCAAAACACTCCTAAATGCCAAAAAGTAATCACAGAGGACCATAGTTTGAGAAGTACAGACGTAGTGCAGGCCCCGCTTACAAGAGGACACCAGCATAATCTTCCAAAGAGGCCAGGGCATAATTTCAGGGAGGAGAATTAAGCTGAACCTAAAGTAAAGCATTCTAGCATCGTCTTCTTTCCTGAAACAAATAAACAGAAAAGGCAAGCAGAGTTAAGTGCTCGTGAGAAAGGAATTCATCACCTTGGACTCTACATTCCCCAGGCTTAGAGCTCTGGCCCAGGAATGTAGAGCTCTGGGTTCTTTTCCAGCTACTGCTCCTGACTTGCTAGCTGCAGTTGGCACAGGACATCTCAACTGGCCACAACTCACGTTTCTTACAGGAACACAGTGATTGCAAGCCCTGCTCCTGCCTCTGGGCTGTCCTGCCCGCCTCTGAACTTCCCAGTCTATACTCACTCCTCTTGGGAAGCCCTGCCCTCTCCAGGCACCCACCACTCCTCTCCAGAATCAGTGCTTCAATCTTGCCTCTTCAGCTCTAGGCCGCTTTTCCAGAGGTTTGCTGGACAGTTCCTCACATCTCAGACCCTGCACACTATACTCTTCTCTAAACAGACCCTGCATGCTATACTGTCTCTAAACAATCACTCTCCCCCATCCTCCATTCCTGCTGGGCTCCCTGTGCTTACTTGTGACATTACTCTGCCCAAGTCCCACAAGGGACCCTAAGCCTAACCCTAACCCCAACAAGTACAGACATTTCTGGCTTCTTTTTCTCCATTCCCTTCCTAAATTGGTTTTTAAATCTTGTCATATTTTTGAAGTATTTCTCAACTTCATTTCCTCCCATCCATTGATGCTGCCATATGAGAGGTTATTCAACCCCCAGCACCTGCACAACCTCCTGCCCTCTCTTAAATAACTGATCTCCCTGCCCTCATTTCTTTCTCTGCCCACCCACAAACCTTCTTGCACACTACACTACCACCAGAGTACCACTGAACAGATACCATAAAGTGGATCATCTGTGCAATCATCTTTGATGGGCTCCATTGCACCTCCTTGTCCTGCCTGACAATGAGTTTGTCCCGTTTGCCTATCCAGGTTTTCTATCCCACACACATGCATGATTCCTCTGCTGTCCCTTCTGCCCGGAATGTCCCCACCCTTGATCTGCCTATTAACTCTCAGCTTCTTCCCTAAACCCATTACCTCAAGCTAAAAATTCTCCTTTCCAAACCTTTTTCAGAATTCTCCCAATCAGAAGGAACCCCCTCCATCCCAATAGCACCACCTTGCTGTAAGGCCCTCTGACAGCCCACATCACAGGCATAGTTTATTCTTAAGATTTATATTTTCTGAGCCTCTCAACTGACTGTGTGCTCCAAAAAGACAGACTCTTTTACTTACTCTCCTTACTATTAATTCTCATTAACTCACAGAGAGCAGGTGTTGAGTAAATGTCGGCTAAATTTGATTTTGAGTTCGTGAAAAAAAAATCTGAAAAATCGCCGAGGATTCTTTATGGTAGAAACATGTTAGACTTCTGCAGCCTTCTGGTCAAGACTGAAGTCAACAGAATGCTAATGACACTCAGGGTCAGCTGCACAGGTACATAAGGCATTTGCAAACTAACCCAATAGCCTGGTCAGGGCAGTGTGGAATTCATCAAGAGCAAAAGGAGCACCTGGCATTGTCACACAGGCCATGAGAATGTAATTAAATTGAAGATAAAGGGAGTTTAAATTTGCAATATAATATTTTAAAAAGCCACGAGAGTGGAGGAGGTTTATTGCCAAATGCCCCTGTGTGTTTATGTAATCAACATACCACCTAGGATAATACCACATTTAAAGCTTTTAATAAAACAGTCATTTGGATATTAGATTTGAATTCTGGTCAGCATGCTAAAGCTCTTCCGTAAATCTTTTAAAAGCAATTTCCACTTCGTAGCTTCCTAGTAACAGTAGAAACATGAATCAACATATGCTGCATTGATTTAGGGTTTCCATGGAAACCGGAAGGACACATGGAAGGGCAGGACAGAAGGAGGTCACTTGGCCCAAAATTCTACTTTAAAAAATGCACCTCTATCTCATTCCTCTGAGCATTAGCAGCCTCATTTCCTGTTCATCAGTTCAAGCATCCACATATTTAATTTGTAATAACGCTGCTCAACTCCTCATAAGGAACATCAGAGGGGACATGGAGAAAAGTCAGCAGCTGAAGCTGTGTGCCCATGAGGTTTTCAAAGAAAACCAAGAAGCACAGGATTTGGAATCAGAAGAAAGGGCCTTTGGTACTAACTCTGCAATTAACTAGCTCCATGACACTAACTACTTCTACTAGCTCTGTGACCACCAACGAACATCACCAAGACATTTCAACTTCAATTTCCTCATCTGTAAAACACAAATTAACACACCTGCCCGGTCTATTTCTCAGGGCGATTATATGCAAAGAAATGAGAAAGTCTATGGGGGAAATGCCCTGTAAATTCCAGTACATCACACCCTATTATTATATTTGAAGATGATCTTGGCTTCCCTTTAAATGGAATTTTGCCAGTGAGCAAGGAGATGAAAAAAACAAAAAAAAAGTTTCCTAATTTAGTGGAGATTAGACTGACTGGAAAAGAAAGTGTGGTGGATTTGACAGCCCTGAGCTTCAACCCCAACTCCGTAATTTTCCAGATTAAGGGCAGATCCAGAACTGTGGGCAAGCTACTCGCCCTGTCTGAGTATCATTTTCATCATGGATAAAATGAAGATAATAACAATAGCAATGTCATAGTCTCGTTATAAGGATTGAATTAGATAATGTAATGCAGTCTTCATCACAATTCTTGACAAACGGCAAATAGCTGTTCTGTGTGAGCCACTTTTATCATTATTCGTAGTCTTTTCAACTATATTTTATCATCTGTAAAATGGTAATTAAATTTCCTACTACTTCCTCATTTTACATAGAGGATTACTTAGATGTCTGTTCAGCTATTTAATAAGCTGTTTGGGGAAAGGTGCTATATAAATAGAATGCCATTATTTAAAGTTTCACTTTTTTACCACCTGCTCAGCGAGGTGAGACAAAAATGTATAAGATAGCACATCTGTAATGATTCTCCAGCTGCTCAGTGGCTGGGGGTTACGTAAGTCTCTGTTACCTTTCTCATTTCCTTTTGTTCCTCTTGAGCATTCATTTGTCTCCTCACTGCTCACTGCAGGGTTTTCCTCTTGCCAGCCTCTTTTCTTTATTCACTACTTTATACTCCCCCTTCTAAGTGTGTCTAGAAAGAAATTTCAAAGTTAAATTTTGGAGGCTTTGGTGTCTAAGCCTGCGATTCTTCCTTAGGTCTCCTCAAATGAAATGGTATAGCAACAGCAAAGGAAATGAAACAAAATCAGGAGATGTTAGAGGATTACACAGTGCTGCCTCGCAGACAATGGCCATCAGGGTTAAAAATAAAGCTGAAGAAACACCTCAGCCAAATGTAATACATGGACTTTGTGTTGAATCCTGATTCAAATGTAAAATTTTAAAAATAATACAGTGCAATTGAGAAAATCTAAACACTGATTAGATATTTAATAGTATTAAGACATTATCGTTATTTTTTAGTGCAATTTTGATATTGAGGCTTTTTTAAGAGACCTTATCTTTTAGAGGTATACTCTGAAATATTTATAGTTGAAATGATATGCTATCATGAACAGCTTCAACATCATCTTGGGTGGGAAGCTGGGTGGTAGGTACGTAGGGACTCATTGTTCTGTTCTCTTGACTTGTGTATATTTGAAATTGTGCCTACAATGTGTGGCTTCAGTAAAATAAGCCAACAAAGTACAAGAAAACTGAAATACAGAAGGAGGAGACTATTTGAATGGAACTTGATTTTCTGTACATTTTCCATTGTAAGTTTTTCTCCCCTTGAATAAATCCATTTTAAGAAAAGTCTATTATTTTATGCCTAGGGAGCAGGTGCTAAAATTCACAGAGGTTTAGAGTGGGTATAACTCCTAGACATCACCTACAGAAACTAAACTTTGAAGACTTTGTCCAATGTCACATTTCTTAGAGGCATAGCCAGGACTCCAACTCAGAGTTCCTGGATGGAATCCAGCCACATCCTTTGTTCCCACTGCTGAGCTGCCCATCTATACAGGCAGAATTCAGGGCCATATGTTAACACTGGACAAGGAGAGAAATGATGGCCTGTTTGCTCACCTCCACAGCCCTTCTCTGTTCCTACTATGATCACAGCCTTAAACACTGAACTCAGGTTTTACAAATGACCTTTCCAGTGGCCAACTAGTTTCTGTGAGGGCAGCTGAAGGGCAGGAAGGTAGAGTGGAGAGAGAGAGCTTATGCAACATACACAACTCTTCACACCCTCACAACCTGATCTCCTGTCCCATCAAGATCATCAAGGCCTCAGGTATGAAATACCTGGACCTCTTTTCACTTACTAACAACTCCTACTAATCTATCCATATTACACACACCCTGACCTCCTTCCAGCTGCCCTCAGATGTGTCTATTTAAGGTGAATTCTTCCTCCTGTGGCCTTCCACCTATTCTTTCCCATGGACCCTCCTTTATGAACTCTATCTTTATTTTCTCTTTCTCACATGTTATTCTGCACTTAACAAAAACAATGTTCATCTCTTTTATTTAAAAAAATTCCCCTTGGGAAACACCCTTGGGTGTTTCTCCTTTTATCAGCAAAACTGCTTGAAAGAGTCTCCTCTGCTTCCTCACTTCCTATCCCCTCCTAACCCCTTTGCCATTTGGCTTCCATTCCCACCATTCCCCCGAAACACAGCCTCCATACTGTGAGGTTCAAGTGGAAATGTTCCAGTACTTGTCTTTATGAACCTCTTTGCTGCCTTTGCCATGGTGACCATTCATTTCTTGGATCTCTCTCTTTTGACTTCCCAACATTACACTCCCCTGGCTGCCCTTCCCCTTGGTCTCCTTTGCTGGCTCCTCCTCCTCTGTCCACCCCATAAACACTGGTATTTTCCTTCCTCTCTAATCTTAGCTTCCTGCCTCTCTCACCTTGCATGCTACTTGGGCAATCTCATCCTTGCCCATAGTCCTAACTACATTGGGTATATTGACCATTTCTAAATATTTTTGTCCAACTCTAGCCCCTCTCCCATCATGTAGACACCAATAGCTCCCAATCATGTAGACTCCGATAGTCCTTGGGTTGCTGAACATACCCCTCAGATATCCTACAGGCCTAACAACTGCAAATATATCTAAATAATGGACACATCATATTCCCATCTTTTCTTGGCCCATTTTATCCGCCGCCCTCACCACGCCCACCTCCCACTCCACCCGCACCCCCTACACACACATATAAACCTTGGCTTCCTCTGGAATTGCTGATCTCAGTTTCTGGCACCACCATCTACTGAGTAACTCAAGCCAGAAATAGGAAAGTAATTACAGGCAACTCCCTTTCTCTCATCTCCTGTCGACAACCAATTACCAAATCATACTGATTAAATCTTTCATAGTTTTCAAATCTGTCTCCTCCCCTCCATCCTCGCTACCACTGCTCTGGCTCATGTCCTTACGGTCCTGGTTCACGTCCTCACAGTCTCTGGTCCCCATGAGACAGCCTATTTTCTTAAATTCAGCTCCAATCTGCAGCCATAATCACCTGGTTAGTCACAAACATGACTGCATTTCCTTCTCCTCAAAACCTTTAAGCCCTCCTACTCTAGGGATAAAGTTCCAGCTTAAGAAGGATCCTGATACACAAACACCCCAAGGTCTGGCTACCTTGAGAGTCACCTACCACTTCCCTGGCTTGTCCTTCAGGCCCCAATAACTCTACACTTTCCATAATCATGAGCACATATCACAGGGTTCCATGGCTTTGGGCCTCCTTTATTTCATTTCCTCTGCCCAGAATGTCCTTGATCTGAGTGAGTCCTGCTCATCCTCAAGCTGCACTTCAGGACGACTTCTCCAAAAGCCTCACCTGAACACCCAAGTTCAGGAAATGCCCTCTGTGCTCCTATGGCTTCCAGGCACACTTCTCTATGTCAGCACCTGGCATAGCTAGGTACCTGCAACTCTCTTCTCCTAACCAGATCCTAAGTTCATCAAGGGCAGAAAGCATGGGTTCATTCATTCATTCATTCATCTGACTAACATTTAAGTGTCTCCTATGTGCCAAGCAAGGTCCCAGGCATGGGTACATTACATTCCCTATGTACATTGCCTAGGTAAAAAACGTATTTTTCATCTCTACACCTCCAAAATGTAGCACGGTCCCCGGCAACAGGAAAAGGCTCAGTTAATGTATGTTGAGCTGACACGAGCCCCCCAGCAGGTAGGTGAGGAAACTGTGTTTGGTGTAGGATGCTGGCCAACAGAGACAGTGTGGAGTCACAGAGTGGCACAGGCTCCAGGGTCAGCAACAAGGGTTCAAGCTCCAACTCTGCCCCTTTATGGCAGGCTCTCCTTGGCTTAGGACCTTGCCTTCTCATCTCTGAAATCAGAATTACTAAGGCAATGCCCACTTCCTGTGTTACTGCAAGAATTCAGTGAAATATATAAGTAAACATGGGCTGTAAATCACTTAGGCTTATGAAAACATTGAGTCACAGGGAGAACATCAGAGTCCGAGAAGGCAGAAGCCCCACACCCAGTGGGGAGAGGTGTGGAGGCTGCATGGATGGGACAGGAGGGCCAAAGGTGGAGAAGCAGAGGGATGTAGTTTTCAAAGCCATGGAGCTGAGAGGCAAGCATGAAACCCTGTCACAACTGAAATGTGGCTTTCCCTCCTATCGCTCAGTGCCAGGGTGCTGGTTATCAATCTCTTCCCCTTCTCAGATAGTAACAAAAGCTTTACCATTTGCCATCAGAGTCTACAGCTGTGGGCAGAGAGCAGCTTCAGCACTCTCCCCCTTCTCTGAATATAAAATAAGCTCTTTCTAATCCTCCATTTTTAATGACTTCAGGCAATGGCTTTCATGTCCTCACTCCTAGCTCCATTCTAGCCAGACACCTAGAATCACGCAGCAAGGAGAATCCACAGCCATCAGACCCAGGAGTGGGGTTCGGCCACAGCAACAGCAGCAGGGAATAGTGGAGTGGAGTCTGGGACTCTGGGGACAGTTCTCCCACTGGTATTTGCTCCGAAATTCACACAGAACTGGGAACTGAGAGCACTCAGTGAGACGCCTTGCTTGCGGGCATGTGCTGGTGCACGTTAATGTCTGAGCTGGAGGCGGGAGGAGGGACGAGGGCTGTGTGGGTGCACTCCGATGCACGGAGATGCTGAGCAAATTCCCCCTGACACTTTTCCTTGAGAGACAAGGCCCTGGGAGGAATCAACCTTAAGCCACTCAGCTTTTCTGAGACCCTCTTCCTTCTAGAACCTTTTACTGCTGAATTCAAAAGCCTTTGGGAAATTCCATACAGAGAACACTGACCAATTCCATGCAGAGAACACTGGCAAAGGTTCTGATGATGATGCTGATATTTCTTGGACGTGAAAAATACCCCCCAGGCACAGAGGGGAAGCAAGAAAGCATTTCTGACATCTCTAGAAATGTAGGTGTTTGGACAAAGAAGAAACCAGAAAGCATAAAACAGAGAGCCTGGAATAGAATAGACAGGAAAATTGTTCTAAGTCATAAAGTCATTATATTAACAAAACTTACATTTGTATAGCGCAGTCACAAGCTGGGTTGTGCTATACAAATGTGAGTTTTGTTACTTATAATCACAAGTCACAAGTTGGAGCTGGGATTGAGAAAGGAAGATGGAGAACAAAAAGGACATTTGAGGCTTAGCACCTGCTAAGTTGGAAGAACAGGCATATTTCTGCACCCTTGCTCCTGGCAAGAGTGGTGGGCTTAAAGGTTCTGAAGGGTCTGTTAGAGAGTAAATGGGGATGATGATACAAGGACAGGTGCTTTCACTTCTCTGGCTGAACTTCCTCGAGTTTTTTTTACCCCCCTTGAGCCTCAATTTGTTCTAGGAAGTTGGGAGAATTAAACAGCATCATGTGGGCAAGTACCTGGCAAAGTTGTTCAGCACATCTTGACCACTGGGAGCTATCATTCCTTTCAGCTGATCCTCACAAGCTCCTTTGAAAGTGAGCCAGACACTTGTTATCACTCATTTTACAGATGAAGCTGCTCAGTGGCCCTGAGTGGAGGGCCCAGGGTAATTCAATTAATGGCCCTAAGAAGACTTGAACCCAGGACCTCCAGTACTTTTTCCACCCCAACTCTGCCTATTCAGCTCATGCTGCTGCTGACCCATGGCTGAGATCCACACTTGGAGGGTTTTTCTTAACAGAAAGATGAGGGTTTGGCTCAGCTGTCCATCCACACTCTTGCTCTGTCCTCTAAGAGCCCCTTGCTATAGTGGCATGGCTGTTGTGACTAAGGAACCATGTTCTCCAGGTCAGAGTTCACTGACCCACGGGAGAAAGACCTTCACCTAACTGGCATGTTTCATTCACCTGGACAAGAATAAGAGCAAGTTTTCAGATCCCTTTTTGTGTTAGACACTATGTGGAAAAAATCTTTAAACAAAGAAGAAGCTAGAAGGATGTGATACCCAAGGGAGGCTTACCTTGACCTGGCCATGGTGAGATGTGGGCCACACTACACACTCTACTGCCCACTCACTTATCACCTTTCCAGTCTAACACACACTTCTTTCAGGAAACCTGCTCTAAGAATGGGTGGAGAACAAACAGTTAATAAAGACTAGTTTACTGGAGTGATTGCTCACAGGACTCTCATTCTCAAAATAATAACAGCCATCATCAGCGTAATACCATGTTGCATGTTCAGAGCTTTTAACTGTAACCAAGAACTACTATGATCTCATGAATACAGTTATCTCACTCCCACTTGCCAGCACCTCCTCCATTTTCCAGGAAAACTCTAAAGTTCTTCAAATCTGTAAGAACAAACAATCCAGAATTAACCCAGACTTCAGGATGGGGTAAGCTTTCCTTCATTATTTCATTAGACTCTAAGCACCCCAAGGTCAGGACCTACAAACACTTGCAAGCCAGGTTCTCAGTATGTAGTTCAACAATAGGTTGATATTGAGTCACCATTCTATCACAGAAAGAGAAGAGCAACCCTCTTCCCAGTGCTCAAAAAAAAAAAAAAAAAAAAAAAGTCACTGACTAGACAGTGCTGAGAAGTACCCATTTAGCTGATGCCACGGACTCTTCAGTCCCTGTAGGAGGCAACCGTGCCCTCAACTCACTGCTTAGAAATTGGTGACCTCCAATTTTAATCTCCCTCCAACTCATTGTGATTGTGAGTTCTTCTGCATCGGAATGTGTGACCAACGTTAGTCACCAGCAACACCAAAGACCTGCACATGTACTGGAAACAAAACAGATTCTGTGTGCTGCCAGACTGCTGTGCAAGCAACCCATTTAAAACAACAGCAGAAAAAGACATGAATGAAACTAAAAATAAAGAGACAGTGTTATCGTCCAGATATCAACCTACAATATTTTCAGAGCCCCCTAAGGGAGCTGAGGGAAGAAACAGGATCACCTTTGAGGAGAAAGCAGGTGTTAGGGGACCTGAGGAGTTAGGGTTGAGGAAGGAGGATGGAGAACACAAAGGACATTTGAGGCTTAGCACCTGCTAACTGGGAAGAACAGGCATATTTCTACACCCTTGCTCCTGGCGGAGGTGGCGGGCTTAATAGCTCTGAGGAGTCAGAGAGTAAATGGGGACAATGACAGGAGGCCAGAACCTTTTCTGCCCTGCAGTGCCCTGCACCTCTCAGCAAGACTTATAGCCTGGGCTGACCTGCCCAGGGACCCACTCAGGCCCTGATGGAAGCAGCTGCTCTTTCTTACCTGCCTGGCGGTGGGCAGCGCAGCTGGGAAGGTGTGGCTGGTGCGGGCCCCAGCTGGGCATGGTTCGGTGAGGCCCTGAGTGATAGAGTCAGCCACCTCCTCCTGGCACCTGGGAGAGGGTGGCAGAGGGCAGCCCACTTCACCCAGCGCCCCTAGAATAGCGGCTGCAACATGCTGCTCCTGCCGGCTCCGCTCCTCTCCAGGCTCTGCATCTCATGAAAAGGGAAAGAGCGAGTGAGCGGCAGGGGAGGGGGTGGGGAAGCAGAGGGAGGGGAGAGGGGCACTCTGACAGATGATGCGCACTGCCACGCAGAGTCGGGGGAGGACCGCAGGCTCCAGCAGGATGGCACTGCCTGTGTGGCTCTCCCGCTCCCAGCTCGCTCACAGACAGCTGCCTCCGAGGGGCTGGTGGCTCTCCAGAATTCAGGGAGAGGCAGAGTTCAGAGGGGATGGCAGAGGGGAAGGTGAGGGAGGGAAGAGATCACCTGGGACACAAGGAGGCGAAACGGGGTAACTGGCTTGTGGGAGAAAGGATAACCTGCTTTTGCTCAAAACATTCCAAGGTGAAAGTGGTTGCTTTATGAGAGATGGCGAAGGGGGAAAGATAAAGCCCCATATTCCTGGCCTGGCTTCAAGGTTGTCGCTCTCCTTTCCTAACCAACAAGGCCACTTTTGCTTAGGATTTCAGCAATGGCTAAGGCAATTTATATCACGCACAGCTCCAACTTTCTCAAAGAGGCAAAAAAAAAAAAAAAATTAGACATGAAAGAGTGTAATGCATGAAATGTTCTGTGTCATTTGTCACCCTCTGCTGCAAACAAGCCTGACTGTCCCCTCGACCACCTGCCCATCCTGTGGCCAGAGGGTGGTGGTGGCAAGAACAGGAGCAAGAGGAAGCATCATGGAGAAATGGGGAGAATGTGACGCTTCTGTCTGTAAAGGTCCATTTGGAGAGTCAGGACAAAACCTCTTGGACAGCTTGGGCCAGAGCCCAGAGCAGCTTTGGAGTGGAGAGGTGACCCTTCACATGGATCCCACAGTCTCCTGGACCTGCCATGCACATGAGGCAGGTTCACTGCGCAGGGCGGAGCTTACAGTCACCAGCTCTATTTACAACCACAGCCAGAGAAAGAGACTGACAGGGAAGTAAATCAACAAACCATGGAAGACAGAGAAGACCAAAGGAAGCTGCAGCTGGGGAACTCTCCACAAACACAGCTAACGATGGGAAGAGCAATCTCAAGCAAGGGCCTTCTCTGGAGGGAGGGAACAGGAGGCAGAGGGAGGGCAGAACACGACTCTTGCAGGTCTCCAGTGAACTGTCCTTCCCTGCTGCACTCTGGGCGTTCTCAGTCAAGCCTGACTCCTGAGGTCCTGACAAGCACTGACCCACGAGATGACCCCTCAGGGGACAGGTCACCATTTCACTGCTGCACCATTTCGACAAAATCAGGCCGATTCAGCAGACAACTCTTGGGAACCTAGTATGTGCTGTGGGGGATGCAGTGACGACTAAGACCTCCTTGTCATGTATTAGGTGACCCAGTGGAGGAGAGAGAGATTTAAATAGCTGACTCCAATGCATGGAGAAGTGAGTTAAGCACTCACAGAGCTCTGCGGAAATGCTGGGGGAGCACGGAGGAAGGGGGATTAAGTCCAACTGGGAAGTCAGGGAAATCCCCTCAGAGGAGGCGTCCTCTGGACACAACCTGCACCCTGAAAGTTACATGTGGATGTCGACAAGCAGAGTCGACTGGGCTAGAGAAAGCAGGGCTGAGGAACAGCCTGGGCAATGGCATGGAGTCTAGAGGTACCTGGTATGTTTGGGAAACAGTGAGTGTTCTTTCTAGGGAGGCAGGAGAAAAAAGTAGAGTGTGATAGGATGCCACAGTGGTGAATGCAATGTAAAGGGTCCATTGGGACCACACGGTAAAAACTTTAAACAAAGAAGTGTTGATCGAATTTTTTTTTTATCATCAGATCTGTGTTTTGAGAAGATACTAAGTGGAGAGGGATTGGAGGCAAGTAAAGCCCATCAAAACTTGTTACAAATTCCTAGGTGAGAGAAGATGAGAGCCAAAAAAAGACAATGGGCTTGAGAGGAAAGGACAAAGTACAGAGATTTGGGGAGACTGAATTAGCATGACGAGATCCTCTGTGAAGGATAGGGTGAGCTCAGAATGTGGGGCTTGGGGATGGGAAGGAGCTGAGAATGACTCTACAATCCATTTGAGAACTAGTTCTTAAGGCTAAGGGACCTAGGAGGAAAAGCAGACTTTGACCTGCAAATGAAAACTAATTGTGTGTTTGCCTGAGCTCTGTTGATAGGCCAGGGCAGAAGTGGAAGAGGAGTTGGAAATACAGCATTGGATCTTAGCAGAGAGGTAGGATTTGGGAGCTCTCCACCTGAAGAAAAGAGATGAGGGGAGTAAATGGAATCACCCAAGGACAGCAAGAGAAGAGGGGCTGAGGGCAGGACTTTGAGAAGTGACTACATTTACAGGAGGAGCAGAGAAAGAGGAGCCAACCAAAGATACTGAGAAAAATCATCTGAGAGAAAGAGAGTAGGAGGACCAGAGGAATGAAGTGTCACAGGAGCCAGGAAAGATGAGCTTTTGAGAAGAGTCAAATACGGCAGAGAAGTTAATGTGGGTGAGAACTGAGATGAAAATGGCAAAAAGAATTTTCGTCATAGGTGACCACCGGGAACGTGGCTTAGTGCAGTGCGTCTCAGACTTTAAGAGCATGAGAATCCTCCAGAGTACTTATTAAAATATGGATTTCTGGCCCCCACTCCCAGAGTTTCCAATTCAACAGGTCTAGGGTGGGGTCTGGGAATACGCATTTATTTCTTTTTCTGTTTTTTTCCCCCAAAGATGGGGTCTCACTATGTTGCCCAGGCTGGACTTAAACTCCTGGCCCCTCAAGGGATCCTTGGGCCTCAGCCTCTGAAGAAGGTGGGACCATAAGCCTGAGGGCTCCAGGAATTTGGATTTCTAACAACTTTCCAAAGATGCCAGTGTTGCTGGTCTGGGTACTGCACTTGACAACTATTGGCTTAGAGTATTGCTTCTCAGATTTTCAAATTATGGCACACACAGAAAATAATTTTTGTATGGAATACCAGAGTAAATGGAACCCAGGGCTCTGCCAGACTGCCCAAGGGCTGAGGGAAGAAATATCTCAGCACATGGCAGTGTACACTAGCCAAACAGGTTGGGGAGGTTTGGCTGAGAGGGATAAAAGGGGAAAAGGTCAAATACCAAAATGTGAGTGGATCACTAGGCTGTCAAAACAACAGAAATGGATTTTGCTTTCAAGAACAGGGACTCTCTTTCATCTTTGTACCTCCAGCACCAAGTAAGTATCTAGCATATATAGGGACTCTGCATTTGTTAGAATAAATTGAATTAAGAAGTTTGGCTGAGAAGGAAAAGGGAGATGTTGTTGCCTGCAAAAAATACAGAACCAACTGAACCAATACAGAAAATACAGAAATAAAGAAGAAAGAAACCCAGGTTTAAGAAGGCAGAAACATTTCTTTACCTATCCCTGACCAAGGAACTCCACCATTTCCTTAGTGAAGAGGGATTGGAAGACATCTCAGACTACATAGAGTTTATGGTACATTTACACTGACTTATGATAAACTGCATAGCTTTTAAACTGCGTATGTCCTATTGTCTGGTAGAGGTAAGGCTTTAGAAACCTTCTGCCATTGTGCAAATCTCTTTATTAATTCACTTGCCAGTATTTAGTTAGAGTGTTCTTAGGATAAGAAGATCTGAATATTCAGAGGAAGAGATTAAAGAGATTAAATGTATAAGAAAGGTATACCACCTAATACCTTGTCTTGATTTTTATCTTTTATTGAAATGAATTCTCCCAATAAATTGTAAGCTCTCTGAGAGCAGAGGCTATAACTAATTCATCTTTTCTAGCCAGTGCCCTCTGCAGTGCCTGTTACTTAGTAGATAGTACACACACACACTTTCTCTCTCGCTCGCTCTCTCTCTCTCTCTCTCTCATCTTCATTTTTAAGAAAGAAGGAAAGAATGAAAGGGAGAAGAAAGATGAGGAGGAAGAAAAAGAGGGAAAAGAAGAAAAAGAGGCGAAGTGTTATATGTGATGGCCCCAGAAAATGACCACGCCCTAATCCTTGGAACCTGTGACTATGTTGTCTTGGCAAAGGGACTTTGCAGATAAGGTTAAGCTTAAAGACCTTGAGATGAAAATATTATCCTGGGTTATCTAGGCAGACTCAATCAAATCATATGAGTCCTTAAAAGTGAAAGAGGAAGACAGAAGAGTGAGTCAGAGATAAAGCCAAAGAAGGAGAGATTCAAACTATGAGAGGGACTCAACCCATGTTTGCTAGCTTTGAAATGGAGAAAGAAGGCCAGGAGCCCAGGAATACAGTTGCCACTAGAAGCTGGAGACCAACCCAGCTGAAGTTCATCAAGGACACAGGACATCAGTTCTGTAATCACAAGGAATTGAATGCAGCACAACAACCCAAATGAGCGGGGAAACAGAACCTCCCCTCCAGCCTCCAGAAGGGAATGCAGACCCGGCAACACTGATTTTAGCCCAATGAGACCGCTGTGGGAATTTCAACCTACAGAGCTGTAAGATAATAAATCTATGCTGTTTAAGTCACTGTGTCCGTGGTAATTTGTTATGGTAGTAACCGAAAACTAACATAGAGGGGCTGTTCTTGGTTGTAGTAAGGACATGTCTTTGCATTTCAACAGGAGCAAAAAGCAAAAAACGGTATAGAGATATAGAAGACTGTTGAAAAACCAAAATCAGAAACTAGATGGCCTTTGCCTTTTAGTGAAATGTAAGATCTAAATCTCTCCCTAACAGCATCTCTCTCTCTCTCTCTCGTGCACGCGCACGCACACACACAGACACACACACACACACACACACACACACACACACACACACACCCCACAAGTGAATATCTGAGCTCAATCTTAAATAATTTATTAGGATCCCTTTCCTTCCCTGGTATATCTTACTTCCAGTAAAAATAGCTTTATCTCTCTGATTGATTAGCTACTGTTGAGGAAGTCTTTCTTTGCTCTCCTATACAGTATTATCTGTCACAGGGAACACAACAAATGCCTAAGGTATAGGAGGAGAAAAGTAGAGAGGGGCCATCTCCCCTGGCAAGAGAAGAGAGCCTCTGGTGATGAGAATGCAGAGCCCACTAACAGAAGGAAAGAAAGTAAATAGACAGCAGAAACACAATCAAAATCACCCAGTCCTGGGATAGGAAGGAGTCAGAAGATTCCAGGTAGACAGAAAATAGGATGGATGAATGGATGGATATGGATATAGATATAGTTAATGGTCAAAGGAACAAAGAAAGCTGCTGAACTCCACCATATGGAACAATTTATATATAGAGCCATGAAAGTTCAACTCTCCCTAGACTTGGGCGCAAATGGGCACAGGCCAGCATGTGAGCACATGCACATACACAATGACACTCATCACTCACAGAGTTTAAATCTTGTGATATCTCAAGGTCACTTCTAGGGAATAGAATTTAAAATATCTGTCTGGAGATCCTGTTCTTGGCCTGATCAACCTGTCTGAATAATCCTTGGACTTCATTCATTTTTCTTATTCCATTTCCATAGGCAGAATGTGGGCTCTAGGGTCAGAGAGGTACTCTGAGGACAAATCCCAGCTCAGCCACTTACCAGTTCTGTGACCTTGAGCAAGTCACTTAACCTCTCTATGCCACAGGGTCTTTTCCTGGAAAAGAGGGATACTCATCATACTTGTCTCATAGGGTTGTAAAGAGAGTTAATAAGTTTATGTGTGAAAAGCCTTAACAACTAATGGATAGCCCCTCTGCTCCTTCATAATTCATGCCCCCCTGACATCTCATAACATCCTGTACTTCTCTGGTACAACAATAGCACACTACTTTTCGATTACCCATTTTCTTGTCTGTGTCACCTGGCTAGACCATAAGCTCCATGAAGGCAGGGACTGAATCTGTCTTGTTTCACTCTGCTATCCTCACCTTATCCCAGGTATTCAAATATCAGTGATGGAGTTGTACCTCTCACCCTAGGTTATTAAATTCTTAGCATATAGGCATGGATGTTTAAAATATTTATCAGTATCTAGCTCTGTCCCTTTGGGCGAGTCATTTAAATTCTTTGGGTCCCCATTTTCTTTTTGTTAAATGACAGGGCTAGACTAGGTCATCTGTAAATTTGTTCCCAACTCTACAATTCTACAATTCTGTGCTTCATTTATACTTCTGGTCTCATCTGAAATAAATTGTTAAGTAGTTTGGACAAAAAATACCTCGTGATTTGATAAAACCATTACTAGGATATTATCAACAGCTGTGGCAGATTGTTGAAGTGATGGCCCTTCATTTGTTCACAGCTCTCTCTATCCATGACCTCTCTATCCATTACACGGTACTCTCTCCCACCCTGACTCTAGGTTTAGCTATGTAACTTGCTTTGGCCTACAGGACAATAGCAAACAGGATGCAAGTAGACTTGAAAAGCACTTACAAATTGGGGCTTGCTTTCTCTTGCCACTCTTGGAATACTGTAGCTTCCTCATGAGGAACCCTGCACTAACTTGCTTCATGAAAGAAAACATTTGATCCAGTCCCCTGTATTGTACCAACTCACAGCCAGTCTGCTGCCAGACATGTGAGTGAGTTCATATTAGATAATCTAGCTACCAGCCAATCCACCAGCTGACTGTTGATATAAGAGTGAGCCCAGCCAAGATTAGCTAAACTAGCTCCAAACTAGAAGAATTGCCCAACTGACTCACAGAATTATGACCTAATAAATGGTTGTTGTTTTAAACCACTAAGTTTTAGGATGTTTTGTTACACACCAAAAGCTCACTGATACATCATGGAGTAGCCCAAATTTTAGCTCTCTTCCTTGAACACCAACTATTTTTAATTTACCCCTCCCAACTTCATTTCTAGTATCAAAGAGCAAAACTGACAAAGGCAACGAAATGAAATCTGGGCTTTATTAGAAAGTTTACTTGTGAGAATCTGAATCCAGCAGCATGTCAAAAAAGTTAATCCACCATGATTAAGTAGGCTTTATTCTTGGGATGCAAGTTTGGTGTAACATATGCAAGTCAATAAATATGATCCATCACATAAAGAGGACTAAAAACAGAAACCACATGATCATCTCAATAGATGCAGAAAAGGCTTTCAATAAAATTCAACATCCCTTCATGTTAAAAAAAAAAAAAAAAAAAAAAAAAAAACCTCAACAAACCAGGCATCAAAAGTGCATACCTCAAAATAATAAGAGCTATCTATTTCAAACCCACAGCCTACGTCATACTGGATGGGCAAAAGCTGGAAGCTTTCCCCTTGAAAGCTGGAACAAGACAATGATGCCCGCTCTCACCACTCCTATCCAACATAGTACTAGAAGTCCTAGCCAGAGCAATCAGGCAAGAGAAAGAAATAAAAGGCATCCAAATAGAAATAGAGAATATCTCTCTTCACAGACAATATAATACTATACCTAGAAAACTCCAGTCTTTGCCCAAAGGCTCCTAAATCTAATAAACAACTTCAGCAAAGTTTCAGGATACAAAATCAATGTATGAAAATTAGTAGTTAGCATTTCTTTTTTTTTTTTTTTTTGAGATAGAGTCTTGCTCTGTTGCCCAGGCTGGAGTGCAGTGGCACAATCTCAACTCACTGCAAACTCTGCCTCCTGGGTTCAAGCGATTCTCCTGCCTCAGCCTCCTGAGTAGCTGGGATTACAGGCACGTGCCACCACACCAGCTAATTTTTGTATTTTTAGTAGAGACAGGCTTTCAGCACGTTGGTCAGGCTGGTCTCGAACCCCTGACCTCGTGATCTGCCCACCTCGGCCTCCCAAAGTGCTGGGATTACAGGCATAAACCATCGGACCCAGCAGTTAGTAGCATTTCTATACACCAATAATGTCCAAGCTGAGAACCAAATCAACAATGCAATCCCATTTACAATAGCCACAAAAAGAATAAAATATTTAGGAATTTAACTAACCAGGGAGGTGAAAGATCTCTACAATAGGAATTACAAAACACTACTGAAAGAAATCATAGATGATACAAACAAATGGAAAAACATTCCATGCTCATGGATAGGAAGAATCAATATTGTTAAAATAACCATACTGATGAAAGCTATTTACAGATTCAGTGCTATACCTATCAAACTACCAATGATATTTTTCACAGAATTAAAAAAAATTCTAAAATTCAATTTGGAACCAAAAGAGAGCCAAATAGTCAAAGCAATCCTAAGCAAAAAAAAAAAAAAAAAAAAAAAGCTGGAGGTATCACACTACCCAACTTCAAACTGTACAAGGCCGCAGTAAATAAAACAGCATGGTCCTGGTACAAAAATAGACACATAGACCAATAGAACAGGTTAGAGAACCCAGAAATAAAGCTGCACACCCACAACCTTCTGATCTTTGAAAAAGCCCTCAAAAACAAGCAACGGGGAAAGGATTCCCTATTCAGTAAATGCTGCTGGAATAACTGACTAACCATATACAGAAGATTGAAACCAGACCCCTTTCTTACACCATATACACAAATCAACCAATGTGGATTAAAGACTTAAATATAAAACCTAAAACTATAACCACCCTTGGAGAAAATCTAGGAAATATCATTCTGGGCATTGGCCAAGGCAAATACTTTATGGGGAAGACTCCAAAAGCAATTACAACAAAAACAAAAATAGACAAGTGAGGCCTAATTAAAGAGCTTCTACAGAGCAAAAGCAACTATCAACAGGATAAACAGACAACATAAAGAATGGGAGAAAATATTTGCAAACTATGCATCCAACAAAGGTTTAATATCCAGAACCTATAAGGAACATAAACAAATTTACAAGAAAAAACAATCCTATTGAAAAATGGGCAAAGGACATGAACAGACACTTTTCAAAAGAAGACATACACATGGCTGACAAGCATATGAGAAAATGCTCAACATCACTAATCATTAGAGAAATACAAATCAAAACCACAATGAGATACCATCTCACACCAGTCAGAATGGCTATTATTAAGACATCAAAAAAATAATAGATGTTAGCAACATTGTGGAGAAAAGGGAACACTTACACACAATTGGTGGGAGTGTAAATTAGTTCAGCCACTGTGGAAAGCCATCTGGAGATTTCTCAAAGAACTTAAGACAGAATTACCATTTGACCCAGCATTTTCATTGTTTGGTATATACCCAAATGAATAGAAATCATTCTGCCATAAAGACACATGCACATGTGTGTTCATTGCAGCACTATTCACAATAGCAAAGACATGGAATTAACCTAGACACCCATCAATGGGTGGACTGGATAAAGAAAATGTGGTACATGTATACCATTGAATACTACACAGCTATTAAAAAATGAGATCATGGCCTCTGCAGCAACATGGATGGTGCTGGAGGTCATTATCCTAAGCAAATTAATGCAGGAACAAAAAAACCAAGTGCCACGTGTTCTCAATTACAAGTAGGTGCTAAACATTGAGTACACATGGACATAAAGAGAAGAACAAACACACAGGGCCGTATTTGAGAGTGGAAGGTGGGAGGAGAGTGAGGATAGTATCCAGTACCCTACTGGGTACTGTGCTTATTACATGGGTGACAAAATAACCTGTACACCAAACCCCCACGACACACAGTTTACCTATATAATAAACCTTCGCATGTACCCCTGAACCTAAAATAAAATGTGGAAAGAAAAAAAAAAAAGAAAGTTTACTTGTATTTGTTTCTTCTGAAATTTTGGTCAACCTTTCTTTACCTCAGGATGGTAAATTTTTTTGAATATGTTTATTAAATTACACCTGTCATGACATCTCCCACTTATCTAATACAGCTTTGCAAGCTAACTCTCTGCTAGCTATTTTGCCCAAATGTCTAATCTTCCCAAAGGAAGTGCTTAGTCTTGGAGAGAAGGAGCCATCCTTGTTTGTCCTTCACAGTGTCCACTGTGGCCTTGCTTTCTGTGATTTCCAGACTTGTAAAGCTTGGCCTGGTCAACTTTTTAAAAATTCCGATGCAGCATCCACAGGATCATCAATTGTTTATTTTTCCAAGTAAGAACATTAAAAAATGCTTATCTGTGGCTGGGCACAGTGGCTTACGCCCGTAATCCCAGCACTTTGGGAGGCCGAGGTGGGAAGATCAGTTGAGGTCAGGAGCTCGTGACCAGCCTGGCCAACATGGTGAAACCCTGTCTCTACTAAAAATACAAAAAATTAGCCAGATGTGGTGGCACACACCTGTAATCCCAGCTACTTGGGAGGCTGAGGCATGAGAATCATTTGAACCCAGGAGACAGAGGTTGCAGTGAACCGAGATAGAGCCACTGCACTCCAGCCTGGGTGATAGAGCAAGACTCCTACTCAAAAAAAAAAAAAAAAGTTATCTACTATTGCCATCACTTTATAAAATAAAGAAAATTTTAACGTCAGAAAAGTATGAAACACATAATTGCAGAATGAAGGATAAGTCTTCACACAAAAGCACAGCTGGCGAACTTGCACCCACATATAGGTACACAGAAATTGATATGAAGAAACATATACACACTACAGTGCATTGGGTTGTTGTTTTTTTCTCTCATTTTTCTGTGTTCAGTGATGACTTTTTCTTTAACTGCTACCTATTGATAGACTGTATTTGGGAATCACTGGCTACATCATTGCATACGTGAAACAATAACTGAGAATACCAGAAGACCACAATCAGAAAAAGGTATTTGGCAAGAACACCTAAGAAATATCTTAGCATTCATAACTTCTGCTAAAGCGGTTAGTCTTTTTTCATATTGACTCTGGAAACCTACACTGGAAAAGACTTTGGCCCCTCCTACCACTGTAGCAGATCCAAGTAAGACAAGTTTTCGGTGCCACAAAAAATGGACACGTAATAAATAGCCACAACTCACATTTCGCAGAACACTTTGAAGAAAAACAAACCTTCCTCCATTTTAGCACACTCAGAGCTATTGGAGCTCAGGAATCCTATTGAAGGGGACTCTGCAGGCCAAATCTAAATTTTGAGCCACTGTAAAACTATCGCAATCACTTAAAAAAAAATTAAGAGGTAGGGTCTTCCTATGTTGCCCAGGCTGGATTCGAACCCCTGGGCTCAAGCAAATCTCCCACCTCAGCCTTCTGAGTAGCTGGGACTACAGGCACATGCTGATGCACCTGGCTCTACAATTGCTCTTAGCCATTTAAGAAAGTATTTCCTCCAACCCAGGCTAATACCTGATATGAACAGCAAGGGATACAGAAGTGGTTGATAGACAATGCAGAAGCAAGATAAAACAGAACAGCCATTTCTTAGTGCATACCAACTGCATCATTTACTCAGTCTTTAGAGAGGAGAGATTGGAGGTCAATACACTACAGCTTAATGTACATGTGCATATGCTTAAGATAAATATTGGGTTATATACATTCTGTATCTGGTAGATGTGGAATTTCAAAACTTCCACAGAATCGTGCACCTACACCTGCCATTTACAAGCCTCTGCACCCATATATAGTGCTCAATATGAATTTTGATTAAAGGATGAATGAACATCTAAACCTTCTGCTGGGGAGAGGATTTATTAATTTAATTAACATATTTATTTTGTACCTTTTATAGGCCAGACATTGTACTAAGGATACATTTGCTAGGGCTACTCCCACAAAAGAAACAATCTTGGTTTCTTCTCTAGTTCTCATTCTCCTTACCCTGCCTCTATCCCTCTGTAAGAACCCATCCAATTTAGGAATTCACCAATTACTCAACTTTTAGACATCCCAAAGCCATTCTCAACAATCGCCCTCCAAGCCTGTCTTTTGTTTCTGAACTGCTATTGCTCCAAACCTAGTCTCTGTCTAGCTTTTTTATTTTTTATTTTATTTCATTTTATTTTATTTTTGAGATGGAGTCTGGCTCAATAACTGCTCAGAGACTTATTGTATGTCTGGCTCTGTCACCCAGGCTGGAATGTAGTGTCATGATCTTGGCTCACTGCAACCTCTGCCTCTTGGGTTCAAGTGATTCTCATGTCCCAGCCCCCCGAGTAGCTGGGATTACAGGCACCCACCACCACACCTGGCTAATTTTTGTATTTTTAGTAGGGATGGGATTTCACCAGGCTGTTCTCAAACTCCTGACCTCAAGTGATCTATCCTGCCCCAGCCTCTCAAAGTGCTGGGATTATAGGCGTGAGCCACCGTGCCAAGCCTCTGTTTAACTTTAAACCTTGGATCTGGTGCCCTGATTTCAATCCTGTCTTTGTGCCTTGTAGCTATTGCTGTGTAACCACTCAAAAGCTTTGTGGCTTCAAATAATCACCATTTGTTATTGATCATGAATCTCTGAGTCATTTAGCTGATTTGGCTTATCTGGGGCAGGCTTGGTTGATCTTTGCTGGGCTGGCTTATGAACCTGAAGGGAGTTGGTGGATCAGCTGAGACTGGTTGGTCTAGAATGCTCTCACTCATGTGCCTGACATTGGGCTGTCTGCTGGCTAGGGTGCTAGGGGTGGCTGGGCCACATGTTTCTTATCATCTGTCTGGCTAAGCAAGGTTTTCTATTTTTATGGCAGAAGTAGGAGTCCCAAGAGAAACAGCAGAAGTGCAAAGACATTTTCAAGCCCAGGTTTGGATCTACTGCAACCTCACTCTGCCACTTTTTACTGGCCAACCCAAGCCATAAAGCCAGCCCAGATTCAAGAGGCAGAGAAACTCCACATCTTGATGAGAAAAGTTGCAGTCATGTTATAAAGGCATGGATATGGGCAGAGGTAGAGAACTGGGGCCATTTTAATGCTGAATCTACCACAATCTTGGTACTTGAATTTATTTCTAGAGTTTGAAATACTTGACTCTTCTTCTTGATATCAGACCTGGCTCATGTCTCTGACTTTTCCAACCCTGCTACCTCAAGTAAGAATCTCCACTCAATTTTCGCCCCTTAGGGGGCACCCTCTGAAGACAGCCCCTTGCTAACAAGAAGGAAATTCAGACCCCATCCATGAATCAGTTCCCTTATTCTTAAGTAATCTTTCTCTTGTCTTGAATAAAAGAACCCCTTCGGCTATTGTTAAAAATAGATATCTGAACCAGGCTGAACTCCGGCTGACAACTGTAATCAAAATTCTGATACCCGGAGAGGGCAGACCACATAAGAAGAACCCTTACAAGATGCTACCGTAACAAGGCTGAATCCTTATTGAAAGACAGAAATAAAATAGTGTATTTTCTCAATTCTAAAACACTTTTTTTTTCACATTTTCACATTTCTAAAGCTGAGATGTCTTATAATCAGTGTGTATCTATAATGTGGTAAGGTCGGTGACTATCCCTCACCCCAGCCAATCCTCCTGAAAAAATAAAGCTGAATTAAAAACATAATTCGTCTTTCAATTGATAGAATATTGTAACTGTAGTGGGCCACCACTCTTCGTTGCAAATGCCAATTGAGTGCTTACTAGAATGATTTAAACTGAAGCAGGAGAAAAGTAAGGCCATGAGAACCGGTAGGGTTTCCAAAAGCTTTGGCGTGTTAATGTTTCCAATTCAGGGACTTAGAGGGAATACTAGCAATACCAGGCAGGATGACACAAACAGGCGATTGCTGTCCTCCCTTGACTTTTTCTAGAATGATGATTATTGAAAGGGAACAGATGTGAGTTTCCCCTGTTTCTCCCTTCCCCTGCTACCTTCTGGCTCAGTGGCTGCTGGCCACTAGAATGGAGAGAAAGGTAAAATCAAGGAGAAGAAAGAAGCCAAAGCCACAAACCGGTTGGTGGTCTTTCTGTAAGGAGCTGGCATCATCTGGTCATTGCTTGATTTGTTTCATTCAGTTGGTTTCTTTTATTGTGTCCATCATAGTAGTTAAGCAGGCAGGCTCTAGAGCCAGACTGCCTTGGTTTAAATCCCAGCTCTACTATTTTAAAGTGCTGTGACTTTAGGCAAGTAATAACCCTGCCGTGCCTCAGTTTCTGCATCTGTAAAACAGGGGTCAAAAATTAGTTGATATTTGTACACTTACAATAATATCTGCCACATAGAAACATGAAATAATTTGTTATTATTGCCTCCTACTTGAAATTCCCTTGGAGAAGAAGAGTCTCCTTTCTCTGGAAAGCCAAATATAATTCTTTAAAGTCCTAGAAGCAACCTTAAGTCCCTCTCTGATGCTTATTTTCCCCCTAAGATTAAAGCCACATAGCCCTTTCCCCAAGATGTTTGCTTTTTTGTGGGTGAAAAAAGTCAGCAATATTATCACGATGAGAGTGAATTTGCTATTGAGCATATTCCTTTTTTGGTGTCCTAAACTCCACCAGTCCTAAGAAAAGGGCAGAGTTGCCCCAGCTAGAGTCAGGTGCTTATCATCATTTTGTTTAACCTTGAAATAATTCTTACTTCGTAAGCACAGAATTCACTGCATAAATTAGACCAAGGGGAATTAGAACAATGTGTGTGTGACTGTGTGCACACATGTCTCCGTAATGAATGTGGAGTTACATATATTCAGCACGTCTGTGTAAGCGCCCAGAGACTTATTGTATGCCTGAAAAATAGAGCCCAGAGAGGCATAAAGCTATTTATTTGGAAGAAATTAGACTGTTTTTTATGATTCTGAAAAGGTTAAGGCAGAAGATAGGTGGCTGCGTAGAGGGAGTTATGACTTGCGCATTTTGATTCATCTTTTCTTATTAAAAGCCGCCTCTCCAGCTGCTGTACTTTCATCACCCTGCATGCCTCCATCCCTGGGCCAGAGGGGTTTCCACATCACCACAGAGGCAGGCCTTCCTTCATTTTATTTATTCCATTTGGGATTAAACACATTGAAAGGGGGCCATGGCTAAATGGGTGTTTCTCGCCTGGCTCGGTACTTAGAAATCAAAGAAGGAGCTTCATGGTGTATGTGGAAGGGGATGGAGTGTAGAGAGGAGGAGGTGGTTTCTGCAGACAGGCAGCTCTTCCCATCTTCCCAGGAGCAAAGATTAGTTCCCTGGGCCCAGGCCTCAGTGGCAGGGGGCCAAGGAAAGCAGGCCCAAGGCCTTTCCTAACTCTTAGCCCCCAGGGATTGGCACATGCCACGGGGAAAGTGAAAAACATTTTACAAAACAGGCTAGACACGTGCCACATAGCTGTGTCCTTAGAAACTTCCACACAGATCCCTGTTGGAGGCTCTTCTCCCTGTGCTGTGGCTCCCCAAAGCCTGCTTCGTTGCTGC
Source organism: Homo sapiens (assembly GCF_000001405.40). Classification (NCBI taxonomy): domain Eukaryota; kingdom Metazoa; phylum Chordata; class Mammalia; order Primates; family Hominidae; genus Homo; species Homo sapiens. Next base: position 182,699,652 of record NC_000001.11, read on the forward strand.
AGGGACCTTAAGAATCCGAGGGGATTCACAGAGCCCTGGGGATTGCAACGGGATTACCGGGGAGGGATACAGGCAAAATCCCCTGAGAGGCCTGCAATGTGCTGCAGGCCTGGGGCCTTCCTGGCAGGATGGATATCTCTATTCCTGGAGCCAAAAGTTCTGGGATCTGCAGAAAGGGATCCCTCGGGGACTATAATGAATGCCGTGTTCCAGCAGTGCCAGCTCGGTTCAGCTGCTTGATTAATGACATATGAGAGGTCTCACGGCAAATTTAACAGGAGGGCGCACCCTCACACAGTGCCTGCCCTGGATAAGATCCGGCACCTCACACCCTGCAGGAGACTGGAGGGGCTCACAGAACTCCTTCCCGAGCTCGGGATCCAGGGCGAAGCCTGTGAAGAGCCCGCCTGGGTCTCAGGTTCTGAGTCTTGAGTGCATAACAATGCGCCCCAGAGCCCGCCGAGGGGAGAACTAGCTCCATCTGCTCCTTCCCAATTCTCGGCTCCGGCGAGGGGGAGGGGGATCCCTCGGCGGTTAGGCCGGGTCCTGCACGGTTATTGGCTGACACATTTTCAAAGCTACTCTCAAAGGCTTTTATGAAAATGCTGTTGCCGGGCAGCAGCTGAAGCCATTTGCCCTAGAAAATGGATGGAAGCAGGTGTAACCACTCACCCCAACATGACCCCCAAAACATTCCCCGCGACACACACGCTAGTCTACAGTGTGTTACTTTGTCCCTGTATATTTCAATAAGCGCACCAATCTGACACCTCAGCATTCCTCCCCGAAAACGTAACCATGAGCATTGTTCTTCCTGGTTTCTCTTTCAAGAGAAAGGAGGTGCCAGTCCAGGGTGGTATTCCAAGAGACACCCCAGGTTCAGCCTCGGGCTGCCTCTGGCGGCAGAAGACACAGGGTGCATCTTCCGTCTTCTAATTCCCATAGCTTTCAGGAGATAGCAGAATTGCTGGAAGTCATGAGTGTCTTAGAAAGACTGAATGCTTTTTGTTAGAGTTCTCATTCTACTAAGTACACAAAACCGAACAGCATTTAAAAATTAATGCAATGTCTAATTTTTGTTAACTGATGAAATTTCATATTTCAAAGTGCTTTGAATTTGAAGCTTTGTATTCAAAAGGACTCTTACAATCATCTAATTTGATCATCATGATAGTCCAGTGGACTACTTACATTGGAGGAAATTAAGACACCAGAAAAAAGTAATTATTTAAGGATTCATCATGTGTAACATAGCAGAACTGGGATTCAAGTGCAAGTTTTCCAAATCCCAGTCCAATATTCTAAGCTTCCCCATTGTAATGAATGAGTTACATATATTATGAATCATTGTAACAAATTCATCATATAAATTTACCCAACATGTTTGTCATGTTTTCTTGAGAAGGTTTTAAATGTGTCAAATGTGACATTTAGGTCCTCTTCTTCACCTACTTGTAGCTCCATCCCAAATGAGGCAAATAAGTGAAATTAATGGCATGGGGCGGAATAGCAGGGTTTTGAGTTGATGGACAACAGGCAACCATTGCATTTCTTTGAGCAGAATTGTGACATCATAAATCAGCATTTTAGGAAACCTCATTGGGCAGCAGGCATCAGATGACTTCTGTGACTTCCTAAGTAGATATTACATGTATCCATGACTTCCTAAAGAAATTCAGTTCTTCAATATTGTTATCCAACCCCTAAGTGATAATAGCAATGGGAATTTCAGGCCAGGTCAAAGGCACAGGTCACTGAGAGATGACTCCAAGGAAAGGCAGGGTGGAGTTATCAGCTCCCTTGAGTCATATCCATGTCCAGCTTTCCTTTGAGACAAATGTAACTTTTTGTCCCTTAAATGCAACTTTTTGTCCCTTAAGGAGTACCATAAAGGAGGTTCTTACACCACTTAGATCAAAGGTAGGCACTACTGGGAGAAGTTAAGATTATAGGGTTGGTCTCAAGGTTACTCTTTAGCTGCAGCCCTGTATCCAGCCGCCTGGAAAACTGAATGCTATTCAGGAAGCAGGACCCCCAGCTAAGTAGGCAGAGGCAAAGGAATCCTTCTTAGTGGCCCAGTCAATCTTTGAGCTGAAATTCTTAAGCTGCCATCTACCCTTGGATCTCCCCTTCTTCACTGCTGGGGTTCTCTACTTTTAAACTATTTGTTTTTTATGAAAAAATGCTCCCCATCACTAATCATCAGAGAAATGTAAATAAAAACCAAATGAAATACCATCTCACACAAGTCAGAACGGCTACTATTAAAAAGTTAAAAAACAACAGACGCTGGTGAGGCTGCAGAGGAAAAAATAACACTTACACACTATTGGTGGGAATGTAAATTAGTTCAGCCACTGTGGAAAGCAGTTTGGAGGTTTCTCAAAGAACTTAGAGCTGCCATCTGACCCAGCAATCCCATTACTGGGTATATACCTAAAGGAAAATAAATCATTCTGCTAAAAAGGCATTGTGCTATTCACAGTAGCAAAGACAAGGACTCAACCCAGGTGCCCATCAATGTTGGGTTGGATAAAGAAAATGTGGCACATATACACCATGGAATACTGTGTAGCCATAAAAAGAACAAAATCACGTCCTTTGCAGCAACATGGATGCAGGTGGAGGCCATAATCCTAAGCGAATTAACCCAGGAACAGGCAACCAAATACCACATAAACATTGGGTACTCACGGAAATAAAGATGGCAACAATCGAAAAGATGACTAGAGTAGGGAGGAAGTGAGGGGGGCAACGGTTGAAAAACTATTGGATACTATGCTCAGTACCTGGGTGACAGGATCAGTCATACCCCAAAACCCAGCATCATGCAATATACCCAGGTAACAAATCTGCACATGTACCCCTGAATCTAAAATAAAACTTGAAATTATAACTTTTTTAAAAAGACTTGTTGTGTCATACACTTGTTGGCAAAGGGATCAGTCGGTTAAATAATAAACTAATAAGGCTAAAGATCCAATCGTAAGTAAAATATTTATATCATCAGTGATTTTCTAATTAGATATTACCTGTATCCATGACTTCCTAAAGAAATTCAATTATTCAATATTGCTATCTAACCCCTAAGTGATAATAATAATGGAAATTTCAGGCCAGGTCAAATGCACAGATCACTGAGAGATGACTCAATATTTTGAAAGAGGTAAAAAGTTTTGTTCTTTATTTAGACCAAATAGGTGTTCACCTACCATATGTACATTCACAGCCCATCTAACTGCAAACATATGGAGAGTAAGTCACCTCTCTAAAGGAGAGTGCAGTGGGTCATTACAATGTATAGGCAATGATAAAGGGGCAGAAAAGGAACACTTGGATTGTTTCCAGTAAGTTCATTTGAGCACTCACCCTCTCATTTATTTACCCAGGAAGTTATCCTTTTTGAGTACTTATTATGTACCATGCACTTTGCAATGCTGGACAAGATAGAGTACTAGACAGTCTTATCTGAGTAAATAATCCCAAGCCAGTGCTTTGACCTAAATTTTGCAAAGATTCCTTACCCTCTACAAATTCCCTGCCTATGCCTTCTGAAGGGAAAGGGGCATTTTCTCCTGCAACCCAAATTTCTGAGAGAGATGCTTGTGTGGCAGCAAAAGCTGCAAACCAGAACCTTCCCTGGAGGCTGGGAAAATTGTGTTATCTCAAGAGGAGATTACACTAATCTGAATAACAAACTGCTCTGACCCACAAATCCTACCTACCACCCCCAAATCCTGAACTAACCTGATGAGATAGCAAATAGAATTGGAGCTTGTGGAGGGGTGGCCAAAAGGTACATTTGCATAGACCTCGGCTAAGAAAAATAATATCCTTTTGTTTTTGTGTCTTCAATTCACCACAACTTCAGGGGTTTTGTGACTTTATTTTGTCCTAATCCATGCTCACAGCATCCTTCTACCTTCTACCTCTGTTCTAAAGTGAAAATACAGAACCAATATCAGCTATAACCTGATTATCTGTAAAAATTGGGCCAGCACAGGGTCATGGATAATAACCACAGATGATTTTGAAAGTCATTTAAATTTGCCTTTGGCCTACATTTGTTTACACAAGTGCATTTCAAAGCAGATTCGCCTCCCTAATTACATTTTGTTTGCGTTCCCTCAGCACACATTGACTGGGAAGTCAGGGAGGGGTGATGCCGAGTAGGCTGAGTGTTGAGAAAAACTGATTAGAGATAAAAATTTGTAGGAGTTAAACCACAAATTTTATTATTCGTTTAACAAATATTTATTGAACATTAACAAATGGTACAGCACAGCACTTGGTTTTGCAGGAAATATAAAGTTGAAATGAAATAGTTTCTGACCTGAAGAAGTTTGACTTCTTAGAGAGGCAATATATAAAGACTTTACATTTATGCAATAAAGATTTCACTATAGCTTTAACTATAAGCCTAAATAGGACTGTTTTTACTTCAGATATCTACAGAGCCCAGGGGGCTTTTGATTGAATGGAATTCAGACGAATAGTGATTCCTCCAATAACCATAACTGTAATTTTCTGTGCTTCTCCACTTGTATAAAATACAATTTTCTCAGCTTGCATAAAATAGCCACAGAATCACTTCCCTGGGTACTAGAACTCTCAGGACAATGGGTTGGAGAGGTTTTTTCTTGAAACTGCACATCTGCAGGTGTTGAAGAGTTCATCACTGAAGAAGCAAATACTCAGTGTCTCTCACTGTCCTCAGTTAAACCATTCTTAGGCAGGCCCCGTCATAAGCCCTTCTTTTGGTTTATCTCTATTCCCGGAATCTGCATTACACTACCCCTAGAAGGCCAGGAGCCCTCCCAATTTCAGTCCTCCACAGAAGAAAAGTGTGCCAGTTTGGAAAAAAGCAGGTAAGGGGGGGCATCTTGGACCCATATGCAGAATGGGACAAAGGTGTGGCTCCACAGTACTAACCCTTCCCCTAGCCTCTCCCTCTAAAACTGGTCCCTTTCCACTCCCCTGCTGCCATTTCCATGGTGGAAAGAGGAATCGGGGATGCGGATTATGTATGTGTCACTTGCTGGGTGTGAATTGCAGACCCACCCTCACTGCCCCCACTCCTGGCAAGACCATGTTGGACCCAAGCTGTCCTTGATTATGGCAGGGAGGTGGCCTTATGCTAGGGATGAGTGAAGAATTCGCACAAGACACCTCCAGCCAGGCTTACCCAGGGCCAACATTGTCACTATCAGCACCATCATCAGAGGCACTCACACCACACGTGCCCATCTGTGCACAGGCAAGCCAGGTGTGAACATGGGTCCCAGCCTCCTACTGCAGGTTGTGACCTGTGAAATCATTTTCAGAGGTCAAACAATGTTTTTGATATATAGTAAGGGTAAGTACTGTTATGTGAAACAACATATCATTATGTATATTCTTACTCTGTATCACAGTTTTATTAGGATTCTCCAGAGAAACCGAAGCAACACCATACATATAGATATATAAAAATAAATTCATTATGAGAGATTGGCTTACGTGATTATGAAGGCTGAGAAGTCCCAGAGTCTGCTGTCTGGAAGCAGGAGGTGCAAGAAAGCCCATGACACATGGTAAAAACCCCAGTTCAAGTATGAAGGCCTGAGAACAAAGAGTACCCATGCCTGACAGCAGAAGACAGATGCCTCAGCTCAAGCAGACAGAGCAAATTTACCCTTCCTCTGCCTTTTTATTCTATTCAGGTCCTCAATGCAGTGGATGCTGTCCACCAACATGGGAGAGAGAAATCTTTATTCCGTCTACAGATTCATGCTAATCTCATCCAGAACATGCCCCACAGTCACACTCAGAAGTAATGTGTTACCAGCTATCTGGGCATCTCTTAGTCCTGTCAAGTTGAAGCGTAAAAAGAATCCCAAGATTTTTTTTATAGCTACTTTATCTAGAACATGCAGCATTGATGTGGGTGAGTATGAAGGAGAAGGCCTCAGGAATGATCGCATAATACTCATTGAATCAGTACTCAGATAATAGTAAATATCTGCATCATCTACAAGCAAATGGCAACATAGATAAAAAGACGGGGAATGTGTAGGGTGAAGTTCCATTTTAAACAAGACAGTATATAGAGAGTTGCCAGTTCCTTCCAATTCTTCTCATGGATTTTACATCTCCAGAAATGGCGTTTGTGCCCCTGACTCAGCAAGGGAATCAGTAGCAGCCCCGTTCAACAGCTTCTTCTATAAATGAAGAATTTTAGGAGCAAGTGGGTATGGGGCAGAGGACATTGGAGCAACAGGCCCTCTCCTCAGTGTCAGATTCTGTCCCCCACTATCCCTGAGAAATGTTTTGGAGATGCAACTTTTTTTTTCTTTATTTTTTATTTTTGGAGACAGGGTCTCATTTTGTCACTCAGGCTGAAGTGCACTGTCACCATCTCGGGTCCCCGCAACCTCTGCCTCCTGGGCTCAAGTAATCCTCCCACTTCAGCCTCCCAAGTGGCTGGGACTATAGGTATGCACTACTACGCCCAGCTCATTTTTGTATTTTTTTTGTAGAGATGGGTTTTCACCATGTTGCCTGGGCTGGTCTCAAACTCCTGGACTCAAGTGATCTGTCTGCTCACTTCAGCCTCCCACAGTGCTTGGATTATAGGTGTGCACCACCACACCTGGCCTGGAGATATGTTTTATATGTCAGGACAACAATCTGGCTCCCCTGTCCAACTAGTGCTGCTGATCGTGCCACCTGCTAGAACTGAGCTAAAAAGAGATTTGAAGACCAGGAAATTAACCACCTAAGTAGGAAGACCTAATGCTCCCAGAATGCCTTCCTCATCCATGGGCTAACTCATTTTTGTTTTTCCTTTTTTGAGACAGAGTCTCACTTTTGCTGCCCAGGCTGGAGTACAGTGGTACGATCTCAGCTCACTGCAACCTCTGCCTCCTGGGTTCAAGCGATTCTCGTGCCTTAGCCTCCCAAGTAGCTGGGACTACAGGCGTGTGCCACCACGCCTGGCTAATTTTTGTATTTCTATTAGAGATGGGGTTTCACCATGTTGGCCAGGCTGGTCTCAAACTCCTGACCTCAGATATCCACCCACCTCAGCCTCCCAAGGTGCTGGGATTACAGGCATGAGCCACCATGCCTGGCCATCCATGGGCTAACTCTTAAAATCAATGTGGGAGTACATTATTTCATATCAAACTCTAAATTCCCCTGAAGTGGTAACACTTTAGGCTGTCAGTCATTTATATCTCAGTATGAATTCATTTCAGATTTTTTTTCTAAAACTAAGTATCTTAGGAGGCCAAGGCAGGCAGATCACCTGAGGTCAGGAGTTCAAGACCAGCCTGCCCAACATGGCGAAATCCCATCTCTACTAAAAATACAAAAAATTAGCCAGGCGTGGTGGGGGGTGCCTATAATCCCAGCTACTCGGGAGGCTGAGGCAGGAGAATAGCTTGAACCGGGAGGTGGAGGTTGCATTGAGCCGAGATCGCACCACTGCACTCCAGACTGGGCAACAAGAGTGGGACTCCATCTCAAAAAACAAACAAACAAACAAAAACTAGGTATCGATAGGAACAAAAACAAGATTGTGCCTGAGAGGACACTACTACTGTAATAGTAGCCTAATGGAAGGAGGCTGGAGAGGCAAAGACAACCTTTTGTACTTTGCTGTGCTGGGAGCTGGTCCAGCTGAGGAACATGGCCTTCTGCCCACTAAGAACACTGCAGCCAACAGTGGTTTGAGCCAGCTTTCTAAGAACATTGGCCATTTGAGTTTGGCTTTGAACCTAGAAGTCCAAGTTCAAGTATGAAGCAGGGGAAGGTGTGGCAAAGGCATCAAAATTTTATTTTAATATTTGTCAAACCATTCTGCTCCTTTTCCTGCCCCCACCTCTACTATCACCGCCACTAGAAGAATCATTCCAATAACCCGCTAACTTGGGGCCAGATGATCTTTATGGTTTGGCCAGGAAAAGTCCAAGGGCAGAGGCACCTAAGGCAACTGTGTAGTCATCATCATAATCAATAAATAACATTAGGCATTTCTACTTGCCAGCAAGGTGCTAAATTTTTGTTTGTTTGTTTTGTTTTGTTTTGTTTTTGAGATGGAGTCGCTCTGTCGCCCAGGCTGGAGTGCAGTGGCATGATCTTGGCTCACTGCAAGCTCTGCCTCCCGGGTTCACACCATTCTCCTGCCTCAGTCTCCCGAGTGGCGGGGACTACAGGCGCCCACCACCATGTCTGGCTAATTTTTTGTATTTTTAGTAGAGACAGGGTTTCACCGTGTTAGCCAGGATGGTCTCGATCTCCTGACCTCGTGATCCACCCGCCTCGGCCTCCCAAAGTGCTGGGATTACAGGCATTAGATGCTAAGCTTTTTATGGGGATTATTTCTTTCAATCATCACAAAACTCCACGAGATAAGTCTGTCATTGTATAGATGATAAAACTAAAGCTTAGAAAGGTTAAGTAATAGGCCACAGTCACAGGGCTCGTCAGTAGTGCAGATGGAATTCAGCCAAGGACGTCTGACCCCAAACTCCTAATCAATAGGCTAAGCAGCAGCACCCCTTGGGAAGAAGTACTAGTCACTCAAGGAGTCCACCAGAAAAAGTCTGCTTCCCTCTGTTTGTCTTCCACTCAAGCCTCATCCCTTCACAATGTGACCTGGAAAGGAATTTTCCCCCATACTGCCTCCCAGGAAGCCATGGAAAGGAAGCCCCCGCTGGCCCCTGCAGTGTCCTTGAAGGAGATGGATGAAGGTGAGGCAGACCTGACTCACAGCCGCTGCAGGTCCCTGTGCTGGGAAGCAGCCTGTCTACAGAGGCACACCTGGGCTCCCCACACCCCTGAGATGATATAATGGCTCAGACAAGGGGTTTGAAGCCATCAATGGACTGATAGCATAATACCCATGACTTCCACAGAACGTGTCTTTAAGCGGAAGAAATAAGGGCAGGATAATTTTAGCTCTGTGTGCCTTAGCACGGCTCCATCTCTCCTGCCACCAGGCTGGCTTCCAGACAGAGACCACTTGTGTCTCTCTGCATTGAGGCCCTCAAACCCGGCCAAGAACAACAGACTTCAAAGTTTGCGGAGTAAGTTTGGGCCGCATGGGGGAATCAGAGCTCAAGGCTCCTGCCCCATACTTGGGAACTGTTGTGTCAGCAGGAAGCCACTTTCTCTTTGAACACAGCCATGAGGTGATGAGACTTCTGAATGTCCAAGTTGACGCTGGTGCTCCTAACATCTGGTCGCTGATGCACTGCTCCCCAAGCAGCTCTGGGCAGGCGGAAGCTTGGGGCAGGGAAAGGATGACCTGTGCGGCCTGCCAAGATGGTGAAAGTCCTTCCATCTAGGAACAGCAGCCTGACGAAAGCGCCTTTTCCCATTTCCCACACACCTTCTTCTCTCCGTTTCTCTCTTTGGTTTTAGTGGTTCTTCCTTTTCCTGGCTTTCTTTCTACTTCTGTAGATGTGCTTTTATGTATGTGTGGGTTTTTGTTTTTGTTTTATCCCCATTAGAGCACTGTCCACCTTTTTCTAACTTTCCCAATGTTGTGGGTCCTTAGTGGGAAAACACTGGGCCTCATAGTTTCTACTCTTACTGAAAAGTTTTACACTTTTCAGCCCTCCTGTCTTTGCTCACCAAAGTCCAGGTATATGTGCTTATTGACAGAAAAGATTCAAGAATCTGAACTATGAAGTGCACACACACATGTATTCTCTCTTGCTCTCTCTCTCACACACACACACACATCCTTTCCATACCCACTCAAACCAGAATACTCTTGACTCAACCTCATCAGAGCCAGTTAAAGATAATAATCTTTCTCTGGTTATGGTCTCCACATCAATGTGACACCTCATATCCAACCATCTTTGGAACTCAGGGACTGAGTTTATTTAGCTCTTGGTGAAATGTAAGTGACCCCATAAAGCCAAAGACTGGATAACCACATACCAAGGAGTGTACCAGGTATTGCCACTGGGTGATACTATATCTCATCGGCACTCCCCTGCCTAGGTGGCAAGTAAAGTTCTGACACACTATTTCTATTCCCTGACTTTAAGAAAAAGGTGCAGAGTTGCAAACTACTGCCAACCTAATCTTATTTTTTCAACTCCCCCCACTGTCACTTACTTGTTTTATGAATGCGAACCATCTTAGCATCTCTTTGCATCAGTTTCTTCATCTGTAAAATGGGGATAATAAAAATTACCTATCCCTTAGGGTCATTATGTCAAATAAATGTGAAACAGTTATAGTTCTTGGCTGCAAGCAACAGAATCCAACTCTAGATTCTGGGTTACAGGAGTGAATAATTTCTCTGGGACAGCGCTGTCAGAATTAGTCAACTCCAATCATTTTTCCATCCTTGTTTCACTAAGGTTTCACATTTCTAAGAGAGAGAGAGGGCTTGATTGGTCTAGCATAGGCCACATACCCATCCTTTTTACCAGCGAAGGATACAGGAATTTGACTCACAGGTGTGGTATGAGACCTAAAGTTATGGCCCAAAATGAGGAAGGCCTCAAATGACCTAACTGCAAACTTCTTTCTCCCTCTCCTCCTACAAATAAGGTCCCCTGGCCAAACATCTCTCCTTATCAAATGAACAAAGTGCAATTCCTGCTTATCCCTGAGTAGTGGGTTTCAGTTTCCTGCTGGCCTGTGGAATTACTCAAATGACCCAATCACATCTTTATAAGGTAGCAGGGACACCCCTACCCTCTTGATACTACAAAGTCTGTCTCCCACAGCCTCTACTTGTTCACTCTATTCCTGAGCATAACCCCCTATGGCTCTGTGTGGCCGGTGGTGTCCTCCTCCCCCAGGCTGTGTGTATAAATGACTAATAAAATGCTGGCAACCTCATCTGTCCAGGGTCAGGTGTCCTGTGTGTTCAGCCATCCCCATAACCCTACAGCAAAGATCCCTCTCCCACCAATGGGGAGAAGAGAAGGCAAACAAAACAAAAGGCCCCCAAAGATTGCATGTAATGGGGAATAGGTGAGCTCCAAAAGGAAAATCAGGAGTTGATTTTCCGCTTTAAATCTGCTGTTACCACAAGAGGAGGAGGGATGCAGGACAAGCAAAAACAACAGGCATTCAAACACCATGAAAAGTGCTTAACACAGTACCTGAGAAACAGAAAAGGACCTGAAAATGTAGGTAGTAGTAATATTATTTTCATATTATTATGTAATTCAACAAACTCTCCAAAAAGAAACCTCTCATTGCAGCATTTTTCATGTTCATGGAGTACTTTTTGTCCCTGCCCCCTGCAACCTTTCCCCAGCACCTACACAACAGTTCAGGGCAATAAGCATCAAGAAACCAAAGGCATCTTTAAGGCAATCACAGGTGTGAGTCCCAATGCAAGAGGCACAAAGATGCCGGCAAAGGACACCACTTTGCATGGGATTCCTGAGTTGGTAGGTGAATGAGGCCCAAGAAGGAGATCACACAAGGACCTCGCTTTGCAAATGAAGTCACTGTCAGTCAAAAATGCATCAGGCCAGAAGTGAACAGGTGATGAGCCAGTACCTCTGTACTGAACCACTCCCCTGATCACTTGCCTTTTTCAGGGAACACTTGAAAACACTACTTCTGGCAAGGCTTGGCCTTCAGAGTAGACAATGTGGCCACTGCACCATGATGTATCCCAATCACAAGTGCCAGACAGAGCCCCCTGACCCCAAATACCAATCCATTGTCTATCATTCTGCCATTAAAATGTCATTCTTCTGATTTCCAAGAGTCCTTTTCAAAATGACACAGGTCCCACCTCGTCAGCAAATACTTTACCTGCAACGTTTGATCTCCTTAAGCTGGGAAGCAAAATAGGACACAGGCTGGATACCTGACTGGAAGCAGAGCACCTGACTAGGACAAGACCCAGGAGGGAGGAAAGGAGGACTGATAAGTGGCTGGGAACACATACCAGCAACAAATATTGAGACAGATACTCAGTGGGCTGGGGTCAGCCAGCATTACCCCTGACTTGAACTGTGGAACAATTCAGCCAAGTGATGTGGCTGCACCCTGGCATCACCCTAACCTTTGTCTACCAGGAGCTCAAGGCCTTGGCATCTGCATTAACAGCCAGGAATATCTTGGCCCCAGATACTGGCTAAGTTCCAAAAATCTCCAGATGCTACACAGGGCCTGAGATCTCACCACCTTGAACAGCAGGAAACTCTAACCTGATCTTCCCATCATATTAATCTCTGTTTTCCTCCTTTGCTTTCCACCATCCTAGAGCTTCTAATTTGCAGAATTTAGAAATCAAAATTCTTGAGCCGTTGCTTGCATAGCTCTGTCCTGTTTCAGAGTATGAATGATAACAACAGTAGGTGCAACAATTTTTTAGAGCTTATTAAATGTCAGGAACCCTATAAGTAACTTATTTACTCCCCTACAATAACCCTGCAAAGTGAACTTTGTTACTCCCATTTAACAAGTGAAGAAATCTAAGTCACACATAGTAGGGGGAAGAGCTGGAATTCAGATCTAACTCTAAAGCCTCAAACACACTCATTGCCTCTTGAAAAAGGATGCTGGACTTATCATCATGTGCCAATCCTGCCAAACAGGTTAGCTACACATCCATGAAGTACCCATGAAAATGTGAGTTTTTCCTGAAGTAAAGCTTCTCAGGCATTCAGAATGTAAACTCATACAGCTACTTGGATGTCAATCCATGGCCACATTTGACCTGATTACTCAGGTCATACAGAGCCCAGACCCTGCCCTACAGGCTAATAAACACATCTTGTTCCATCTGAATTTGACCATAAAATCCAGCTATCTTTTTAGTCTGTTTCTAGAGCCTTTATTGATATATCCTTCCAATGTGCTCACATGTCACCCACGGCCAGAACATAAAAATGTCTCTGGCTTGGAACACCATATGAACAGTATTTACACCTTTTAAAAATATGGGCATCCTTCAAAATACCCACACTTTATTATAAACAATACCCTTTAGGATGTTCTAACACAGAAGTATTCTATTCCTTCTGTTCTTCTGTTGTAGCCATGGAGACCTCAGATTTGGTTGAAATAAATAGACAAAATTAAAACCTGCACAAAAAGTTGGTATCAGAACAAACAATATTGACAGTTTATATTTCAAGAGTATTTTTGTCTGAGGAAATCAATCATTCTACAGACATGACCTCATTCTGATCTCTCAGGTAGGAAAAGGACAGTCCTGCCTTCCTCTTAAGATCCTCAAAGGACTCATGGTGACGACCAGGTAAAGGGGAGACTGGGGCTGTAGCACCCTGAAATATATGGCTGAAACTAAAGTATTTCACCTACCCAGTTGTTTGGCATCAGACCGGTCAAATTAATCATTTGAATTTAATATTTTAATTGGTCAAGTCAGCCAAAGTGGTATAAGATAAGAATTGGCCAAGTTGCCATCGTCCCAAATTGAGCCATGGCGACCAACTAAGAATAAATCTTGGGTGGCTCACTCGAAGATACATATAATTTTAAAAAAGAAATATTTCCCTGCTGTTAACAAAATTGCTCTCTTTATTTTATCTTCTTTTTTCTTTTTCTTTGAGACAGAGTCTTGCTCTGTCACCTAGGCTGGAGTGCAGTGGTGTGATCTCGGCTCACTGCAACCTCCAGCTCCCAGGTTCAAGTGATTCTCCTGCCTCAGCCTCCCAAGTAGCTGGGATTACAGGCGCATGCCACCACACCTGGCTAATCTTTGTATTTTTAGTAGAGATGGGGTTTCACCATGTTAGCCAGGCTCTTCTAGATCTCCTGACCTCCAGTGATCTGCCTGCCTCAGCCTCCCAAAATGCTGGGATTACAGATGTGAGCCACCACGCCCGGCCTCTCTTTAATGATTGCAGTTGTCCCATAGATTGCACTGGCACGGGGGATACCTCTAAAATACAAATCTAATCACCTTACCCCCACTGACCACAGGATGAACCTGAGGTCCTTCCTGATGACACAAGGGCCTTAACTGACCCCTGGACCACTTTCCTGGTTCACCTCTCTCCCCTGTCCCCACTGCCATGCTATAGTTGTGAGATGCTGTTAGTAACTAGCAATTGTTTAAATGCTCAAGCTGTTGCCAAAGCCATTTACTGTGCCTGGAAATACTACATCTCCCATGGTACGCATACACGCCAGCCCTGACCCCATCATTGCCTGTTTGAAAAACACCAATTTATCTCTCTTTTCTTTTATGGTCACTTTTTAAAGTAATTTTTTATTGCAAAAGAAGTACACAGAAAATACAGTACATAAAACAGAAACAAGAAAAGTAGAAGTACACATTATCATGATACCAAAGATAAAATTGTTTGCATTTTGATATATTCCTCACAATCCTCTTCGTGTGCATATTTATAGACATTTTCTACCACGCCAATTTGACTTTTGAGACTCATCTCAAATGCCACTTCCTATAAGAAGACTTTTCTAACCTTTCCTCCCCCTCATGCCCCCAAACTTAATCTCACTCACTCCCACTCACCCTACAGGTTTCAGCTTAAATGTCATATCCTCAGACAGTTTTTTCCTGACCCGCATAGTAAATGACATCACCCCAGTTACTCTTTGACAGCACACTGTTCTTTCTTTCATAAAACTATCTGAATTTATCATTATAAATATATTTGTGTATTTATGCATTCATGTCTTTCTTTCCATTAGGCTGTAAGATCCACAAGAGTAGAGACAATTGCTGGCCGTGCTTATCACTGTGGACCCAAAGCCTGAAGTAGCATCTGGTTCATTAAACACATGATGAATATATGTTGAATAACTAAATGAATGAAAACACCGTTCTTCAAGCTCCCACTAACACCTTACCACTCTCTACCATGTCAACTTATTTTATTATAACAATTGCTCATCATTAAACCGTATGGTCCTGGAAGAAAAAGACTGTTTTTAAGTCTATAAAGTCATATTTATATGTGAAATCATAATTACATCCCCATAACACAATGTCCTGCATATGGTAGATATTCAGTTATTCAGAATGAGAAAAATGGAATGAGTGAATGAATTGCTATATGGGCAGGGCAGCTTGCCAGTGATGCTCTCAAGTGATCCTTTTTCTTAAATAAATCTTTCCTTCCTGGTTTTGATAATAGTTTCCATATAACACCAAAATATAACTGAAACGTAAAAACATTGCTTTGTGCTCCAGATGTTTCATTTTCAGAAGCCAAACATCCAGATCATTTGGACCCATATGAAAAACTGAGCATCTCTTCATCCAAATGTTTGGCATTTTCTTGGCTTATTCAGAGTCCAAAGGAAGAAAGAAATGGATGCGTTACCCCTACGCCATCAATACAGAGAGAAAATGAAAATAAATAATTAGTATGATTAAAGCCCACATTTTCAATGCGCCATAATCTTTCTATAATACATTCCAAAGAGCACTGATTTACATAAGAGACAACTGTTGTATGGGAACATCAGTGAGTTTGCTTTCAGCTACAAAGAAGAAAACCCACTGAAAGTGGCTTACCCATCAATAATATTTATTGTAACGTATAAGAGGAAGTCTGGAGTTTGGCTTATTCAGCAGCTCAGCAGCATCAACAAAGACCTGGGTATTTTCTAACTTTATACCCTGTCTTTCCTAGAAAACATCTTTCTCCCAGTTTCAAAGTGATGGAAGTAGTCCAGGTGTCACATACACAACAAATAGCATACTGCAAAGCAGGCAGTTACTCTCACTTACCCCTTTAAATTGGCACAAAAAACCTGAGCACGCTCCCCACTCCCCATCTGGCTTCTTCTCAGGTCCTATAGGCCATGATTGGGCCCTGTGTCTATGCTTCACCCAGTTATTGGAAAGGGGAATAAGATTATCAGTATTGCTTTAGATTAGCAGTTTCCTAACTTTAGCCCATATCAGAATCACCTAGAAGTGACCCAGCATCACCCAGATTGTGGGGCTCTATCCCCAGAGTCTTTTATTCAAGTGGGGCCTGAAATTTTGCATTTAGAATAAGTTCCCAGATAATATTGATGCTGCTCGTCTTGAGACCACATTTTTGGAACATCTGACTTAGACCAATCATGACCCATCTGCCAGCAATGGGGAGGGAGCCAAGCCTGCCAGGTGTCTTGGTTGCCTGAGAGCTATACAGAATTGTGGCTTTTCTCGGCAAGGAATAGCAGTGTGGCTAGTAATATTAGGGTCTGCCACAGTGAAACAGAATAATAATACTGGAATGTATTGAGAGCTTTGTATGTACCAAAAATTGCTCTAAAAACACAATATAGTCACCCTTGATATCCAAGGAGGATAGGTTCTTTCATATCCAAGGGGCATAGGTTCCCATAGTACCAAAATCCATGGATATTCAAGTCCCTCATATAAAATGGCATCGTATTTGCATATAACGTACACACATCCTCCCCTGTACTTCAAATCATCTCTAGATTGCTTATAATACCTAATACAATATAAATGGAATGAAAATAGTAGTTACACTGTTTTTTGGTTTTTTTTTTTTTCCTAGAGACAGAGTCTCACTTTGTCGCCCCGGCTGGAGTACAGTGGCTTGATCATAGCTCATTGCAACTTCCACCTCCCGGGTTCAAGCAATTCTCCTGCATCAGCCTCCTGAGTAGCTGGGACTACAGGTGTACGCCACCATGCCTGGCTAATTTTTTGTATTTTAGTAAAGAAGGGGTTTCACTGTGTTGCCCAGGCTGGTCTTGAACTCCTGAGCTCAGCCAATCTGCCCACCTTGGCCTCCCAAAGTACTAGGATTACAGGTGTGAGCCACCACACCTGGCCTGTATTTTTATTTATATTATTTTCATTATTGTATTGCTATTTTTTATTGTTTTTTTTTTCTGAATATTTTTCATCCACAATTGGTTGAATCTGCAAATATGGGAACCCCCAGACATGGAAGGCCAAGTGTATACATTTTTAAATCTCTCAAATGATTCTTTGAGGTAGGTATCTATTATGCCCATTTACAGATCAGAAAATTGAGAAACAGAAAGCTACAGAAATTGCCCATAGTCATACTGCTAGTAAGTTCTGTAGCCTGAGTTTAAACCATGATCTGTGTAACTTTCACAGCCCAAACTCTTAGCTATGATGCAATTTGGGGACCTGAGTTTGAATTCCGGCCCTGCCACTTTTCTGTGCCTCGGATCATCATCCAAGGTCAAATACAAATGCCACCACCTAGATTCACCTTGAGAATGATCACAATTTAGTGAAAAGTGAGTGCACTTTGGGATCAGGCAGAAAATCAGGCTTCCTGCTGTGTGACTTGGCTAAGTCTTTTCATCTGTCCAATCTCATCTTCCCCCAAGGTATAACGAACATACTAATTCTTGTCTCACAGGAAATTTGGAGGAAGTGTGTGGTAAAATACTTTACCCTATCCCTGGCACATAGTAGCCAGTCAATATGAGTGGCTCTCATTACTATTAATGACCAGCTCTGTGACCTTGGACATTCATCTGTAAAACTAGAGCTTTACAGAATACTTAGGAAGTCTAAACAAGCTCTGAGAAAATGCCTGGTACATTTTTATGCAAATGACCTGCTGCATTATAATTGTATGCAGTTAAATGAAAGCCACACTACTTCCTGTTATAAGAAAGTGAAAACCATCCTCATCTTCAACCTCAACAGAAGGAGAAAACTAAGGCTGAGGCCGGAGGAGCAAGAGGGAAAGAAGAGGCTCCTGGAACCATCAATTACTTTCCTATGGAAAAGAGTCAGACTCATTTTTCTTCCTGAAACTAACAGAGTATCTCCTTCCTTTTACATGCCAAAGATTTTCACCTGAAATTGTTGAGATAAGATGACACAGCTAACCTTAGCACACAGATGGTTTCATTATGTCATCATTTCAGCTCATTTCATCAGTGAAACCCTGGAAAGGACTTACCTGCAATTAAAAGAACTAAAATTCTGGTGTTTCAGAGTCTCAGCAAGGCCTGCCCTAGTGGGTGTCCCTATCTGAAAGAGTGCCCCCATCCTGTGCCCACTGTCACCCTTGGTTCCCTCCCCTATTGTGTTTTCTTCAGGGAAACTAACACCTTCTAAAATTACAATGTCAGTTTACTTGCTAATGATCTGCCTCCCCCATAAGAAGTAAACTCTAAAAAGAGAGGAATTTTGTCTGTCCTGGTCACTGGTATGTCCTCAATCCCTAGAACCATCTTTAGCTTACAGTAGTTACTAATTAAATATGTTGAATGAATGAAGAAATAAATAAATGGATATTTAAATAGCAGAGACAAGTTCATCTCTTTTTCCAAGCTGAAATTTTACTGAGTATAAGACAGTAACCCAATTATCCTAATGGTATACTCATTAATATTTCATCAAAGGAGAGAATACAAATGAAAGGACTATGAAAACTGTTGTCCACGTAGCTGGAACCTTACCTTGAGGACCTAAGTCTGTGCTGAGATGTAGACAAGTTTAAGCATGACCAAGGGTGTGATGACCTCACATCGTGGGGGCCAAAGCACCTCTGTCCTGGGACAGAGCATATCCAAAGGTAAGAGAGAGTTGGAATATCTAGGAAAGATCCCAGACAAGCCAGCGTGAAGGAATATTTTGAGGCAAGCCAGGCTCTGTGTCCCAGCAGGTCCTGCAACCACAGACTTACATCTGAGTCCTAGAGAGACAGAACTAAAGCAGAACCCAAAAAGAAACAGAATTGATTCAGCAGTTGGAGCAGTAGACAACCAACATCTGCAACTGGAAGGGGAAATCCCAAAGATGTTGTCAAATTTGGACGGCACCATGGTATTTTCAGAGGCATTAGAAACACTCCACAAGGCAGTGGCAGCAAGACCTCCACCTGGCATCGCACTTCCTGAAGCAGCCAGGCAGATGCCAGCAGTGGAGCCTCAAGTGGACATCTCTGGCATGGTGGGAGCCATGATACTGCAGTGAACTCAGAGACATCATCTAAGCTGACTAGAATAGAGAAAATTGGCAGACTCCACATAACAGCTGAGAGGACAGGTTAATGAGCACACATTAAGCAACATGGAATCTAGAGCCCTAGAACAATATGAGAAAAATGGAAAAGGGGCTAGAGAACAGAACACTGTTTTCTGGCCGTTGTCTTAACCCTCTTCTCTTTATAGTTTTAATTGCTGTGATATGGCGTGCTTTACCAAAAAAATAAATAAATAAATAAAACTGGGTCATCTTAAGAGCCTCTCCCCTCCCACCTTGAATCCAATCTCAACAAATTGACAAGTTAGACAAACATATGTACATTCACAAATCTTACTGTAATAGCGTCGGATGGAAATGGGACATTTTAATGGAAATGTCGAAGGGATTCAGAGGTTGATGTGACACCTTTTTCCCAAATAACAGTTTCTAAAAATTGCTTTTGAAAAGCATGCTTACCCACCCAACTACCTCCACAATGACTGAAATCTTCCCATGTTTCCCCGGTTTCTTTCTTGTCCCAACAGCTCATTACCCATCTGTCCCAGGTATCCCATTATTCGGCCTTCTTAGTCCCATGCCTTCTCTATGCACAAAGGCCAGGAGTTGCGCAGCACAGAGTAGCCTTCCTCCTGGGAAGGGAGTGTTAACGCTCACGCTCATTCTTCCTTTATCACAGAAATCAAAATCAGAAAAGCAGTTTTAAGTGAGAGGAGAAAAAAAGTTAGACTCTTTCCAAAAATGTATAAGTATCCTTTACAAATGATACCACAAGAAAAGAAGAAAATTCATGTAAATGTAGGAAAAATAGGATGCCTAAAAAGTAGACACATGAATTGTTTGAAAATTTTCAAAATCAAAAGTAAACTCTATTTTTCTTTTTCTTTCTTCTTTTTTTTTTTTTTTAAGACAGAGTCTCTCTCTGTCACCCAGTGGCGCAATCTTGACTTCCCAGGTTCAAGCAATCCTCCCACCTCAGCCTCCTGAGTAGGTGCGACTACAGGCGCATACCACTGCACCCTGCTTCCCCCTACCTTCCCGTAAAGATGAGGTCTCACTATATTGCCCAGGCTGTTCTCAAACTCCTGGGCTCAATGATCCTCCTGCCTTGGCCTCCCAAAGTGCTATGATTATAGGCATGAGCCACCACACCCGACTATTTTTCATTTACATAGACTGGGGAGAAAGGAAAAAAAAAAACACTGTTGCAGAGCAACCAAAATAAATGCAGTATGTTTATACCATTTATAGTCACTTTTGTTAGTTAAGGGTAAAATATGTTACACACTGTAGCTTGGATTCCTTATGAAATTATCATTTTTTTCCTCCAATCTCTCTAATTTGCCCATACCCTATTTCTTCTAGTCTAATCAGTTTTACTTACACTAACCTCCAGCCAGTTTGCCTAATTGACCTTTGTTTCTGAGCTATCCACATAATTTCTGCTTCTTCAGAAATATGTTTAGATGATTCTCTTCTAAAGCATCTGATCACTTTGTAATTGCTGAAAACTTATCTTAAATATTTTATTCATTATTTTGAATTTTTCCAAAAGATAAAATTGACCTGAAGATTTTAAAAAGTCTTCTCTTGTTTGTTTGTTTGTTTTGTTTTGTTTTTCTTTCCTCTACCTCCCTCAGAGCTTACAGTTCTATTTTTGAGTAGCAAAAGTTGCAAATAGGTTTTTGAGAAATGATTGGATTTAACTGCAGATTTTCATAAGAAAATGACTAGTCATAAGATAGCAGTGGACTACATGGTGTCATTTGAAAGTTATCTCGCAAAAATCTTCACCAACCCTGCTTTATGACCCCAAATGCCTGCTATGTAAGAGTATAGCCTTTTAAGTAGAAGCTTTGGATTTTCTGTTAAAATGAAACCATCTATGGAAGGGATAATATCTCATTTCTCTGCTCAAAATCATCCATTCATTCCCCACTGGCTACCAAATAAATTCCAAGTTCTTCAATTTGTCATTCAAAGCTCTCAGAGATGTGCCAACTCTGCCTTCTCAGCATCGTCCCATTAACCTCCTTCAGAAATGCACTACCACTGTTCACTGCAGGCCCATGTTCTGAGCATGCCCAGTACATTCCTTCCTCTAGGGCTTTGCTTCTAATGTGCTCAGCATGCCTGCCCTCTCTATTTACCCATGTGTGCTCATCAATATCCTTCCTCCAGCACTTGGTCTGCAGCACTTCAATTCTTGATTATAATTATATGTGTGTGTGTGATTGCGTGCATGTATGTGTATAATTATACATATATATCTGTGTGTATACATATATATACATATATACACATATATGTATATATATACACATATATATACATATGTGTGTGTATATACATATATACATATATACATATATATACATATATACATACATATGTGTGTATATATACATATATACACATATATATGTGTGTATATATACATATATACACATATATATGTGTGTATATATACATATACATACATATATATGTGTGTATATATACATATATACACATATATATGTGTGTATATATATACATATATATATGATTTTAATCTCCCTGATTTAGTCTTCTTTAGTCTGATAAAGATCTTCTTCACTTTAACATGACAGAACCCCCAATTTATTCATTTACTCGATAAATATTTATTTAGTGCCTATCATGTCCCAGGTTCTAGAAATTGGGATGCCACAGTGAAAAACGCAGAACAGACAGACCATTCAAGTTGAATTAAGCAAAAACAGGAGAGGGGAAATGTATTGGCTCATGTCACTGGAAAACTAAACTTGGTCAGTCACAAAGATCTAGGGATGTCATTAGAAATTAATCTCACTCTCTCAAAATATTTATCTTAATTCTGCTTTTCTTGGGTATGCTTTGTTCTCGGCAAAATTTCTTCACAGCGTGACAGAAATGGCCACTGGCAGCAGTGTGCTTCCATCATCCTAGAGCCAATAATGCCTAAGAAAAGAGAGTGCTGCTTTCCCAGGGAAAGGGCATCTCAGGGATCTGCTAAGGGTAAGTGGAGCCAGGGATATTGACTTTGAGCTTTTCTATGTATCTATTGGTCACTTTTATGTATATTAAGTCATTTCTGCCATCCTGGTGTAGGGATGGCTTCCAGGAACACTGCTGTCACCCACTGTGCTGACTCGTTCAGCTTTACAACACAAAGATGAAAGGTCAGAGTTCATATCATGACATGAAAATGAGCAGCACTGGAAGCATGTGTGTAGCAGAGGAGAAATGAAGTTTGAAGCCTACAGAGTCAGAAGCTAGTCTATGGAAAATTCTTCCAATCACATGTATATACAATTCCTAGCAGATAATTTGGTATCATTAATGTCTAGTCAAAATGTACACTCCCTATCACAGTGCACACAATTATAAAAGTAGCACAGTACTTCCTTCCCCTTCTATGATGGAGATCGGCAAAATCAAACGTATCAGAATTGCTGTGTTTTAGGACATAGAGCTGTAGCACCACAGGTTCTGTGTATGAAGCTCTGTGCTTTACATAACTTGGGACGTATTATATCTTAGCATATCTGATTCCTCTTGTCCTGAGGAAGAAGGTAGTTCCAGAGGAAATTTTGCAAAGTTGCCAAAAAAAAGGAAAAATAATAAGTGTCCTGAAGAAACAAGTGTTTTTTTTTTTTTCCACATATGTAGTCATTGAGAAGTCAATGAATGTTGTAAAAGAGTAATTTGGTCACCTAATTGTATTTGTTATCCATTGCTGCCTCACAGATTGCACTGCATGAGTTTCTTGGGGCTGCCATAGCAAATTACCAAAAAAAAAAAAAAAAAAAAAAAACTGGGTGACTCAGAATAACAGAAAATTATTATCTCTCAATTCTGGAGACCAGAAGCCTGCAACCAAGGTGTCAGCCTGCCATGCTCCCTCCTGAGGACTCTGGAGAAAAATCTCTCCTTGGCTCTTTCCCTGTGCCTGGTGGCTCTTTCTATGCACCTCTTGGCTCTTTCTATGCGTCTGGTGGCTCCCAGCAGTCCTCGGGGTTACTTGGCTTGCAGCTGCATCCCTCCCATCTCCACCTCTGTCATCCTGTGGCCTTCTTGCCTGCATCTCTATGTGTCCTCTCTGTTTATAAAGATGCCAGTCAGGCCGGGCGTGGTGGCTCACACCTGTAATCCCAGCACTTTGGGAGTCTGAGGCGGGTGGATCACGAGGTCAGGAGATTGAGACCACCCTGGCTAACACGGTGAAACCCCGTCTCTACTAAAAAATAGAAAAAAATTAGCCGGGCTTGGTTGCGGGCGCCTGTAGTCCCAGCTACTTGGGAGGCTGAGGCAGGAGAATGATGTGAACCCAGGAGGCGGAGCTTGCAGTGAGCCCAGATCGCGCCACTGCACTCCAGCCTGGGTGACAGAGTGAGACTCGGTCTCAAAAATAAATAAATAAATAAAAATAAAAATAAATAAATAAATAAATAAAGATGCCAGTCACTGGATTAAGAACTCAGCCTACTCCAATATGGCCTCATCTTAACTAATTACATCTTCAAAAAATCTGTTTCCAAATAAGGTCACATTTTGATGTTCTGGGTTGGGGGGGACATTATTCAACCAATTATATACCCCCAAACTTGGCATCTTAAAATAAAAAAGTGTTATTTCATATCACAATTTCTGAGGAATCCAGGAATGGCTTAGCAGGATGGTTCTGGCTCAGAGTCTCCCAAAATTACAGTCCAGCCATCAGTGAGGGCTGCAGTCATCTCAAGGCTCAACTAGGGCTGGAGAATCGGCTTCCAAGCTCACACATGAAGTTGCTGGCTGGCTGGGATCCTCTCTGGCTGTTGGCGTGAGGCCTCAGCTCCTTACTACATGGGCCTGGCTCCACAGGCTGGGAAGTTTCTCTATGACACAGAAGCTGGCTTCTCCCAGAGCAGTGATTTAAGAGAGAGAAACAGAAAGAGAGAGAGAACAAACTAGCAAAAATGGAAGAGAGTGCTTAAGACAGAAATTGCAATCTTATTAAATCTAATCTGGAAAATGATGTGTTACTTGTGCTGTATGCTGCTGTTGGTCCCACAGACCAACTCAAGAACAACATAGGAGGAGACTATGCAAGGGTCTAAAACCAGGAAGCCCAGGTCCTTGGGGGTCATCTTGGAGGCTGCCTACTGCAAAAATAATGCAGCTCAATACATCATGGCAGCAATTTTTTAAGTGTATATAAATTGTTCCTTTGTATGCCTTAATTCCAGATTAAACTGTATTTTACTTAGAATCAGTGATGACTCTAATTTTAAAAGTATTGTTAAAAGAAAAACTTTAAATAAGTTAACAGAGTTTAATTGAGCAAGGAGTAATTTGAAAATCGGGCAGCCCCCAAAACGAGAATAGGTTCAGAGCAGCTCCAAGACTGCCACGTGGTTGGATAATGTGATAGTTAATACTGAGTGTCAACTTGATTGGATTGAAGTATGCAAAATATTGATCTTGGGTGTGTCTGTGAGGGTGTCGGCAAAGGAGATTAACGTTTGAGTCAGTGGGCTGGGAAAAGCAGACCCACCCTCAATCTGGGTGGGCACCATAGAATCAGCTGCCAGTGTGGCCAGAATATAAATAGAAAGCAGGCAGAAAAACCTGAAAAGGCTAGACTGGATATATATATATATATATATATATATATATATATATATATATATATCCTATTATTTCTGTCCCTCTAGAGAACCCTGACTAATACAGATAACATTCAAGGACAGAAAAAGGAAAAAGGACAGAAAAAAGAAGACACAGTGAGGTATAGAAACAACTGGGCCTTTGCCTTATTTGAACATGGGTGGGACAATTGACCATCTGTGATTGGCTGACTCAGCTACTTGTTATACGAGTAGGTTACAGCCTGTTTACACATCCAGTTAGGTTGCAGTTCACTATGCACAGAAAAGCTTTTAGGTCAAACTTAAAAATATGTAAGGAGGAGGCTTTAGACTAAATTTTTTATTTTTTGTTTATTTTATTTTATATTTTTTGAGACGGAGTATTGCTCTGTCACCCAGGCTGGAGTGCAGTGGTGCCATCTCGGCCCACTGCAACCTCTGCCTCCTGGGTTCAAGAGATTCTCCTGCCTCAGCCTTCCGAGTAGCTGGGATTACAGGCGCCTGCCACCACACCTGGCTAATTTTTGTATTTTTAGAAGAGACGGGGTTTCACCATGTTGGTCAGACTGGTCTCGAACTCCTGACCTCAGGTGATCAACCCGCCTCGGCCTCCCAAAGTGCTGGGATTACAGGCATGAGCCACCGCGCCCGGCCTAGGCTAAACTTAATTTAACAATTTTGAGAGGTTGACCAAAGCTTTAGGCATTGATATCATTCTGTCACTGTTGTAAGTGGACATATCTGGTCTCAAATCCCACTGGAAAATAGCCTAACAGTGAGTTTTATAAGGTGGGAATAAGGAAAATGAAAAATAGAGGGAAAGGCTGATGGGTTAACATCAGGTTACTTCAGGTTACCTTTTTGTAAAGGTTAAAGCTGAGGGGGTTTCCTTATTATGCTGGAATCTCCTGTTTTGAGGAGAAAGAAAATGGTCTGTTTTGGGATCTACTGGCTTCCTTAAAGTTTCAGTTTGATTACCACATGCCATGTAGCAAGAGGGACTCCATTTTGGTTTTTCTGATCTGTTAGAGCCTAGTACACAAGTTTAGTCCAAAACAATGCCCCCCAACCCTGATAATTTTAATATTATAGAAGTTGCCATGAAGTTACTTGTTAAAACAGACCCCTAAATATAACAGATGCTCACAATACTCCCTGCGGGACTGCTGCCAACTTCCTGTGGACTCAGACTGGATGTGTCTTAATGTTTCTGCATACACTTCTTAGACCAACAAGAGCATCTGAACCTTTCCCACACTTTCAAAATTAGCAAAGCCAGCTGGCCATCCAGCAGGATCCTGAGAAAGAACACACGAGATGGGGACATGGGGACAGGAATGAGGATGAGTGATGGGCCAGAAATCCAAGAGTCACTTCCTATGAGGAGCCATAAGAGGTGCTGGGTAGTCCCTGAATCCTAGGAGTGGGGACAAGGACTTACAAATGAAACTTGGTGCTACAAGCCACCATTTCATGTCTTAGTTTGTAAGGCTGGTATTTTTGGTATTCAAGAAGTGATGTGTTTCCTGCTAGATTCTGTCTGGAATTCGGTGGGCTCAGCCACACAGCAGTGTCTGACGTCACGGCGTGTGATTCAATCAGCCAGGCTTCCCCTAGTTACAGGCAAACGAAAGATATATTAATTGGGCCTAAATAAACAAAGCATCACCCCATTAAAGTCACAAAATGTTAATGTTAAACAATTTATGAGTAACATTTGCACACATTTTAAAGGGTGCAGTATAGAGAAGATAGTTAATAAATGATGAACACTTAGGCACAAGTAAAGCAGCTGTCTCAGCTTCCACAACTGCTATTAGCACTGCTTAAATTGCCTCTGGATCTTTAACATCTGGGCCCAGTACTTCTACTCAGTGGCTTCTCAGCGGCTTGCAGTTTGCAGTTCTTAGTTAATTGCAGTAAACTGGCACTGATTGCTTTTGGGAAAGAATTTCATTTGTGCCTATGTGATGCTAATCTCAAAAAAAAAAAAAAAACTTCAGGTTTCCAAAACTTCCATGTTTTAAAGAAAACTGCTTTGATATTTACTAAGCTTTTCTCTGTAGAATGTTTTCAAGTATCCTCTAAGGGGCCCTGGTTAACCCTCTTTCCTCTAGGAGTAGAGATAGGTCTATGCAGTGCCCCCCAGTCTCAATCTCCATGCTCTGATAAGATGCCATGCCACGGCCAGGTGCGGTGGCTCACGCCTGTAATCCCAGTACTTTGGGAGGCCGAGGTAGGCAAATCATCTGATGTCGGGAGTTGGAGACCAGCCTGACCAACATGAAGAAACTCTATCTTTACTGAAAATACAAAATTAGCCGAGCATGGTGGTGCATGCCTATAATCCCAGCTGCTCAGAAGTCAGAGGCAGGAGAATCGCTTGAACCCGAGAGGCAGAGGTTGTGGTGAGCCAAGATCACACCATTGCACTCCAGCCTGGGTAACAAAAGCGAGACTCTGTCTCAAAAAAAAAAAAAGATGCCACTCTACTGTAATTTCTGTGCCACCACAGTTCTCCCAAGGAAACTAGAAAGTAATGCACTACTTAATGAAACTAGAATGTTGCAGCCATCTTCATGAATAGCCTTACAAAGTGAGAAGGAAAACCCATGATGGAAGCTAGCCACAACAGCCTGTGCATTGCAGCAGGTCCCTTGTCTCAAAGGGCCCTGTAGCCATTACAGGCATGAGGTGTTTGATATAGACTTTTTTTTATCATGGACCTTCCTGGCTGCAGCAGGCTTCTTCACCTTCTGGGGCCATGTACACCCGCCACAGGTTGGAACAGTGAGAGATGAATAACTTTTCAGCTCCTCCCTCTCTCATTCCAACATTCCCCATCCCATTCCAGTAACTGATGATAAGAACTTTTAGTGGTTGCTTCCCACAAGTCAGGAACTCCACCTAAGCATTTTCTAGGTATATCTCATATAAGAAATCATACCATGGTTAAGATCATGGACTCAAGTCAGACCACCTGGCTTCAAATCCTGCACTACCACTTACTAGCCATGTGACCTTGGACAAATAACTTAACCTCTCTGTACCTTAGCTCTTCATCTGTAGAATGAGCTAATAATAGCCAGACCTCATGGGACTGTTGGGAGAATTAAATGAGTTAATCTAGAAAGAACATGTAGAACAGTGCCTGGCTCATAATAAGTATAATTTAAGTATTGGCTAATAATATGTCTGGAATGAAGACAATTTATGATGAATTTTGTTTTTTATGATTTGGAGTTTTTCTCTTCGTGACATTTCAAGGGAGTAAAATTGACATTCTGCTCTTTAATCATTTGCATAAAATGTGAAGAATTTGGAAAAATAGAACCTTTTCTTGAACAACTCATAACCTAAATGGAATTAGATAACTAAAAGCCGTTCCGAAAGGTTACTTTGCTTAATATTGTGCATTTTCGAACACCAAATAATTCTATAAAGATTAGAATTATGTCATCTATTCTGTATTTTTCTACTTTTTATTATAATTAATTTAATGTTATAAATATTTTAGGCTCTAAAGTATAGAGTTTTTTCTAAAGTAATCTACCCAGTGTGTTCTCTCATTATGCATATTAATCTGCATTCTTTCCCTATTTATTATTCAAAAGTTCATAGTAATTTTATATATAAAATGAATAGTTTCACAATCATGTTAATTATTGCAGGATTTTACTCTTCAATAACAAATGTACATTTACACTTCATTTGACTGACACATTTAACTGAATAAAACACACAAAGGGATTTTTTAATTCCAAGTTACATCTAGAATAAAACTTACCTATATTTGAATAGCCTAATATTTTGATACTCCAATATCTACAACAAATCCAAATAGCACAATATGTTCATTTTACAGAAATTGTTACACTGATATTTGGTGGTGGTAAACTAAATAATTACAAAATCACTGCTCACACCAACATTCAAAATGTCAGAAATGACATTGAAGCAGGCATTAATCTATCTGGGCTTCCAAAGACTAAACCTGAACCAAAGCTGAATAGCATATTCTGGCTAAACATAAAAGCAAAGCCAAGCTTCAGTGCATTCCTAAGAAAATAGAACAATATGCAACCATGAAGGATGTGGTCTAAAAAATAAAGATACCAAAAAATGCTCCTGATAGCGTCAGAGTACATAAGAAGACAAGATATTTAATTATATAAATATGATTCAAATCATTTCAATATGAACCTTTCGATTCTAAAGACCCACTCTAGCTAGCACAAGTAAACAGAAGTTTAGCATAATGATAAACATTGAGCAATATGGATAATGTCAATGAAATCCAAGAGCAGAAACTTCATGGAGCTGAAAAGGAGGAAGAAAAAGTAGAGGAAGAGTAAGTGTGCTAAAATCCTCACCTAAATGATGGGATTAAGAGGCAAGGTCCAAATTTGATGGACCCAAAAAAAGAGAAAATTTAATAGTATTCTTTAAAGATTCAACAAAGAAAATCAACAGAAGAACTAACAATAATTGCATTAAGAATTAGAAGGGGAAGTGGACAAGATTAGTGCAATACTCATATTTGATAGGAGAGAATCAACAGATAATAACCTAAAGTAATCAGTCAAAAATTAGAAGGACAAGTTTACTATTTAGAAATAGAAAGGTAACTATCAAAACCCTAAAAACATTATCACTTAAAGATGGTTGTCTCTGCTAATGCATGCTGGGCTTAATACCTAGGTAATGGGTTGACAGGTGCAGCAAACCACCATGACACACATTTACCTGTGTCACAAACCTGCACATCCTGTACATGTACCCCATCCTGTACATGTAAACAATACAATAAAATAAAAAAGATGGTTGCCTCTGGCAAGTGGAAATGGGGTAAGGCAGGACAACCTGCTTCTTTTACGAGGCTTTCTGCATAATCCTTTTTAAAATTCAAGTTTCATGAATTAGCTGGATTAAAAAATTTTAATGAAATGGTTGATTGTATTAGAGATATTCTTTTCTTAGGATATGTATGTCTGAATGGATGGTAAAAATGCTGGCTTGTGAGTAACTTCAACTCTCTTCACCCCAGAACACCTCGGGATGAGTGGGGATGGTCTGGACTGGTGAATTCTAATGGGCGTCTTCCACATTCCTAGAATCAGAGGGCAGCTCTTCTGCCCATATTTATCCAATATAGATATCTCTTTCACTAGTGATGTTAACACTGATTATTGGCAAAAGTGGGAAACTTCCATTTTTATTTAAAAATCATCCTTTCTCCAAAGACAGTACAGTGAAATCATTTCTCATTTACATTTAGTAACTCCCTTAGTCACATAATAAGTCAGAATTCTATGAAAATGTGCGTTGTTCTGTAAATGTGAATGACTTTAAAAAACAAAGCATTATTAAAAAATATAGGGTCCTTCCTTGCTACCTAAGTGAACCCTGATGAAGGTATATTAATATACTGATAAGTAATTTTTGCACATTAAAAATCTTATATAGATTTAATACCATTTTCAGCTTTTGTTTAATGAATATTTAATTCAGAAAGCTATGAAATAATAGGTAATTATAGCTCTACAAGAACACATATTGACATGTAGTTTAAAAGACTCTGAAAGGTGCCTTGTGCTTGCAGTGAGTTTATAATTTAAACACAAAGAAAAATTTTAAGGTTGCCAATCAAATATTCCTCAGAAGAAAGAACGAACGGAGGATCCCACTTCCTTAGGGCACATATGCAAAGGAGATACTAAAAATAACATAGGCCACGCTTGGCAGACCATGTTTAGGCAAAATTCCAAACACATCTAAAAAAGGCTGGTGAAGAAAAAAGTTTCCCTAACTTCAGGCATATAAGGGTCAGGTTTAGAAAAGATGATGGGGATAATAAGCAAAGGGCCTTAGAGGTAGGAGCAAATGGCAAGTCCAAGAAGTTTGAAATTCACTTCCCCAACCTTCCTTTTCATATCTTTTTCTTAATTTGAGCAGTCTTCCAATATCTTCAACC
The DNA here is from genome assembly GCF_000001405.40 of Homo sapiens. Taxonomy (NCBI): domain Eukaryota; kingdom Metazoa; phylum Chordata; class Mammalia; order Primates; family Hominidae; genus Homo; species Homo sapiens. Next base: position 182,730,178 of record NC_000001.11, read on the forward strand.
CTGACTCCACCAAGGAGCCCTGACTCCCTTCTGCTATCCATAAGACACTCATTCACTCTAACTTGAAGGGACTTAGTACATTATCTCTCCTAGGGAGATTTATACTTCCAAGAAGGATCAGTTGAGTAAAACAACACTTTAGCCCATGCAATGCAGTAGTAAATTTTAAAACATGCACACCCTATCGCACTAGGAGGCAATCACCTTTTCTAGCAGAGTTTGGCTGGGTTTAAAACAAAAAAAAAAATTTGGCCGGGGTCAGTGGCTCATGCCTGTAATCCCAGTACTTTGGGAGGCCAAAGTGGGCAGATTGCCTGAGCTCCGGAGTTCGAGACCAGCCTGGCTAACATGGCGAAACCACATCTCTACTAAAAATACAAAAAATGGCCGGGCACAGTGGCAGGTGCCTGTAATCCCAACTACTTGGAAGCCAGAGGCCGAAGAATTGCTTGATCCCGGGAGACGGGGGTTGCAGTGAGCCAAGATCCCGCCACTGCACCCCAGCCTGGGTGACAAGAGCGAGACTGCATCTCAAAAAAAAAAAAAAAAATTTAGAGTCCTTCCAGCAATTTGCACTCTACCTTGCAGAAAAAGTCCCTAGACCAGTAGATCTCAATTTTTTACATGCTTAAGAATGTTGTGGAACACTACAACTGACCAGTCTCATTCCCGGAAATTCTGAGATTCTGATTCAGCTCCAGAAAACTGTATTTTTAACCGGCACTGTAAACAATTCTGATATAACCCATCTCCTGGCCCACATTTGAAAATCACTGCATGGCACTGAAAGACTAAAGGGTTAGAGAAATCTTCACTTCTCCCTGCTGCAGAGAGATCCACCAGTGGCAGATTTCTAAAGAAAAGAGTTTATCTGACCTGCATTCTATCTTCCTGTTCTCACCTATAACTTGCCCCTAAAAACTCTCAGGATCTTTAATAGCCGTTTTATTCCCAAGCATAGGCACTAATTGGATCCCCACGTGGCAACACTTTCCAACGTTCAGCAAAGCATCTGCAGTTGCTGGAGAATCTAGATAGAAATGTAGCCCAATAATCCTGCACCTTTAGCCCTCACAAACTTAGCTATGAAAAGTGACTTGGCTTCACGCTGTTACTTCTAATTTCTCCAGTGTGCTGCTTGTTGGTTGACTGCAATTGGCAGTTGGATTATATCCTATTTCTTGCTTACCTGATACAGTAAAATAATTCTCCTTTACCTGTTCCCAAGACTTTTGTCACCCATCTATGCCCATCCTATCCCAAGGAAATAGAGTAAGCCCACCAATTATAACGAAAACATTTCCTTAGAGCTAGAAAAGATGAAAAAGTCTTCTTCTAGTTCAAGATTCTTGAAATCACTGCTGAAAAAATCCTCAATCTACTTTTTTCTCAAAAGCCCATCCCAACTAATATCACATTACTTGGTCTCAACATTACAAAAAGCACAAACACACACACAGAAACTGCATCCCAATTCTCAACAATGAGAGGCCATTTAGGTGGTTTAGAATGTTCTCTCCATTAATGGACTACGATTTAAATGAAAACACAAAATTTAGAAATCCTCAGAGTACTTGAGAATGTGCTTGGACTTCAGGGTCCTACAGATCACAGTTTGAAAAACAGCAGTATAATAGATTTCTCATCACTGCCACTTATTACTTAGGTGACCTTGTTAGTGGCAGCTAATCTCTCCAAGCCTTGGTTCCAACTAAAGCAGATTGCTGAACAAAAGGCTGCCAGTATTAGTACAGTATGAATGATAGATCACAGTGGGAGAGACTGAGGCTGGAAGACCTGTGGGAAAGTTACTGCAATGACCTGGGTATGAGCCAGGAAGTGTTGGGACTAGGACTAGGTTATTAGCAGTAGGAGTAAAAAGGGATAGATACTGACGACTTTAGAAAGAACCAACATTGGTGACTGACTGGGTGTTTTCCCAGACTACACTTCCAGGATGTTAACTGGTGTTCTGTGAAAACTATTAATTTCATCTTCAAAAAAATTTGGGGAATTTTGCTATAATGTCAGCAGAACAAGCGCTCTCTCTCTTTCTCTCTCTCTCTCATTCCCTCTGTCTCGCTCTCTCTCTCATACACACACACACACACACACACACACACACCCACTGTAGCAGTACTAGGTTGCGCTTAATGCTCTGAATCCTTTTCTAGGCTGCTACATTTCCAGTTCCTCAAACAGAACTTGTCCAACAGTAAGTCTAAATAAATATTTGTTAAATGAATAAATGAGCAAGGAGCAAATAAGGAAACAACTAGATGGTAGAATTTTAGGAGCTTGAAAAAGACTCATACCATTCATTCCAAATTCTTTCTCCTGCTAGCCAATGTTAACATTTCATCAATAGAATTTAAATCCTTTGGCCACAATGTCTCAGGAGAGGATATGGCTTCAACAAAGGGGTTCTCAGACCTACTTGAGGGGCAGAAAACTTAAGTGTAATAGTGACCATTATGAAGCATCTGAGCCAGAAACAATTTTATTATCAGAAACTGAATGTTATGTATTATGTTGGTACTGATTGACAAAAAAGGGCATGCTATAGAAGGACAAAGAAAAGCTAATTGAGTAGAAGCTCCTGGAGGATTCTTTGAAGATAAAAGCAAGATGACAGCCACAGTGAAAAAGAATCAAGAGTCCTTCACCCTGGCAACTTTGAAGATGATTTCTTGTGGCACATGCCTCAGGTAGAGTCCAGGCTAGCCAGCCAAATGGTATTATGGCTTTCCAGAAATCACAAAGCAAAGCCATCACAGCTTAATGCAACCAAGTTAAATGGTCACTGTAGGAACTTAAAAGACCGTATATTGTTCCTAATGTAAGGAACATAGAGGAAACCTGAATACAGAAGCAAGTGCATCTCATGGTTTCGCAGTCTGCTCTGAAAAAGGATTTAAATGGCAAAGACTGTGAGTGAAGCGAATGGATTTCACAACAGAGGATACTCAGATATTCAAATGCTGTGTTCATAGGCAGTAACTCAGTGTCTGGTACATGTGTTATAGTTTTTTCTGTTAATTAAATCAACACAATTTTGCAGCAAGATTATTTGTCCTGTGTTTTCAATATTCAAGTGTGTTAAATAAGAAATGATATGCCGTGCTCAATATCCCAGGAAGTTAATTATCTGGGAGAATTCATGAAGGATTGTAGAGATTATGATGCTACATTTTAAGTATCCATCTGCTATATGTTTACTGGTTGACTGCTAGAATGTAGCTGACAAGGAGCATCGGGTATCAAGTGACTTATGAAATTTTGACAGAGTGGGACAAATAAAGCCTGCAGGTAGGAGCTAAGCTAGGGCTGGAATTTGGGACCAGTCACAAGCTTAGGCCAGGATAGGGCTGGAACAATGCCTTGGAGTGACTCTCACTCATATCTCAAATCTGCTGCCACACTGGAACACCAGGGGGTGGGGACAGCCTGAGGATTGAGGAAGCAAAGCAGATAGAGCTAAGAATGATGTCAAGGACCAGCCAAGGTCCAAGGAAAGAAGGAGAGTAATGAAAGGAGACACAGGCAGACCCAATTCCATCCAGTGTTCATCTACACTGTCCAATAAAATTAGGAATAGAAACAGGCACAACACTGACAGACTAACAGAGGTCCCTGAAGCCAATAGTATTCTGTTTAATGGCATAGTCAAAAGAAAACACACAGCCCTAGATACCAAGTTATTTATTTATTTATTTATTTATTTATTTATTTATTTATTTTTATTATGATTATAATTTTTTGAGATGGAGTCTCGCTTAGTTGCTCAGGCTGGGGTGCAGTGGCATGATCTCGGCTCGCTGCAACCTCCGCCTCCCACAGTCAAGCAATTCTCCTGCCTCAGCCTCCCGAGTAGCTGGGATTACAGGCGCCTGCCACCATGCCCGGCTAATTTTTGTATTTTTAGTAGAGACAGGGTTTCACCATGTTGACCAGGCTGGTCTCGAACTCCTGGCCTCAGGCAATCCGCCCGCCTCAGCCTCCCAAAGTGCTGGGATCACAGGCATGAGCCACCGTGCCTGGCCCCAAGTTATTTATTTTGATGTCAGATTTGGATAAACAAAAAGCAGGTCAGTCACAGTGTGATCTGATTCTCTATGGCCATGCGGGTTTTAATTGACTGGAAGCTAAAGAACTCAATTATAATGATAAGAATTATGATTTTGAATGCATAGTGCATAGTAGCAGCAGAAAGTAGCTTTACAAGAAAACATCCCACCAGAAAAGATGGTCATACTTGCCAAGTTAAAAAGATTAGAAGATTCTCATCAATAAGCTACAGAAAAAATAACCGAAAGAATCAAGACGGTTGTAAACTTCTTTTCAAGATCTTGATACTTCTATGTCCTTCTTTGACTTTGTAGTTGATCCCAATACTTTTTCATGCATTTTTTATGTTGTCTCATTATAAGGTATGGTTTTGTAAAAATAAGGCTTGACCAAGACAATCTTCCTGTAATAGAATCTACTAATATTAACAAAGGAGGTGAGGGAATTGACCTAAATACCCAAGTTAGGAACCAAGGAGTTATAATTTTGTGTTTTAGCACTGGGAGGATGTTGGGAGGTTCAGAGCCTATAATCACTTAGTGTCCAGTCAATAGAAGGTCAGCAATTACTGCAAGTTGAACTCAGTATTTTCTAAGGCGATGCTGATCATAGAAATATAATGTGGGCCACATACATAATTTTAATTTTCCAGTATCCACATTAAAACAGGTAAAAAGAGACAGGTGAAATTAATTTTTATCATATATTTTAGCACAATATAACCAAGATATTATTATTCCAACATACAACCAGTACTTGAAAGTATTAATAATATATTTTACATTCTCTTTTTTTAATACTACGTTTTTGAAATTCAATGTGTAATTTACACTGACAACATGTCTCTCTTCAGGCTAACCCCATTTTAAGTGCTCAGTAGTGCCTTGAGGCGAATGGCTACTATACTGGGCAGTGCAGTCCTAAGAGCTCAAATGAATAGTGAATTTTTTTTAAAAGCACTTATTTAATGTATTGTCTGCTGAATAAAATTTTCAAGAACATCAAACATTTTAATGCATCTTATTAAATTGGTTATAGAGTATTATAATCAACGATAACTAAGGAAAAGTCACTGCCATTTTTTTAAAGAAAATTTAACATTAGGAAAACTGAAAACTAAAAATAAAGATAAACGGGGTTAAAGATATCCATTAGTTAACTTTTGTGGTAGAATGCTCTGTCCAACAGAATTTGAAGACCAATGCTTTGAATAACGTAGGTCATTTACAGCTCCAAAAAAAATGAAAGCCCTGAGAGCTAGATCTGATGAGATCAGGGTGGGACAGAAGGAAGCAGGAAAGAGTTGGAGATAGAAGGGAAGATAAGCAGGGCGCTATGGCAGTAACAAAGAGAGGGCCCTGGTGGAAGCAGGGACAACACAGGGCTTCACCTTCATTTCATTTTTGCCAAGAACCAGTCCTGTTATTGAATAAGTCTGTGCCTCTACACAGCCTGATTGCACCAGTTTGTGATTATATTTTGCTCTGGCCCTTTCTTTTCTATATTCACAAGAGATGTATCTGAAGGCATGGCTCATTTTCTCTGTCTGACCAGCTTCATGATTGATCCTGATCAGCAGGGTCTTCCCCTCACAGAGACACAGGCAATAACCTTACTAACCTGGGCAGGGCCTTTCTGCCCCCAAATATCTCCTCCACTTTCTATCATGACACCTGAAGGCCACAGAGTGCCTTCCTTTGGGTTAGGACAATGTTTCTCAAACTTCAACCATTTGATTATGTCTGTCATTGTTTTTGCCATGTCTGTGTACCACCTATACCATTGCTTACTTAATATCATTTTTCAAATTAACTCCTTTTTCTTTTTTACAACAATACATTGATTAAAGAAACTCTATATCATCACCAGGCAGTAAAACCAATGTGACTTGCCATAAATAGGAAGTTACCCTGAAGATAAAACCACTATTAAAATATTAAATGGTCATGCTTGTACCACCTTAAACCATTTTGCCTCCACCAGTGGTACAATTACCACTAATTAGGAAATACTGGATTAAGGAACTGTCCCCAAAAAGCAATTGCTAAAACATGACTGTCAGAGAGCAGATGTGTAGCATTCACAAATACTAGTTAGCTATGAACTTTTCTTGAGTGGGGAATAGTGTTTAGGTCAGATTTTTTTTATCTTTATTTTGCATAGGAATCACGTGGGAAGCTTATTTAAAATATAGGTTTCTGGGTCCCACACTAGATTTAGTAGATTTAGTAGAATTGGGTTAGGCCTGGATATCTGCATTTTTACCAAATTTTTGGGGTGATTAGAATTTGGTGGGTTAGCAAAGCCCACTTCAAGAAACCCTGGGACATAAAACCACAAGCCAGTATGAGATATGGAAACCTATGTCATGGATGTTAGCCCTGGGATAGCAGTAGGAGTCCAACATAGAGGAGAGGGAAGGGCATGCCCTTGAGTAATCCCCTACCATGCAGTGTGCGCTGGACCTAGCAACTTGCTTCAAACATACAGAACACAGAAGTGATGGGATGCTGCATCAGAGAATAGGTTCTAAAACTGACCTCCACCTTGCTCACTCTTTCCCGCTCTGCTCTTCTTGCTTGCTCACTTGGATGAACCAGCTGCCATGCTGTGACATGTCCATATAGAGAGGCCCATGTGGCAAGGGACTAAGGGCAGTATATTATTTCCTGCAGCTGCTATCACAAATTACCACAAAGTTGGTGGCTTAAAACAACAGAAATCTGTTTTCTCAGTCCTGGAGGCCAGAAGTCAGAAATCAATTTCACCGGGCCCAAAATCAAGGCATTGGCAGGGCTTTGCTTCCCTTGGTAGCTCTAGGAAGAATCTATTCTTGCCTCTTCCAGCTTCAGGTGGCTACCAGCATCCTTTGGCTTGTGGCTGCATCACTCCAGGCTCTGCCTCTGTTGGTGGCATTGCATTCCTCTTTGGTGTCTAATCTCCCTCTGCCTCTCTCTTATAAGAACACTTCTGATGGCATTAAAGGGACCACCCAGATAATCCAGAATAATCTCATCTCCTAAATCTTAATCTCATAGGTAAAAAAAAAAAATTAACTATATAATAAATTTTATGTGTATTTGACCATAAGGAAATAAATTTTTTTAACTTTGCCATATGATGTGGTTTGGCTGTGTCCCCACCGAAATCTCATCTCGAACTGTAGCTCCCATAACCCCATGTGTCGTGGGAGGGACCCAATAGGAGGTAGTTGAATCATGGGGGCAGGTTTTTCCCAGGCTGTTCTCATGATAGCAAATAAGTCTTACGAGATCTGATGGTTTTATAAAGGGCAGTTCCCCTCCACACACTCTCTTGCCTGCTGCATGTAAGACGTGCTTTTGCTCCTTCTTTACCTTCCACCATGATTGTGAGGCCTCCCCAGACATGTGGAACTATGAGTCCATCAAATCTCTCTTTTATTTATAAATTATCCAGTCTCAGGTATGTCTTTATTAGCAGCATGAGAACAGACTAATAAACCATACAAGATAACATTCACAGATCCAGAGAATAGGCCCTCTTATCTTTGGGGGCGACCATTCAACCCCCTACAGGCAGCTACCAGCCAACAACTAGGGAGGATCTGAGGACCTCAGTTCACCAGCATGTGAGAAACTGAGGCCTACCAACAACCACACGAGTGAATTTGGAAGCAGTTGAACTTGGAAGCAGGCTTGAGATGACTGCAACCCAATTGAAGCCCTGATTGCAGCCTTGTGAGAAACCTTGACCCAGAGAATCCAGTAAAGCCATTCCCAGATTATTGGCCCACAGAAACTATTTTTAAAAATTGCTTTTTAAAGCAACTAAATGTTGTGATAATTTGTTACACAGTAACAAATAACTAACAGTTGCTTTGCTCAAGACTCATAAAATGCTAATTCATTATATATTCATTATGTTGTATTCACATCTAAGATAAAAATTAGAGCCAAAACTGTTGCATATAATGGACGGAGGCCACTTGATATTATAACAAGAGCACAAGCTATTCATTAGAAAAAGCAACCTTGAACAGTTGTTTAACTTCTCTGAGCCTTTGTTTCCATTTGTGTTAGATGAAGATAATGATACTTTTCCAGGTGTATTATGGATAATACTTTATGACATATGTGAAGCATTTAGTTCAGTATCTGGCATCAAATGACCAATAAATAGTAGCCTATATAATTTTCATGTACCTCAAGAAAATATATATTTTAAAATAGCATTAAATATATTTTAGGCTTATCATTTTAGATTTTTAAATGAAATTAGAGTTGACCTTTGAGAGGTCAATTATTTGGTGTTATTTTAAACAAATGAAAATGATCTAACAATGGACTTTTTCATCTTTATGGGCCATGCCAGGTATACTCTGGGTACCCTTTATGGCCAATCCTGTAATTAATATGAAGTATGGAGTCAGAACATGAGGGAATAAAAAAGGCAAAACAAAATTATTTTAGCTACAGTCAGTGAAACATCTATTGACAGAGAGAGGGGATACAATCACTGAACAAGAGCAAACCAATAAAGACCTTGAAACCAAGTATGCATCTGGGAAGCAGTCCAGAGATTGACTGCAGGTCCATTTAGGGGTTAGGGCAGGGTGAAGAGGCTGAATCATGTGGAGAGCTGGGGAGGCAGTTTCAGAAACATCTTGCAGGGCAAGAGGATGAAGGTCGATGGTAAGGACATTGAAAGATGCGGAAGCTAGAGGACTAAAGAGACAATCTCTCTTTCATACAAGGTTAGATCTGTAGTTGTATCTCTGAATTTGATAAGCACTTAACTTCTGATCTCTCCTCACCCCTGAAATAAAGAATCTTATTGGATCCTCTCCCAGGTATCTTCTAGCTGACATTTATGGCTTCTTTCCATTTAAAAGTGGAATATTCCCCCACAAGTGTGCTGGGAAAGTCTCAGCTTTCAGATGAACAATGAAATATGCTGGATACAGTCAGCTGCTACTTGGCTTCACCTTCTGCTCTTTCTCTAGTGTCAGTACTTACTCCTCATCTAGGAAGAGAATCAGTGCTTAACGTGAGAGAAAAAGAACCCAAAAGATGGCTTTCTGAGGGGCTTCGCACAGCCTGATAAGACAATGTATTTTCTCCCCAACGCTGTCATCTGGGGAAACACTGTCATCCCCAACAGTGTCACTGGGGCCCCGACCTTGAGTACTGACGTGGGGGAACTGATGTTCTTTCAATGGGGTTTTTAAAGGCACACCAGCAGTCACAGGCATACACACAGTTTCTGGCATTTATGAAGAATTGGGGTTTCTTTTAAGAGGAAAAAAAAGAATAAACCAAATTGTTCATTCCTTTTCTAAAGTATTGTATATTGGCTTTGTATTTGAGGACTGCCTTGTTATCTTCATGTTTTCAGGCCTCCCCCTGTCCCATAGCCTAGGGGGAATCGCCATGGCCCTGATTTGTGTATGTAGACAGTGCTGTTTCCATTCCTCTTGGCCTTGACCTCTGCCTCTTCACACCTCCTCCCACTCACCCAGCCAGCGGGCAGCCCACCCAGAAGCCCTTGCGCCAGCAGTTACCTGGCAACAGCGACAATCACGCTAACAGGCAGCAACACAGCAGCAGAGACCAGAGAGCTCTGAGTCTTCCAGAATCTAAGCAGGGAAGGGAAGGGGGGCAAACGGCTGTTTTTATCAATGGCTTTTCGTCCCTACCCATACTGTTTTCCTGTCTCACACATTCCATGCTCCAGCTCCCAACACCCAACCCCCAACCCCCAATTTCTATCATCGCCTGGGTGAAACTAGCCTCCAATCCAGAGTTTAATAACAGCCACAGAGATTCATATGGAATTGTGTACTTGGGGAGACCCAATAATCATCCCCCTTAATTCCAATGCAGAATGCTCAGGAGTTAATCAATCCTAGTTTCCATCTGTGCACATGTTGTGTTGCAGTCCAAGGATGTACTTGACCACCCAACTGGCCTGCTGTAATAGAGACCTAAGTGCTGTGTACTCAGAAACATTGACAAGCTATTATCTTACTTCTTGCCTCCCTGGCCACAATTCTACAGTAAGTGCTACCAGAGAGTGGGGCATAAGCATACCAGTTAGTAATAGCTAATATTTACTGATACTTATTCTGTTCTAGGCTCTGTGCTGAGCACTATACAGACACATCTAACTTTCAAAACAGCCATATGAGATAAATAATATTACTATCTCCATTTTACCAATGAGCAAAACTGAGGCATCAAAGGTCGTACATCTATTAAGAGCAGGGTCAGAATTTGAACTCATTTCAGGATTTGAACTCATGTTGTTTTTTTTGTTTGTTTGTTTTTTTTTTTTTTTTTTTTTTTTTATTGATCATTCTTGGGTGTTTCTCGCAGAGGGGGATTTGGCAGAGTCACAGGACAATAGTGGAGGGAAGGTCAGCAGATAAACAAGTGAACAAAGGTCTCTGGTTTTCCTAGGCAGAGGACCCTGCGGCCTTCCGCAGTGTTTGTGTCCCTGGGTACTTGAGATTAGGGAGTGGTGATGACTCTTAAGGAGCATGCTGCCTTCAAGCATCTGTTTAACAAAGCACATCTTGCACCACCCTTAATCCATTCAACCCTGAGTGGATACAGCACATGTTTCAGAGAGCACAGGGTTGGGGGTAAGGTCACCTATCAACAGGATCCCAAGGCAGAAGAATTCTTCTTAGTACAGAACAAAATGAAAAGTCTCCCATGTCTACCTCTTTCTACACAGACACGGCAACCATCCGATTTCTCAATCTTTTCCCCACCTTTCCCCCCTTTCTATTCTACAAAACCGCCATTGTCATCATGGCCCGTTCTCAATGAGCTGTTGGGTACACCTCCCAGACGGGGTGGTGGCCGGGCAGAGGGGCTCCTCACTTCCCAGTAGGCGCGGCCGGGCAGAGGCGCCCCTCACCTCCCGGACGGGGCGGCTGGCCGGGTGGGGGGCTGACCCCCCCACCTCCCTCCTGGACGGGGCGGCTGGCCGGGCAGAGGGGCTCCTCACTTCCCAGTAGGCGCGGCCGGGCAGAAGCTCCCCTCACCTCCCGGACGGGGCGGCTGGCCGGGTGGGGGGCTGACCCCCCACCTCCCTCCCGGACGGGGCGGCTGGCCGGGCGGGGGGGCTGAACCCCCCACCTCCCTCCCGGACGGGGCGGCTGGCCGGGCGGGGGGCTGACCCCCCCACCTCCCTCCCGGACAGGGCGGCTGGCCGGGCAGAGGCGCCCCTCACTTCCGGGACCGGGCGGCTGGCCGGGCGGGGGGCTGACCCCGCCACCTCCCTCCCGGACGGGGCGGCTGGCCGGGCAGAGGGGCTCCTCACTTCCCAGTAGGGGCGGCCGGGCAGAGGCGCCCCTCACCTCCCAGACGGGGCGGCTGGCTGGGCGGGGGGCTGACCCCCCCACCTCCCTCCCGGACGGGGCGGCTGGCCGGGCAGAGGGGCTCCTCACTTCCCAGTAGGGGCGGCCGGGCAGAGGCGCCCCTCACCTCCCGGACAGGGCGGCTGGCTGGGCGGGGGGCTGACCCCCCCACCTCCCTCCCGGACGGGGCGGCTGGCCGCGCAGAGGGGCTCCTCACTTCCCAGTAGGGGCGGCCGGGCAGAGGCGCCCCTCACCTCCCGGACGGGGCGGCTGGCCGGGCGGGGGGCTGACCCCCCCACCTCCCTCCCGGAGGAGGTGGCTGCCGGGCGGAGACGCTCCTCACTTCCCAGACGGGGTGGCTGCTGGGCGGAGGGGCTCCTCACTTCTCAGACGGGGCGGTTGCCAGGCAGAGGGTCTCCTCACTTCTCAGACGGGGCGTCCGGGCAGAGACGCTCCTCACATCCCGGACGGGGCGGCAGGGCAGAGGTGCTCCCCACATCCCAGACAGGGCGGCGGGGCAGAGGTGCTCCCCACATCTCAGACGATGGGCGGCCGGGCAGAGACGCTCCTCACTTCCCAGATGTGATGGCGGCCGGGAAGAGGCGCTCCTCACTTCCTAGATGGGATGGCGGCCGGGCAGAGATGCTCCTCACTTTCCAGACTGGGCAGCCAGGCAGAGGGGCTCCTCACATCCCAGACGATGGGTGGCCAGGCGGAGACGCTCCTCACTTCCCAGACGGGGTGGCGGCCGGGCAGAGGCTGCAATCTCGGCACTTTGGGAGGCCAAGGCAGGCGGCTGGGAGGTGGAGGTTGTAGCGAGCCGAGATCACGCCACTGCACTCCAGCCTGGGCACCATTGAGCACTGAGTGAACGAGACTCCGTCTGCAATCTCGGCACCTCGGGAGGCCGAGGCTGGCGGATCACTCGCGGTTAGGAGCTGGAGACCAGCCCGGCCAACACAGCGAATCCCCGTCACCACCAAAAAAATACGAAAACCAGTCAGGCGTGGTGGCGCGCGCCTGCAATCGCAGGCACTCGGCAAGCTGAGGCAGGAGAATCAGGCAGGGAGGTTGCAGTGAGCCGAGATGGCAGCAGTACCGTCCAGCTTTGGCTCGGCATCAGAGGGAGACCGTGGAAAGAGAGGGAGAGGGAGAGGGACAGGGACAGGGACAGGGACAGGGAGAGGGAGAGGGACTCATGTTTTTAACTACTTTTTTATGTAGTTAAAAGCTGAAAGATGGTAGGATTTGCTAAGAAGGAACCTGAATGGTAAGGCAGAGATGAAAATTATCAAACTGTAACAATCAGGGGACACAATTAATTACATAAAGTCGCTTAATGGAATATGCTAAGGAAAACTTATTCCTCAATTAAAGTGGCATTGTGCAATAACAGAGACTGATCAACCTCTTTCAGCAGAATCCTGGAAAACTATGTAAACACCCACAGGCCTTGGAAGATGTTAGTGTCAATCTACTGGGAAGATGACCCCTGAAGACCCTGTAATCCTCATCATTCTGTGATTCAAAGGGAAAAGCAATATGGCCATGTGAGTCAGTACAAAGAGCATGGGATTTGGAATGAGAAGACCTGAACTTCAGTCCTGGCTTGGCTATCCACTCACTTTGTGACCTCAAAGAAGTTGAATGAACATGTATTGAGCCTATGTCTTGCAGCAAGTACTGACTTAGGATTTGAGGAAATAAGATCACCAGACTTGGGACATGTCCTGAAGTGGGTCATTGACTCATGGAGCACCGAGAATTGTAGACAATTTCCTCACATTTTCCTTATATATAGACCAAGCAAACTAACAGCAACTTCTTAGAGTTGTGAGCATCAAACAAGATAGAGGTTGTGAAAAGGACTTGGGGACTATATGTCACGCAAAGTTAGTGGTAATTATTAATGCTAAGACTGAACTCATAATAACTCATAGATATTATCATGGTCATCACCTACATGATATGATCCCTACTGACCCTTCCAGCATCATTTCCCACTAGCTCTCTGTCCTTCTTGGTTGAACAGACCAAAATATTCCTGTCTCAGGGTCTTTGCATTGCCTGAAATGCATTTACCCCAGTTATCTGCACAGTTAATTCTTTCATTTTATTCACACTTTTACTCAAAAGTTATATTCCCCATGGAGGGCCTCTCTGTTCACCATATCTAAAATAGAAAACATGTGTATACACACACAATGCACACACATACACATGCATACAACACACATGCATATAGACATGCTACATACACATACCCACACACATATACACACAAGACACATGTGCATATATGTATGCACATACTCTCTAGTTCCTTATCCTGCTTTATTTTTCTTCAGAGTACTACCTCTTCCTGAAACTATGTTTTTATATGCTTGTTCACATGTTTGTTATCTGACTCTCCACTGTAAGTTCTGTGAGGGCAGAGACTTTGGCTTGTTCAACATCGTATTTCCAGTCCCAGAACAACTCCTGACTCATAATGTACACTCAATAATTATTGAAATATAATTCATATACCATACAATTCACCTATTTAAAGTATAAAATCCAATGTTGTTTGTTTGTTTTTTGAGACAGGGTCTTACTCTCTCATCCAAGCTGACATCCCTGCAGTCACTGCTGCTTTAACTTCCTGGGCTCGAGAGTAGCTGGGACACAGGTGCACATCACCACATCTGGCTAACTAAAAAAAAAAAAATTGTGGAGATGGGGTCCCACTATGTTGCCCAGGCTGGTGTTGAACTCCTTGGCTCAAGCAATCCTCTCAGTGCCTCCACCTCCCAAAGTGTTGGGATTACAGGTGTAAGCCACCATACCCAGCCCAATTCATTGTTTTTTAAGACACAGTCATGTGCCACATAATAAAGTTTCAGTCAACATTAGACTGCATATAAGATGGTGGTCCCATAAGTTTATAATGGAGCAGAAAAATCCCTATTGCCTAGTGACATAGCCATTGTAACGTTGTAGTAACGTATTACCTTTTCTATGTTTAGTTGTGTGTAGAGACAAAAATACCACTGTGTTACAATTGCCTTCGTTATTCAGTACAGTAACGTGCTATACAGGTTTGTTGCCTAGGTGTGTAGTTGGCTATACTAAATTTGGGTAAGTACACAACTTTTTGTTGTTTCACACGAGAACGAAATCACCTACTGATGCATTTCTCAGAATATATTGCTGTCATTAAACTATGCATGTCTGTATTTACAGTGTTGTCCAAACATGATCACAATTTTAGAACACTTTCATCACCCCAGAAAGAAACCCATACCTGTGAGTGCCACTCTCTATTATCCCCTTAAGCCACCCTACCACCCCCGACCCTTGCCTTAGGCAATTATGAGTCTACTTTCTGTCTCTATAGATTTGTCTATTCTGGACACTTCACATACATGAAATTATACATATATGGTCTTTTTGAAATTAAATTTTGACTAATGAACAAATTACTAAATCCAATTCTTTGCCACACCCTCTAGATATAAATAGTTCTTCAGAAAGCTTCCTTTCAAGAATTTTGAGCAATCTAACATTCAATCTGCAAGACAGAGAATTGGTCTGACCAAAATACAACAAAAATCTCACTTATTTATGTTGTGTTTTATTTTTTAATTGTGACATTTTGACAGAAGTCGAACATAAGCTTCCCTTTGCCCTAGAAACAGGAATAAAAGAGAAAGAGTTGACAGAATAAACACATAAAATGAAATTCTGAAGGGCCTATTTATTTACTCATGAGAACCAACTGTTTTCAAACATTCTGAATTGGAAATGATTTAATTCTAATCTAAGCAAAGGCCAGCAAGCCTGGTACTCTGATATGTTGATTACAAATCATTCTCTATTCTTTAAAGCAGAACCTTGATCGGGCAACTTTGGTAGATGTAATTCCACGCATCCAAGGACTTGAAAGTAATAAAATGGACTTTTATTATTTACAATCATTTCATAATTGACTTCACCAACCAGACTGGCTCTCCCTTTCAATTATTTTAAATCAGTGAGATTCTACTGCATAAATACACTCTTCTCCAACAATCATTGTTAAACCATTTGTCATATTTGATTCACATAAAGCCAAATGATATTAAGTGTATAAGTTAAACCACGAACTAAGTTCTTAGAATTGGAATGGAACTTTAGGGCACTGAGCATAATCTCTTACCCAAACTGAAATCCCTGCCATAGCTTCCTAGCTTGAAATATCCCAGTGATTTTTCCCACATGTACATCACTTTCTCCCTATCCTGACCATCTTTACTTGAGACAGCCTCCACCATCATTCCCAACAACTTTAATGTTCAAATATTCATCCTTCTAATAAATTCCTCAAGTATCCTAAAGATTTTTCCCACATGTACATCACTTTCTCCCTATCCTGACCTTCTTTTAGTCCAAGTTCTGCCCTCTAGGGTAAAGAAGAGGATACCTGTTTATTCCTATTTGGGGCAAGTGAGTCCCTCAAATATCTGAAGACCTCTTCCCTGCCTAGAAATTCTTCCCTGGGCTAAAAAGCCCCCAGGCCATCTTACAACTTGGTTTTCAGACCCCCTCTCCAAAATACTGCCACCCCAGGTACCACCTTTCTGATCATCCACCAATCCGCTGCTATCCTTCAGTACAAATCTGCAAAATAGGCATTTAACTAAGAACTTTTCTAATGTGTTTCCAATAAAAAAGAGACCATATATGGCTAGAATTAATTGTTAAAATAACTTCTTAGATGCAAACACAATATATATGATGATGTCAAGAGTATATAAATGAAAACTTCCAGGTGGGGTGCAGTGGCTCACTCCTGTAATCCCAACACTTTGGGAGGCCAAGGCAGACAGATCACTTAAGTCCAGGAGTTCAAGACCACCCTGGCCAACATGATGAAACCCTGTCTCTACTAAAAATACAAAAATTAGCTGGGCAGGGTGGCTTATGCCTGTAATCCCAACTACATAAGTATCACTTGAACTCAAAAGGCAGAGGTTGCAGTGAGTGGAGATCGCGCCACTGCACTCCAGCCTGGGCAATAGAGTAAGACTCTGTCAAAAAAAGAAAGAAAGAAAGAAGGAGGAAAGAAAGAAAGAAGGAAGGAAGGAAAGAAAGAGAGAGAGAGAGAAAGGGAGGGAGGGAGGAAGGAAGGAAATTTCCCAACTTAGGACATCTGTAGGCTTTTCACATTCATTTGTCATCAAGGACTGCTTCGAGTTAAAATGAACAGATCCCATTTAAACAAAAGACAATGTCTTCTTTAAAGATAGGAAATGCATCAGATGCTCTGACCTGCATCTCCTATCTTTTGCTTTTGTTATTGTTTTTGAGACAGATTCTTGCTGTGTTGCCCAGGCTGGAGTGCAATGGCATGAACATAGCTCACTGGATCCTCCTGTTTCAACCTCCCAAGTAGCTGGGACTACAGGCACGTGTCAACACTGCTGGTCTTTTTTTTTTTTTTTTTTTTTTTTTTTTTTTTTTTTTGTAGAGATGGAGATCTCGTTATATTGCCCAGGCTGGTTCAAACTCCTGGGCTCAAGCAATCTTCCTCCCTCAGCTTCACAAAGCACTGGGATTACAGGCCTGAGCCACCATTCCTGGCCCTGCATCTTCTATCTTTAGACACATGTAATTTCAGCTAAGGTTATTATGAATTGAACCAGGAGATCCAGAGTTATTTTGGCAGCTGTGAAAACAAAAGCAGTAATACTAAGCTTCTTTTATCCATTTAATTTGGAGCTTTTTCAAGGAGAAAAAGTAAATTTCAGTGTGCTTCCCATTTAAAGATGCCATGCAGAGAATGTTTTGTGTTTTCACAAGTCTTTCCAGTGGTTAAGGAGTGCTGTAACATAAGGGGTAGAACTGATAGCCTATTTCTGTCAGAGACACTATCTTAATGGGTATATTGCTATTCAAGGTCTGATCTGTACTTGCAAACACAATAACCACTTCACTCAGAAATGAGCCAGCTATGGGAGATTGGACCCTACCAACTGTGGCCACTACTTAATTTCCAGCCAGGGAGATATCTCTGACCCAAGAGTGGAACAAGCAAGAGGCATCAAGCGGTTCCCTTCCAATAGGCAACACCATGCAGAAAAGAAAGCAACATTGAAAGTTAGTCCAGGCTTGGCCAGGCGCATTGGCTCATGCCTGTAATCCCAGAACTTTGGGAGGCTGAGGTGGGAGAATGACCTGAGTTTAAGACCTGCCTGGTCAATGTGGCGGAACCCCGTCTCTACTAAAAATACGAAAAAAAAAAAAAAGGTAGTCCAGGCAGTGTTTAAATCAGAGCTCCATCATTTTCTTTTTTGTTTTGTCTGTTTCTTACATCTTTTCCTGGCTCTTTATTTTTGAGTATGTTTTATGCTTTTTTTATTTTTAAAAGTTTGCTTTTTTTAAATTGACAGGTATCATTGTGTCCAACATGCTGTTTTGAAGTACATACACATTGTAGAATGGTTAAATTTAGGTAATTAACAAATACATTACCTCACCTAGTTATCATTTTTGTGATGAGACCAAATAACCTTCAATCTCTTTATGTTTATCAAGAATACAATATTTCACCAACTGTAGTTGTGTTGCTGTACAATAGATCTCTTGAAATTTATTCCTCTTGTCTAACCATAATTATGTATCCTTTGACCAACATCTTCCCATTTCCCCCTCTCCTAACCATCTCTGCCTATGGCAACCACCATTCTATTCCCAACTTCTATGTGATAACTTTGTAAAGATTTCACATGTGAGTGAGATCATGCAGTATTTGTCTTTCTGTGCCCAGCTTATTGCACTTAACATAATATCCTCCAGGTTAATTGTTGCAAATGGCAGGATTTCATTCTTTTTATGGCTGAATAATATCCCATTGTGTATATACACCACATTTTCTTATCCATTCATCCATTGATGGACACTTAGGTTGATTCCATGTCTTGGCTATTGTGAACAGTGCTGTGATTAACACAAGAGTGCAGATATCTCTGACATATTGATTTCAATTTCTTTGGATATATACCCAGTAGTGGAGTTACTGGATCATATGGTAGTTCTATTTAAAATTTTTCGAGGAAACTTCATACTGTTTTTCATAAGGGCTGCATTAATTTACATTCCTGCTAATAGTATATAAGGGTTCCCTTTTCTCCACATCCTCCCCAGCACTTGTTCTGTTTTGTCTTTTTTATACTGTTCATTCTAACTGGGTGAAATGGTATCTCATTGGGATTTTATTTTGCATTTCCCTGACAATTAGTGATGTTGAGCATATTTTCATATACCTGCTGGCCATTGTATGTCTTCTTTTGGGAAATGCTTATTCAGGTCTTTTGCCTATTTTTTTTATCAGGTTATTTGGTCTTTTGCTGTTGTTTGCACTCCTTATATATTTTGAATGTTAACTCTGAAATGTATAGTTTGCAAATATTTTCTCCCACTCTGCAGGTTGTCTCTTCTATCTGTTATTTCTTTTGCTGTGCAGAAGCTTTTTAGTTTGATGTAATCCCATTTGTCTACTTTTACATTTGTTGTCTGTACTTTTGAGGTCTTATCCAAAAAATCCTGGCCCAGACCAGTGTTATGAAATGATTCTCCTGTGTTGTCTTCTAGTCGTTTCATAGCTTCAGGTCTTACACTTAAGTCTTTAATCTATTTTGAGTTAATTTTGTATATGGCAAGAGAGGAAGGTCTAATTTTTTTAATTCTCCATGTGGATATCCAGTCTTCCCAATACCATTTATTGAAGAGGACTTTATTTCCCCATTATGTACTTGGTGTTTCAATAATGAGTTGGATTTAAATGCATGGATTTAGTTCTGGGCTCTCTTTTCTGTTCCTTTGGTCTATGTGTCTGTTTTAATACCACACACTGTACCATGTTGTTTTGATTACTAGGACTTTGTAGTATACTTTGAAATCAGGTAGTGTGACACCTCCAGCTTTGCTCTTTTTACTCAAGATTACTTTTGCTATTTGAGGTCTTTTGTGATTCCATATGAATTTTAGGATTTTTTTTCTATTTCTGTTAAGCATATCACTGGTATTTTCAAACAGATTGCATTAAATCTTCAGCTCTACCATTTTCTGATGGGTGACTGAGGACATTACTTAACCTCTCTCTTTTTCTGAATTTTATTTTACTTCAAGTTCCAGGATACGTGTGCAGAACATGCAGGTTTGTTACACAGGTAAATGTGTGCCATGGTGGTTTGCTGCACCTATCACCCCATCACCTAGGTATTAAGCCCTACATGCATTAGTTATTTGTCCTGATGCTCTCCCTTCCCTGATGCCCCAACAGGCCCCAGTGTGTGTTGTTCCCCTGCCTGTGTCCATGTGTTCTCACTGTACTTAACCTCTCTTAGTCTGTTTCTTCATCTAAAAATGGGGCTTTTAATACCTACCTCAGAAGGTTGTTATGAAAGTTAAGTAAGTTAATATACATAAAAGTTCTCAATAGGACCAAGCACATAGGTGCTCATTAATAAAACTAGTAAACAAATTATAGATCAGAAAATTATTTAGTGAATGCAGAATTAGAACACATAGTATGAGATATGTTTAACAGCTCTTTCTTTTGGGCTATGGAAGCCTAATAAATTTTTTCTTTTTACTCTACAAAACTGGAACTGGTCAGTGAAAATGGCCTACCCTCTTTTCTGAACAAAAATAAAGATGTGGTGAGGGTTCCCATGTCCACATTTTTTAGTTCCAGGCTCTGTGCAGACCAACACCCTTTTTTGGAACTTGTCTTTGTAATACTACCCATCTTTACATCAACAATAGTTCAGATCCTTGACTTTACAGATGATTTTTCTTTCTTTATAATCAACAGGAAGATACTTAAACCCATTGGCAAAAAATACCCTATGTCTTAGGTTGAATTGCTTCTGACATTTTTCTATATATTTTTATACAATTCTGTCACAAAAGGTGACAGTTTTTTCTTGGATTCTTGGATTATCTTGTTCTCTCACTAAACTTGTTTGTTGAGGGTTCCTCTAACTGCAAACAGATAGCCACCAAAATTTCTCCATCAATTAAAAACAACCAATAAATGTAGACTTTTAAGTTTTATCATGCAACATAAATGCATTGAATACCTTCATGTTTATGAAGTAGGCAAAGAAGAACAATTTATAGCCCATGCTTTTAGGAAGTTTACTATCTAGACTCTAGATACTAGACTAGATACTATCTAGACTCTAGATACTAGACTAGATACTATCTAGACTCTAGATTCTAGAGGATGTAGGTATATAAATAAACAGCTACAACTTAAGGCAGAATGTAATACTCACTTTATATGAGATATGCAGAAAGAGCACAGATGAAAGAAGTTATTTCTGATTTGGCTTTAAAATAAAGCAAAGTTTCCTGGAGAGGGGACATTTGCATCTTGAAGAATGGATAACATTTTGATGGAGAAAAAGAAGAGCTGGGCATTACAGAGGGAATGTCATGAAAATGAAAGAACTTGTTTGGGGAACAAGTAGTTAAGGTGGGCTATGATATGGGGGCAGGGGAAGCAACTTCATTTGAAGATAGAACTAAACAGAAAGAAGAAATCAGAACATGGAAATAAAGATCATGCCAAGAACTTTGAGATTTGTTGTGTAGGCAATGTGGCATGTTTAGAAGGCTTTGAGCCAAGAATTGGCATGATTACATCTACACTTTTAAAATAAATTATGCAATCAATAGCTTATTAGATAGTTTAAAAGAGAAAAGACTAAAACCTAGGCATACTATTTTCATTAACTCATTCATTTATTTATCATATATGTGTTGAGAACCCTATTAGGTGTCAGGTACCAGGGTCATGTACAGTGTTTAATAAGACAGACACAGTCCCTGCACGCGTGCCTACGTACAAATCAGATGAAAAATAATTGGGCTCTGAACAGGAGGAGTGTGTGATTAAAAAGGGGTTCATTTTCCCTGTCTTCCCAGAGCTGTGGCTCAGAGGAGCTTAAATGACCTCTGAGTCACATCCTACCACATACATTTAATATTTTTTTCTAACCAACAACTTAAGATCAATGATTTTTGCTATGATTTAGCCTATAAAAGCCTAGATTGGTCTGAATTTTATTCCAAGCATTAGGTACATAATATACTTTCTCACATTCAAAAAGATATACCATATACATAATTGAATTAGGAATTCTGATATACAAGAATACATACTTGCAGATAAAGGCTGGATCATTAAAACTAGAAGCAACCTTCCAGAATACGTTGGAAACTCTAATCATCAGATCAACTTAACCCCTTGGCATTTTATTTGGCCTACAATATTGGGTTCTGGTTGTTTTTGTTTTATTTGAATTTGAACATCTTCAGGCAAGGCATTTATTCTCCAGTTCCTCACAGGCGCCGCGGTTCCTATTGTCTTACACCCAGACAATCCATTCACTTCTGTCACCTATCTGACCCCCAGAGGCATTTGTGTTTGTCACCTGATACTTTCCCAACTCCTTTCTTGGCCATGAACCCCACAGCTGAGAAACATAAGAGCCAGAGAGATCCCAAGCCACCTCATGTCACAGTGTTAGTTTATGACAGAGACAAGACTTCCAAGCCATCCCACCTCCTGACATGACAGCAGAGGCTGGGCTGAGCCAGCTGACAGAACATTCCTGAGGGGTTACCTTACATCCTAGCAGCCACAGGAGTCGGCACATCAACCGGTCCTGCTCCAGAATGGCCAGTAATTCAAGACCCGGCCACAGACGAGACACAGGTGGTTCCTGTCAGGAACAGCATTTCCTGGTATGGGAAGCCTGTTCTCTCTGGGGATGCTTGGTCAGATGGGACAGTGGCAGCTTTGTCTTTTCATTAGAAATTCCTCCTGTTGTCCATCTACACAAGGGGAACTGACTGTGCAGTAGAATGACTAAAGAAAGATGCTAAAGTTGGAACTGGGGACAATCCAAGTTGGCGGCCACTGAATCACGAGGAGATTCTATACTGCCTTTTGTTCTTCCCTCCAGCTTGAGTGACTCAGTTGTTGAAATTTTGTGGCAAGACACCTGGAAGCCATTTGTCTTTTTTATTAAGGACTCATTCACGGGGTAAAAACGTAATAATGTTCATTTACCATCACTCCATTACCCAGAGCACCAGATTGCTGCTAATTCAATGTGGTGCTGATTCAGTCATCGCATCACTGAGGCAACATTCTTCTGTGAAAGCTATTTATGTCCCGGCACCATTTGAAAGGCCCTTTAGATCCTTTTTGAAACATTCAAGTCCCAGAGAGGCAGCCTGATCTGCAGAGCACTGCACAGGATGTAGGTCTGAAAAGAGCCGCTTCAGAGTGACGGCCAGCCAACTTGAGGTCAGGCCTTCAGGCTCAATGTGCGTCCCTCTTTTATCCTCAAACGTGCTTCAGAACGCATCTTTTCAGATTCAGAGAGTTATGGCCAACCTCAGCTCTGTAACCACTCCCTGCGCACTGCAGGCAGGAAGAATTTAGAGGGACATGTCAGTAGCTGAACATGTGATAACACTGGCTTTAGACTCACCCATAGCCTGGCATGAGAACTCAGTCATCCTGCACAGCTTCTCTGAGCCCCCAGTTTCTCCAACTCAACAAGAGGGTATTTACCCCACATTGAAACGAGGCAAGTAAATTACAAAAAGAGGATAATGACCTAGTGGTGGGTAGTTGGACACCCAGCAGAAGCCGGTAGAGGGACAACACTGTAAGGCAATTTATATAATGAAAAAGTCCTCAGCATTGCTTACCCCCACCTCTCTTTCTGAGGGGCAGAGGTCTCAGCTAAAAGAATGACCGCAAGGAAGAAAATAAAGCAAACACTTAGAAGTGAGAACATGCAGTATTTGGTTTTCTGTTCCCATGTTAGTTTGCTAAGGATAATGGCCTCCAGCTCCATCCAAGTCCCTGCAAAGAACCTGATCTCATTCTTTTTTATGGCTGCATATATTCCATAGTATTAATGTACCACATTTTCTTTATTTAGTCTGTTGTTGATGGACATTGAGATTGATTCTGTGTCTTGGCTATTGTGAATAGCGCTACAATGAACATACGTGTGCATGCGTCTTTATAATAGAATGACTTATATTCCTTTGGGTGCATGTTCTCACCTGTAAGTGGGAGCTAAATGATGAGAACACGTGGAAACATAGAGGGAAACAACACACACTGGGGCCTATCAGAGGGTAGAGGGTGGGAGGAAGGACAGGATCAGGAAAAATAACTAATGGGTACTAGGCTTAATACCTGGGTGATGAAATAATCTACAACACACCCCCATGACACAAGTTTACCTATGTAACAAACCTGCACATGTACCCCTGCACTTCAAGGTTAAAAAAAAAAAAGAAAGCAAATGTTGTCCTTGCCTCCTCCCTCCTTCCCAAGCACCTCAGGTGAAATTAGCTGATAAGATGCTTGTGGAGAACTTTGAGCTCCTGGGAGATCAATGATATATGAATAGAAAGTGTTATTATTCTGCAAAACACTGGAGGATGGCTTCCCCGGAAGTCATCGTGTACCAGCAGAGAATAAATGAAATAATTTCCTTTCCTCTGATCTCTGGCTAAAAGCTTCTAATCATTTAAGGAGGATTTAATCCACTAGTGGACTGTCCCCATTTGAGGACTGCAGGGCTAAAGTTAGTACTGACCTGAACACGACAACCACAAGGGGGAATGGGCCGGAGTTCCTCTCCGTTGCTGCAAGCTGGTTGCCTGCCAGCTTGCAGTTTCTTCCCCAGAGTTGGGGAGACACAGTCCATCAGGGTTTCTCCTTTGAAATGCCTTCAAGCTAGAACAGGCTTGGGAAAAACTCTCCACTCCAATTTCTGATGCTTTTCTTCAGGGGGCCTACTCTTACCCATTTGCGGGTGGAGGGCGGTTGGGAGGGGGCTTGCGCTCAGCTGTTAGTCATAACTCCAGTTACAGCGTGCCCTCTTGTAAGCAGAACCAATTTTAAGGCTCCAGGGAAGAGTCTTGCCAGGTGCTAAGGAAGAAATTTTGAGGCTGGCAGGCTCACTCTTTACCCATAAAATTGTTCCATAAAAGTGGCTTCCAATTCCAGCCTCCGTATTAGTCTGTTTCCAAAGGCTACAACTGCACGGTCCAGAGGGAAAGAAGCAAGACAGGGAGTGAACACGTGGCATGAGGATTGATGGAAAGAACTGGGGATGCTTCCCTTGGAGAAGGGGTAGCTTAGGGAGATGCACAAGTGCTTTTAAATATGTGAATGTGTGTTCTTGTAGTTTGGCTTTTAGGATAACAAACAGAAACCCACTTGAGCTAGCTCAAGTAAAGCAAGATTGTTGTAGGGCTTCTTGTGGTACAATAAAAGGACTCCCAGGGAAATTCAAAAGATGGAGCCATAATAGGCTTGGGAATCCCAGATAAATGAGTGGGAGAGTGGATCTGAATTGAAGGTACTCTAGACACTCAAGTAGCGAAGCACTAATACCTTTATTACTGATAAGTCACTCTAAACATGACTCATCTACAGGCCACCCATCCACTTTTTCCTGTTCCTTAACAGCTAGCAAATTATTTCCAAGTTGCTTCATTTAAATACCACAGAGTGAGAGCCCACCTGAGTGACAGATTGCAGAATAGCCATAGACTACCATTGATCAGGGATCTATCTACCTGTCACCCAATCAGCTGTAACAAGAGGGTTGGACTAAGTGCTATGAAAAATATTGCTCCCACCCTGGCAACCTGAACTGTAAGCTGGGCAGCAAGCAGCAACTTCTCAAATGAGAAGGGCACAGGAGAATGGGCAGACTGGCATGGAGATAAACAGCATAGATCCTGGAGTCACACTGTCCGGTCCGAATTCCTGCACACCACTTCTTCACTGGATAAAGACAGTCACTTGGCTTCTCTGTGTTTCAGTTTACTCATCTGTAAGATGGGAAAAATAAATAAAGTTGTTGAAAGAATTAATTAGACAATCCACATAAAGCACTTAAAATGATGTCCGGCAGAGTAGTATTCAATAAACGTTGGCTATTATTATTCTCTCCAATACAGTGCTTCTTCAAATTTTGTGTGAATATGAATTACTTAGGGAGTTTGTTAAAATGCAGATTCTGATTCTGTAGGTATAGGATGAGACATGAGATTCTGCATGTCTAACCAGCCTCCAAGTGATACCAATGTTTCTGGTCCACAACCCACAATTTGAATAGCCAGGATCTAGTATGTAGGACATGAGACAGAGGGAGGAGACTGGCTCTAAGGAAAAGAACTAGAAAAACATGACAGAAGTGCATATACATATTATAAACTTTCTATCAATTCAAATGGTTTTTAAATGGAAATTTATGGGCTGTTTGAAAAGATAGTGCATTCCCTCTCTCAGGCAGGGCTGACTCCTCCATTAGACATAGGAGGCAAGTGTCTGGGGCCCATGATGCTTTTAGGGGCCCATAAAAATGTTTTACTTTTAATTTTTTTAAGCCAAAGGAAACATAAATATAATAATGAATATGTAATAATAAATCCAGCCTGGATTACAGGTGATTTTATGCCAATGCAGTCATAAAATATAATTTTAGATACTTTTTTTTTTTCTTGACATGGAGTCTCGCTCTGTAGCCCAAGCTGGAGTGCAGTGGCGCAATCTCAGCTCACTGCAAGCTCCGCCTCCCGGGTTCAAGCAATTGTTCTGCCTCAGCCTCCTGAGTAGCTGGAACTACAGGCATGTGCCACCATGCCAGCTAATTTTTTGTATTTTTAGTAGAGACCAGGTTTCACTGTGTTAGCCAGGATGGTCTCGATCTCCTGACCTCGTGATCCACCCATCTCGGCCCATGGAGCAAAAGCAGAACTGCTGGGGTTCCAAGAAAGTCATAATGTGGCCCTGACTGGATGTGATCATGGGGATAAAGAATGAAGATGGAAAACTCTAAGATTCCTTGCAGATTTGAGTCAATGTTTCTTTAAGATTCTATGACAATGCTCTGCTATCTATATTCCCTAGCTATAAAGTCACACCTGCAAACACTCACTTTCTGCTTGTCTCACATCTTCACACATAGACTAACATTGCTTATCATTGGCCATAAATCAGCAGTTTACAAACCACCCCTAGAATCTACCTCTGCCTTCTCCCTGTTTGCTTCCAAAATAAAGAAGTTATTATTGGCTGGGCACAGTGGCTCATGCCTGTAGTCCCAGCACTTTGGGAGGCCAAGGACAGTGGATTGCTTCAGTCCAGGAGTTCAGGACCAGCCCGGGCAACATTGTGAAAATTTTTGTACAAAAAGTACAAAAATTAGCCAGATGTGGTTGCACGCACCTGTAGTCCTAGGAGGCTGAGGTAGGAGGATTGCTTGAGCCTGGGAGGTCGAGGCTGCAGTGAGCTGTGATCATACCACTGCACTCCAGCCTGAGTGACAGAGTGAGACCCTGCCTCATTAAAAAAAAAAAAAAAGGAAGGAAAGAAAGAAAAAAAGAAAAGAAAAGAAATTATTGTTTTTATTCCTACAAAATACATTTGATTCCAGATATTGCGAAAATTTTGCAGACATTTCCTCATTAATATATACATCTCCTTGTTGAAGGAAGTGGAGTTTTTGTTTTATTCTTATTTTTAAGGTTGGAAATAAAGCCAAGAAAAGATTAAATGAGAGCTGTGCTTTAAAACTCAGTGGGAGAGGCTGGGTACAGTGGCTCATGCCTGTAATCCCAGCACTTTGGGAGGCCAAGGTGGGCAGATTGCCTAAGGTCAGGAGTTCAAGACCAGCCTGGCCAACATGGTGAAACCCCGTCTCTACTAAAAATATAAAAATTAGCCGAGCATGGTGGCAGTCACCTGTAATCCCAGCTACTTAGGAGGCTGACGCAGGAGAGTCACTTGAACCTGGGAGGCAGAGGTTACAGTGAGCTGAGATGGCACCACTGCACTCCAGCCTAAGCGACAGAGCGAGACTTCACCTCAAAAAAAAAAAAAAAAAAACTCAGTGTGAGAGAAAAACATTACTAAGTCTATGGCTATGATTATTATTATTATTATAGTTATCAGTGGAAAACATACATCCAGCACTCATAAATAACAAAGGCAGTGATTCTCAATTGGTACAAACTGGAACTCCTTATGTAGCATTAAACAGATGCCTAGGCCCTACCCCAAACCTTCCCTCTCAGAATACTCAGAGAACAGAGCTCCAGCCCTGTGTTTTGAAAAAACTCCCACCATTATGAGGGCTTAAAACCACTGTGTCATGGCATGGAGAAGAATATTGCAGAATCTCAGGAAGGAGAAAGTTCCAAGGAGGGAACGGTTTGGTGTCTGAGGCTGCAGAGAGATGGAGTAATATAAAAATGGGAAAAAGTCCTTCGAACCTGGGGGAACATTGGTGACTTTGGTGAGAATAGTCACCCTGGGTCATGAGGGTAAAAACCATACTACAAAGATTGCTTACTCTTATACACAGTTAGATATTTGAGGGATCATAAAATTAAGACACGAATGGAAGATTAAAAAATAGACAGGGAATATAGACTTAAACAGGGGTACATGTGGACACACAGAGTGGAATAACAGACATGGAGACTCCAAAAGATGAGAAGGCTGGGAGGAGGGCGAGGAGTAAAAAATTACACATTTTGTACAATGTAAACTATTCAGGGGATGGGTACACTAAAAGGCCAGATTTTACCACTATGCAGTATACCATGTAACAAAGCTGCACTTGTACCCTCTAAATTTATAAAAATACATTTTGTAAAATAGGGGTTTTAATCTGGGGTCCTCAGATTCCTCCTACACCCCATCCTCCATTCCCCTCCAAGGGACCCATGGATAGAAGTCAGGGAATCGGCCAGGCGTGGTGGCTCACACCTGTAATCCCAGCATTTTGGGAGGCCGAGGTGGGCAGATCACAAGGCCAGGAGATCGAGACCATCCTGGCCAACATGGTGAAACCCCATCTCTACTAAAAATACAAAAATTAGCTGGGTGTGGTGGCGCATGCCTGTAATCCCAGCTACTCAGGAGGTTGAGGCAGGAGAATCACTTGAACCAGGGAGTCGGAGGTTGCAGTGAGCGGAGATCACCCCACTGCACTCCAGCGTGGGCGACAGAGTGAGACGCTATCTCAAAAAAAACAAAAAGAAGTCAGGGAATCTATGAACTCAGATGGGAAAAAAATTACATCTTGATTTCACTGACCTCTAACTGAAATTGTGCCTTTTCTTCAATTATGACTGTAGGCTTCACACTTCAGTAGTGGTAACAGTACCTGTGACTTTGTTACCTATAATAATCACAAGTATTTTAA
Organism: Homo sapiens; assembly: GCF_000001405.40. Lineage (NCBI taxonomy): Eukaryota > Metazoa > Chordata > Mammalia > Primates > Hominidae > Homo > Homo sapiens. Next base: position 182,758,885 of record NC_000001.11, read on the forward strand.
CATCACAATACAGATAATATTGCAAAATATTGTTTATAATTATTACTACTTTGAAATTATGGGAGTTATTAGAACCACTTCAAGACCTGGTTACTTAATGCATTAATAGAAATCACCTGGCTGGGTGCAGTCGATCACACCTGCAGTCTCAGCAGTTTGGGAGGCCAAGGCAGGTGGATCGCTTGAGGTCAGGAGTTTGAGACCAGCCTGGCCAACACAGTGAAACCCCATCTTTACTAAAAGTACAAAAATCAGATGGGCATGGTGGCGTGCACCTGTAGTCCCAGCTACTGGGGAGGCTGAGGCAGGAGAATCACTTGAACCCAGGAGGCGGAGGTTGCAGTGAGCCAAGATCACACCACTGCACTCCAGCTTGGGCAACAGAGCCAGACTCTGTCTCAAATAAATAAATAAATAAATAAATAAATAAACAAACAAACAAACAAACAAATAGAAATAGTCACCAAAAAAAAAAACCACTGTGTCAGAATGGGTGCCTAACTTAACTGACAGAAGCTGCTTTCTGGAAATTTCTACCCTAGGCCCTCAGCCACGAACAGGTGCTATTCCATTCCTACTATACCCAAATCATTATGTTGTATTTGCTCTCCTGCCAACTCTTTCTTATCCCTTGAAAGTGAGGGCTAAGAAGCAGAGAAGCAAGAAAAGAGACCCTGGGAAGGTATCATTGTTCACTGCTCCTCTCCCTGCTCACGTACTTTTGTCATTTAGAATAAACCCGCTGGACACTAGAGCAGGAAGACACCATAAAACAGTGTTCTCCCGATGCCAGGCCACAGATCAGGGCTGCTCAGATCAGATCTTTAACGAGGCCCCAGTGAAGTGGGAAAATTAATGACAAGGTACCGAGTATGTTACAAAACTAATACATCCAATTTCAAAGAATGTTCTTTTTTTGAGATTATTACTTTCCTATATTTTTATATTAAAATGTCCTTTCTTTTATGAAACAGTACTGATGCTAGATAAAAATTTTATTTTTGTATTTTAATATCCTTACTTGGCAATGTAAAGTATTACAAGTCCTGTGTCTGTTTTCCAATTTTAAAAATTATTTTTATTGCTTTGCGAAGTCCAAAATACTGAGAAGTGCTGCCTTACATGTTTGTTTTATTCACTCCTCTCCTTTTAGAGATGAATTCCCGAGAAGGTGCTGTGACTTCTGTTCCAGCATATTGGTTTAGAAAGAAAAGCTTCAGAGTCTGATTTTGAGACCTGGATTTGGCCTCTGGCTCTGCCACTTTCCACCTATGTGATCTCTCCGAGCCTCAATTTTATCATCCATAAAGTAAGAATCATTTCTACCTCATGAGACAATTGAAAGATTTACATAAGATAATGCATATAAGAGCACTTTCCATGCTGCTAAATAAAGTCATTATTATTACGATGATCATCACCATCCTTTTTATTATTGTTACTCAATATTACCTGGTTAACGGCAGAAGTTGGTCTAGTCTTTCGGCTTCCACACTGGCTGACTCTGTCCAGTGACCTTCAAACTACTGCTTAGTGAATCCACCTTGGGTTGCTTCTTATTTAGCTCAAGAAATGTTAACTGTTTATTTACTATTCCTGCCAAAATCACATAACCTGACTCTAATTATGTAATGATGAGGAAACATCAGACAAAACCCAGTTTCAGTGACTCTTGTATAGAGTCAATTCTTTTTTATAAAGAATTGGCCTGATTTCTTCAAAAATGTCAAGGTCCTGAAAATCAAAGAAAGTTCAGAAAACCCAATGATATGCATAATTCTGGATTGAATCCTGGATGGAAGAAAAGCACTGGTATAAAAAAAACTTACAGAGAAAATTAGCAAAATGTGAATAAGGTCTGTAGATTAAATAGTAGTATATCAATGGTCAATATTCTGAGTTAATATTCTTCTTAGAAAATTTATACAGACGTATTTAAGGACAAAGGGACATGATTTCTAAAACTTGCCAAATAGTTCAGAAAAAAAAAAATATATATATATATAATACATATGTCTATATTGCCTGAAGAGAGGGGGAAATTAACAAAGAAAAGTTGGCAAAACATTGAAAGTACCCATTACATGTAAAGCACTATGTGTGATAATAACACCTGACATATGTAGGACTTTACAGTTGACAACATCCTTTCACATGACTGCTCATTTGAATTGATTATCACTGAATTCTCAGTGAAATACAATGAAGCTAGGTCTCATGGGAGGGTGAGGAGGAAGGGCCTCAACTTTCAGCCAGGAAGGCAAAAATCTATAAACAGGTTTTTTAAAAAATTACTTCCCTAGAGTATTCTTTGTGTTTATCATTTTATCTTATAAACACAGAGGGATTTGGCCTTCTGTTAGGGGCCAGATTTTGACTAAGATATGGCTGTTTCTTTTTTTTTTTTGAGGTTGGAGCAAAAGTTTAATAAGTGAAGGAAGAAAGCTCTCTGCTGCAGAGAGAAGACCAGAAAGAGGGTTGCCATTTTCAGAGTTGAATGCAAAGGCTTTTATAAGAAACCGAGAAGGACTGAACATCTCATTTGCATAAGGTGTGAATTTCTGGTAGCTCCACCCTGTCCTCCTAGTGCATATGCAGGCCCCTAGCTTGAGCTACTCCATATTGCTTTGTTCCCCTTACTGTACATGTGTCAGGGGATGTAATTTTCCATTGCGGGCATGTCTGGGCAAGTCCCCTGTGTAGCCTTTCTTATTTGTGTGGCTGGGAGCATGTCTTAGGCAAGTCCCCCTGTGCAAGTTCCCTTATCTATGCCTGCAGTCTGTTCTTTTCTTTGAAATAATTCAACCAAGGACCCACCCTAACTGCCTGCCTGTCTGGTTTCTTCCTTTCTCCTCTCTCATTACCCCCCTCAGGAGTGGAGACCCTAGATACGGCTTTTTAATCACTCTATTCACTTATTCAGAGTATATAGACTCATATTGTGAGAGGTACCTCAGTACTGACATCACCTGAGGAAATAAGAAGTTCATGTCTTCTGGCTCATACTCACTTCAGATCTGATGCTCATTCCTTGAGTTGAATGTTCAACAAAATTGCTCCCATATTTAAATCTCTCTCTCTCTCTACCTTAGTGAACTGGTTTGGTTCTGCTGAATTCATGTGGTTGAATTAGAGACAGATGAACACACAATAATGGGTCTCAGGCAGGACAGTGTGCAGGAATTGGTTGACTGTGGCTCAACATCCATTCTCACCTATTGTTACCGAGCAATGGGCTCACTGCCCAATGCACATAGATAACAATACTATGGCACCAGCTTTGGAGAAAAGAAAACACTTTATTTCCAGTCAACTGGCAAGGAGATAGGAGGCAACACTCATAACTGTCTCTCCAATCTGGGAGTAGCTCCAGCTTTTATGGCCTTTCTAACTAGTTCCAGATGATGCCAATGCAGCTGGTCTGCCAGGCTGGTGGTGTTAAATTAGAAGGTCAAAGCCCTTTCTATTGTGCATACCCAGGCAATTTTGGTCCTTTGTCACCTGTAAAAACTAAAGCAATGGTTAATCAGTTTGAGCTGGTCCCATGGTTACATTTCCAGGGTGCTTTCCAATGCTGCAGAGGCTGGAAGTAAAATAAATAAATAAATAAACACAACATTTTCTGGAATCTAGTTAGGAGACTGGATATGACTTAGGTTCTGTCAATTAGATGCACTCATCAGAAATGTAAAACGTGGAAGTGGGCAAAAGCTGTCTTTCTGCTGTTTGCTGTTTTCTGCTGGCAGGGAAGATTTTTGTGTATCAGTATTTAGTCTCTGCCTTTGTGAGTGTTGAGGGGTAGTTGGGCTATGAAGATCACCAGACTCCACATTCCACTGTCCACACGGTTTGGTCCCCCAAACAGATCAGATGCTGTTTTTCTGATCTCTCGATCACAGCTATGCCTTTGTGTCCTTAAAGTCAATGGTTCCATTCTTTGCTGTTCCTAATTGGGGTTCGGGTAGTCATTTCCCTTGTAATTCAGTTCTATCATATTCCAGGGGCCATTCTTAGCTCTAGCCAGCCTAGAGCCCATTCCTTTTAACCCTTCCAACAATTTCCTAAGAACCTAATCTCCAGATAATTCTCCCTTGTATCTAAAATAACTAGAGTAGTTTGTTTTCTGGATTAAACTCTGGCTGGTTTTTCCATTTTCCAGATACAGAGAGTAGTCAGTCAGGCTGCAAGAGGTTAAAGTGGGACAGTGCTTGAATGAGGTGCTCATGCAATCGAATACAATATCTAGGCTAATAGTGCACCTCATCAATGAACACAAAGCTGACTTGTGCATCTAGGATTACCTTGCTCATTTTGATTACATAGTCCTAAGACAAAGATGGCACCTTTAGAAAATCTGCATGGGATGCCTAACATTGACCAGGTTCAACAAATAATAAGTATTCAGAGTATTATTCCAAAGCTTCTCTTCAGGAAATTAAAGCAAACTTCCCCACATTATCAGTTCATTTTTCCCCCTTTGGAATCTTTCTAGCCACATCAATTCATTTTTAACTTCCTAAGACAAGAAAGAGAGGGGAGTGCTCCAGACAGAAATGAATAGGGGTGATGTTAACTGTCCAGATTCAATAATGATGAGTTGGAGTTCAGAAAATACTCAGCAGGAAATTTAACCATGAGCAAGAGCTCAAAAGCAATGTACCCATAAGCAAATACATTCTCTATCTTCCTTTTGAAAATATGAAAGTAGAAAATAAATAGGTCATGTAGAGTGTTCACATTTATCCAACATTTACTATTACAAGTCTCTTCCTCAATTTCCACAGCAAACTTCAGAGGCATGTACCATTAATCGCCATTTCCTGGGTGAGAGGACTAAGGCTCATACAATGTGAAGTAACCACTCAAGGTCACACAGCTATTAAATGTCGTATCCCAGGTGGAGGAACACGTATCCTAACCAAAGCTTCTTTAATACCAAAGTCTATTCCTTTAACAACTTGCAAACTAATGCAGCTCTCCACAAGGTGAATGATTGCCATTATTTTTCCACTCCCCAAAACAGTGTTTTCTAAGCTGAAATAGACAGCCATTTATTAAACCCAGCAGCTTTCATTAATCAGTTTCTTGAGTGAAAAAAATAAAACAGCAGGTTCCAGAGTTTTTCTTCTTAGCTCAGTAGGAGAAAGGAGAGGGCAGGAGAAAGGAAGGAAATTAGCATCAAGACCCAAGATGAGGGATCCAAATCTATCTTTCTGCCTCCCAAAGCAGCTGCTCCCAGATCCCCAGTCACATAGTCCTTCACCAGTTCCATGATGCTAGAACTCCCACACCTCACTCCTGAACCCAAGCAGGATTTCCCTTCCCTATAACCATTAATTCCCCAACAGTGAATGAGGGCCGTGGAATTTTGTTTCCCTATTGTTAACAGAGTTTTTTCTCAACAGCAACTAGCTAAATTTCTCAGGGTAGAATGATGAATGCACCTGCAACACGACCCCTCTTAACACCTCACTTGACCCTCTGTGCAGGTGCTCCTGCCGCTCTTGATTAGAGTGCTGAGGTTCTGACACTCCTCCCTGTGCCACACAAATGCCCAGTGATTCATTTATAACTGACACCCAAGCCTTCACTATTCACTGTTGCAAAGAAAATTTTGGACCTCTGAGAGTTATAACCTTTCCCCATTTTTCTTTCTGCTAATAAATTCTGGAGAGCAATAAGGATAACAGTAAGACATCCATCATCTTGTGGGGTTTACGAGCAGCTGGCATGACATTCTCAGCCAATATAACTGCAAGCTGACTTTAATCACAGTCTGTTGATCTCAGCTTTCAGAAATATTGCCTTGTTATATCATTCTATTCTTTCTCTAAGCTGAATGCATGAAGGAAGGCTTTCTGAGTTTCACCATCTAAACACCAGGGAGGAGGGTCAGAGGAATGCAGTGAACTCTTATTTCATTTGCAAAGGTAACTGGAAAACACTTGGATCTTGAAAGTCCTTGAGCCTTGAAAAAAGACAATTTAAGCTAAAGTCTGGGGACATTAAAGTAGTTGCAAATTTGAGCAAACTCTGTGCCAAACAATTGCTGGATTTCACTGCTCTTTAATAACATTCATCAAATATTTCCACATTTTCTAAGACAACCCTTGGGTTACCACTAAGGCTTGTCATTTTTTCTAATTAATGGTAATCTAAGTTTGTGAATCTTCCTAAAAATTTCACTATTTTTCAGTTTTGCAAACATAAAACTCAGCTGTCTTAAACACCATCTATGATCCTTATAGCTTTTGATTACATGACGGGATGGCTTTGAAATGGTGAGCTTCTGTCCCCTGGATCTGACAAAACAAGCAATCCTATTTCATTTGCATTTGGCAAGTGCTTAGACCAGTGGCCTCCATATATTTTGCACATGCTCCAAGCCAATAGAAAAATGTTAAGCATGCTCCCTCTATGCTAGGCTGTGGTAACGAAGAGACCCAAATGTGTATAATGACTGAAATACCCAGAAGTTTATCTCTTGCTGATAAAATTGCATGAAGTGAATGCTCCTGGTAAGTTGGCAGTCCCCTCCCAGCAATGTTTCAGGGATGAAGTCTCCGTCTATCTCAGGCCTCCGACATTCCCAGGGCCTGTTCCTTTTCTGCATGTAAGCCAGCAGAAGGGGAAAGAGTGTAAAAGAAGCATGACTGCTTCTCAAAAGCCTTGGTCCAAAACTGACATTTATAACTTCCATTCACCTCCCGTTGGGAATAACTAGAGAACTGGTCACACCCACATGCAAGCAATCTGGAAAAAGTTGCCTTGGGCTGGGCAGCAGCTTGCCAGCTAAAACTGTATATTCTGAAATGAAGAACAGATTTTGGTGAACAGCTGTTTGTCTGCCACATTCTCAGTTTATTCATTCCTTCATTCAGTCATTCTTATTTATTTATAAATGATATACATGTGTGTGTATATATATACAAAACTCTGTAATAATATGCATATTGTAAGGCATATACAGAAATATAAATTATAAAGGATGAGAAAAACAAGATTAAATAGAAGTTTTGTTTTTCCTGCAGCCCATTGCATCATCTGTGCCTCCCATGGTCAGGATTCACCCCCTAGATTCACTACTCTAGACTCCAAGAGGTCCTGGAAATTAGGAAGTGCCCTTCTAGAGAAGCATTTTAAGAAGTAAAAGATACTGCCCTACTGCTAGCCTTTCCCCTCTTCTTGTAGATGGCACCCAGGTCCACAAAGCTGCTCAAGCCCCAAATCTGGAAATCATCCTCAGTTCCTCACTGCCCATTACCTCCATATCCAGTTTCCAGCCAGTCCTGCCTGCTTGCCTTCCCAACCAGATCCAGAATCCCTGCTTATCACTCCACCTTCATGACTCTCACCCTACCCCCAGCACCAGCATCTTTTCTCTGGACACTGTAAGAGCCTCTTGTCCTTACAATCCATTCTTCATGGGACCGCCATTGTGATCTTTCAAACATATAAAGATGATCAGGTTATTGCCCTGCAAACTCTCCAATGGGCTGATACCTCAAATACGATCAGCCTCCTCATTGAAGCTTACAAGGCACAGTAAACATTCTACAAATGTTTCTTGAATATTGTTAAATATATACACACAGGGGGAAACGTCTGAAAAAATAATTACCAAACTGCGGTTATGTTTACTGTTAAATCGTTCAATGGCAACTTTTATAATTAAGAAAAAAGTTACTTATATTTTGTAAAGAAGGAGAGGGAGAGAAGGCTAATAAGAAAAGGGCATCTGTTTCCAGGTAAACTCTACTCTAAAGACCAGTTATTATTATTTTTGTTACTATTTTCCTCTCCTAATTCAAGCAGATTTTTACTTACTTGTCTTGCAAAAGGTTTGCAGCAAGAAAGAGAACAAAAAAGATACTTTTTACCTCATGGCTTTCTTTTTTTCAAAGAGCAAAACCCATTGAGGAGAATAGGGCCTGCTGACAGGAAAGTGCCTCAGATGGAAGGTGAGCAAGGGATTTCCTTCTAGAAAAAGAAAAGCCTTAGGTTATGGGGAAGAGAGATCTAAGGTGCCTTGGAAGAAAGGTCATGTGCAGCCTTGGGAAGCTGGGCACCTGGATTCTGGGCCCAGGGCTCCCAGTTTTATAGGTTTCAGGGTTCCAAGAGCCAAAGGGAAAGTGAAAGACCACAGCAGTCTCAGTGGAATCAATGTAGATAATTGTGCAATACAATATGTTGGCCCTGCGTAAGACCCAGATCTTGGCACACGTTCACAGGGCATGAGGGAGATCAGCCCAAAATGGCAGAGACTAAATTTCCTGCCAGCTCAAAAGGCTGGGTGTCCAGAGCCAAAATGAAGTTGATTTATAAAAGCAAAAAAAAAGTTATATTTCTTGAATGCCTTCATTTGTGTACTAAGACTTATAACCACTATCATCTTATACAAAAATGTGCAAAGGATACATCACTTTCATAAATGAGTACTGATTCAATGTCATTCCTACAATATTGTCACTCTTACTCACATGTATTACGTGCATTTCAGTATGCTTTCCTAGGGCAAAAAGTGGAGGGGAAAGGGTGGATCAATGACAGTGCTAGTGTTGCCACAGAGAATGCATCTCATGCAAGCATATCAGCTGGTACATGTTTCAGCGGGCAAACATCTAAGAACCAGTTCTCTATGTCTGTTCCATTCTGACTTAATTACAGTTTGTAATTACAGTTTGTTATTTGCATTCCTAACCAGGCCTACTTCAGAACCTTGGACATAGGGAAATGACATGGCACAGTGGTTGAGAGCACAGGTTCTTAGCTAAGACTGTCTGGGATGGAAACTAAGCTCTGCCAGTTATGTGACATGGAGCAAGTTTCCTAATCCCCCTGTTTTCTTATCTGGGGATAATGTTACTCTTACTTCAGGGGGTTAGTGAGGAGTAGTTGCGTTCATTTTAAGGTGTTTAGCACAGTGCCTGTCACATTGTAGGCTTTCTGTTAAACGTTAACTGTTATTACTAGATTTTATTATAGTAAGCACTTAGAAAATGCTGAATGAATGAATGAATGAATGAATGATTGTCTTACCCTCTGGTCCATCAAGAGCAGAAGATTATACAAGAAAATGACCAGATTATTCTCTATTTAGGTGCTGTTCCAGACCAAATTTTGCCACACCTTGTTTTTGCTGTTAAGACACATATATTCAGGCCAAGCACAGTGGCTCACACCTGTAATCCCAACACTTTGGGAGGCCAAGGCGGGCAGATCACCTGAGGTCAGGAGTTCGAGACCAGCCTGGCCAACATGGCAAAACCCCATCTCTACTAAAAAAATACAAAAATTAGCTGGGCGTGGTGATGCACGTCTGTAATCCCAGCTACTCAGAAGGTTGAGGCAGGAGAATCACTTGAACCTGGGAAGTGCAGGTTGCAGTGAGCCAAGATCGCATGCCACTGTACTCCAGCCTGAGCAACAGAGCGAGACTCCATCTCAAAAAAAAAAAGACACATACATTCAGGTACTTCTCACATACCCTGAGGCATTAGCAAGGTGCTACATGGAGTCATGTCTACTGTCCCACTTGGTGACCAATAGTCAACATTAGCAAAAACTTTGACCATAATGAAGAATATAGGTTATGGTTATACCCAAAAAAAATTATTCTGGAAATGCTGTTTTCTGTGGCACTCAATCTTTCACTTTTGGCCTCAGGTAGCATTAGAATAAGTCAATTCTGGGAATCATGGAAAATCAATAAATTTGTTGTCTTTCTTCTGGGGATATATTTAAAATAACCCTCAGCCTTTGGGAGGCTGAGGTGGGTGGATCACAAGGTCACGAGTTCAAGACCAGCCTGGCCAACATAGTGAAACCCTGTCTCTAATAAAAATACAAAAAATAAGCTGGGCATGGTGGCAGACGCCTGTAATCCCAGCTACTCAGGAGGCTGAGGCAGGAGAATTGCTTGAACCCGGGAGGCGGAGGTTGCAGTGAGCCGGGATCGCGCCACTGCACTCCAGCCTTGGCCAAAGTGCAAGACTCCATGTCAAAAACAAACAAACAAAAAAAAAAACAAATAAAATAACCCTCAGCCAACAACTCAACAGGATGACCAGCTGGACAGCAGCCATTTGAAAACGCTCCAATTTCAAGAAATTGTGTTGATAAATCATTTTCCAAATATTCTCCAGAAAAACTCCTATGATGAAAGAAAAATGAAGCATGTATTTATCATCAGTCCCTCTATGTTGCCTTCCCACTGAAATTCAGAACAAAAGCCACAAACATGCCATATTTTCTCAGATCTTTATACAGTTCCCTGAGCATGGAACGTCCTCCACACCTCCCATTTCACCCAGCCCCTTAATCCCAGTGAGTCATAGTTGTATAGTGCAGAGATTAGTAGTTGAATTCAAATCCCAGCTCCATATTTCCCAGACTGAGTGACAATGGGCAAAGTTATTTAACTTCCCTGTTAATCAGTTTCCTATAGGGATGATGGTTACACCAACCTTGTGGGGCTTTGGAAAAAAATAAATAGCTTAATATTCGGAAAATGCATAGAATAGGGCACTTCTGGCACAGAGTGAGCATTACATAAGTTGTGTCATTATTGTCTTTCAAGTCCTAGCACCAGTTTCACAGAAACCTGAAGGTTTGTTCATTCCCCTGGGCAGGGTTATGCACCTCCTTCTCCATGCTTGTACTCGTCTCTACTGTAATATGTATCACATTCAGTTATAAAGGTTAGTGTGTATGTCTCCCTTGCCACTACTCAGAACTATAGGAAATACAAAGGCAGTCATTTTACCTTTTTTTTTTTTTCAGGTAGGGTCTCACTCTGTCGCGCAGGCTGGAGTGCAGTTGTGTGATCTTAGCTCACTGCAACCTCCACCTCCTAGGTTCAAGCGATTCTCCTGCCTCAGCCTCCTGAGTAGCTGAGACTACAGGCGCATGCCACCACGCCTGGCTAATTTTTGTATTTTTAGTAGAGATGGGGTTTCACCGTGTTGGCCAAGCTGGTCTGGAACTCCTGACCTCGGATGACCTGCCCACCTCGGCCTCCCACAGTGCTGGGATTACAGGCATGAGCCACCACACCCAGCCCATCTTACCTTTAGAGTTTTCAAGCCTTACAACAGAGCTGTGAACATAGCAGATGCACAACAAATATTTGGTTAATGTATGAAATCATTAATTAAATGTCATTTAAACTTTTCAAGCTTCTCATGAAGTCAGTATTTTCCCCTCCTTGTATGAAACTGTCGAGCAATGGCTATTTCTGTGGCTGCTTCTAAAGCCAAACAAGGTAAGGTTTTCAGTTATCTCAGAGACTGTACAATAATCACTGGTATCATAAAAATTCATTATTATCCCTGTTAATAGAGTGGATAAATATCCTTGCTGGGACAGCAGTGTCTTGGCCCAGCATGTGTCATCTATAGAGTGGACTCTTAGAGTTTCCTTAGGCAGCTCTCCAGCAGTGCATCCCTCCAGCATTGCTGGGATATGGGACATGTCGCAGCTCCCAGAAGAGATCTCCCAGTGGCTAGTCACGGTCAATCTGCAATCAGAGAAGGGTTTTGGCAAGAAAGTGATCCAAGGAGACACTGAAAATAGCAAGTTCATTGAAGGCCAAGGGAACATCCCCTTGTGAAAGTAAGAAAGGATGATAAAATAAGAAGCTTACTGGCAGTGAAAAGAAAACATCCTGTCTGAGTTGAATTGCAGGAGGGGGAGTCAGGGAAGGCTCCAGCCACCTTGGAAAGGCAGCATGGAGCAGCAGGGAAGCCACCAGATTTGGAATCTGAACAATCAAGTCTCAGTTCTTCATTTGATGAGCGCACTTTCTCCTCTTTAAAATGGAGACCCAGCCTGATGTGGTGGCTCATGCCTGTAATCCCAGCACTTTGGGAGGCTGAGCCGGGCAGATCACCTGAGGTCGGGAGTTCAAGACCAGCCTGACCAACATGGAGAAAACCCGTCTCTACTAAAAATACAAAATTAGCCAGGTGTGGTGGCACATGCCTGTAATCCCAGCTACTCGGGAGGCTGAGGCAGGAGAATCACTTGAACCTGGGAGGCAGAGGTTGCAGTGAGCCAAGATCACGCCATTGCACTCCAGTGTGGGCAACAAGAGCGAAACTCCATCTCAAAAAAAAAAATAATAAAATAAAATAAAATAAAATGGAGACTGAAACAAAGAAAACTGTGAAGCACACTATGAATGTAAAAATTTATCCTGTGTTGTTAGAAAGGCCCCTTCACACAGTAATTCACAGAAAGGGTTCCCACTCTGAACAAGGTCTTTCCATCTTCTCCACTTGAGGGCTGAAAGGGATGTCTCTGCCTCCTTTTGATTTAAATTAGCAGGTTCTTAAGAAGTGAGGGTGGGCAACAGAATTGGAGGCTTTCATGAGACAAAACTTACTAGGAATTTGCTTAGGAATCTGCTTTTGGGAGGCACTATGTAAACCCACACAGTGTGACTTACAGCCTATGAGGAACTTTCTTATGTTAGGCTCAAGTGTTAAAAATGCAAACCGCCTGTGGTGCACTGCTGGAGCTGCTATCCCCACCTAGCAAGAGCTGACTGCACACGTCTCTTCCCACCTCCTTGAAATTGGCCCTGGTAGAAGTGTTTACCTCATGGTAATTGACAAATGCTACAAATCAGGGTGTCTTTTCTTCTCTGTCTCCAGGAGCTTGCTTATGAGCACACCTCTGACTGAGGTCCACAGGACTCAAGATTCCTCCAGCCATCACTCTCCACTACAAATGCCACAAAAATGAAAATTTGACCATATACATAAGTACTAGATGGGAAACACTGAAAAGATACACCATGAGGAGGGAGAAAAAACAAAAAGCCAAAAAATCTTAGTATATCAACTGCACATTCCTACCACACGGAGATCTGACAATGAAGTATCTTGAGGGTTTTTGGGGGTTTTTTTGTTTTTTAAACTAAGAATAACTGTAATATGCCAGAGAATTTTGAATCAGCCTTATCTGTAGTCTCAAATGAATATATTCAAAAGTCATATTATAGCAGAAATGCAAATATCTTGATTGCATATTGAGGATAATATAATGGTGGAACAACTAGCTTGTCAAATAGGTGATCGGGATGGAATAAAAATGCATTCTTGGTTGTCTTCTATCCCAATGAGTTAAAGTAATATTGCACTTATAACTTTTCAATACATTATGGTCATATTGTTTCCTCATGCGTATTTTATTTGTTCTTTTTATCGTTTAAATGGATTGTTCCTTTTCTTCTGGAACTCCAAACATTATGCTAGGTTTTCAAGGCTGGTGCTTGTGATAGGGGAAGAGAATAATGCCTGTGTGTGTAAGGTGCTTGATGTTTCTCAGAGGCCTTTCCTATATGCAATCCTCACTTAATCGTTATACACACCCCCAAAGCAAGGCATACCCATTTTCAGACAAGGAAGAAGACACTCACATGATAAGAAGAGCTACTGGAATCTGGACCCTGCTGTCATTATTGTTCCTGGACATTAGATGTTGACTGTTATAGCCATCGATAATGCTGCCACTAGAATGATGGTCGAATTGTCTCTACTTCTTTGCATCACTCTTACAGTCATAAAACTCAAAACAAGAACATCTGCTTAACCGGGCTTAGGTCTCCTGTACGTACACTAACTGGCGAGATTTCAAGTGAACCGGCAGCTTGTATTTTTTGGGCTTCTGCTGTGAAATGAAAATCCTTCATCTAACAAGACAAAAAATGGTACATTCTCCAAACACAGGAGGAAGTTTAAATTCAGAAGAGTAGATATTATTATTACTATTATAGTAAGCATCTATTCTACCCATGGGAGCCTATCATCTTTTGAGTCTTTTCTCTATATTTGGAGACATATCCAAATTATGAGTTGTTATATAGGATTCACAATGCAAATTTCCAGCTGCCCTTGCAGCTAGGATTCAGGGACATGAATTACTTGGTGTCAATCAAGGACACCATATCATTATAAGATTTTGATTCAAGGCCAGCTGCAGTGGCTCATGCCTGTAATCCCAGCACTTTGGGAGGCCGAGGCAGGCAGAAAACTTGAGTTCAGGAGTTTGAGGCCAGCCTGGCCAACATGGTGAAACCCTGTCTCCACTAAAAATACAAAAAGTAGCCAGGGATGGTGGCAGGCGCCTGTAATCCCAGCTACTCGGGAGGCTGAGGCAGGAGAATTGCTTGAATCTGGGAGGCAGAGGTTGCAGTGAGCTGAGATTGTGCCACTGCAGTCCAGCGTGGGCAACAGAGTGAGACTCAAGAATAAAAATAAAAAATAAAATAAATAAAAAATAAAATGACACCAATTTATTTTTAAAAATGTTTTTGATTCAGAAGGAAGCAATAAGAAGAAAAAGGCTCTGCAGAAAAAGGACCTTGAATCTTTGCAAATTTGATGGTGAAGGGGATGCAGAGGTATCTGGTATTTTTTTGTGGTGGCTGTTTCCCAGGGTTTACAATAGGGTATTTTGGAGATAAAAGCAATAGCTGTGGAACAGCAGCATTTTTCCATTAAATCTGCTGTTTAGTTTGGGATATTATTCCTCAAGGCTTATTCTCAAGCCCAGTTTTCCAGTTCACTCAACAGTCCCGTGATCCACCCAATATTTTTAAATAAAACGCTTTTCTATTGATTCAACAAGAATCAGCGTCTGTTGTTTGGAGCCAAGAACTTTGATTAATACAGTTATATTTCCTATAAATGTGGAAACTTATGTCTTAAAGGTTAAATTGCTCAAGATGACAAAGTCAGTCAATGACAGGGCAAAGATTTGTACCTGGACTGTCATAATCTCAAGCCCATATTCTGATGCAAAAAGAGTATACCATAAGGTCATAAAACTAATGAGTTGTGCTTGAGTTGTTTTAAAGTTAGTATAAATTATAGAAAGATCTAGTCTAACCTAAAGCTCTGAATAACAAAGTATCAAGTGGAGTCCACAACCCAAATCTTTTGCTATGTAATCTAATGTGCTTTCTATGACACCTCTCATCATCATAATCCTATCACATTTTGCTTTATGTATTTTGAAACTAATTTTTAAGTGCATTTGTGTTCAAGAATATTATACAGAGAAGAGATTACCATTATTTCTTGCATCCCACACCTCTCTGTATTCAATTTTCAACTTACTGAAGTACATCTTTTAATAATTCTTTCAGCCAGGGTCTATTTTGAATTATTTATCAGAAAATGCCTTTATTTTTGCCTCATTCTTGAATGATGTGTGTTTTCTGGATAGTATCTTTAAAAGATGGGCATGTATGTCCCTTCTGCCTTCCTTGCAAACTACCCTGCTCCTGCACCTGCCTGGGATGCAGACCTGAGGGACACAGCTAAAGTAGCCATGTGGGATCCTAAAATAGAAGCCGCAAATTGAGAGTAACAGAGCCACTCTATCAGCCCTTGACATCTGGACTGTTACATGGGAAAGAAATAAATTTCTATCTCTTTTAAGGCTCTATATTTTGGGGTCTATCCTTTTTAAAAAAAACAATGTCTACTATGTCTTAGCAGTTGTATCCCTGCTTGCTTTGCTCTCTCCTTTCCTTATGCCTTCCTCAATATAGATGTGTACGGTGCCCTGGTACACACTCCCAACCCCTACCTTCACTTTTATTTCTGGGTCCTAACCAAAATCCACAGAGTGCCTTGACTGCTATGTGACCTGGCCAGTTGCAGTTTTTTCCCAGCGGATTTTAACCCTAAGCAGGGCCTTGAACATTCCCAGGTATTGTTAAAGGTATCTAGGCTTACTAGAAAGAAACTGGTCCTGAACCTGAGCCAAATTCCTTAAACCTTCATATAAACTCCATACCCTGACCCCCTTGCTGCTGACATACCTAAGTAGAACATCCCTTTCCTCTCGCTGTTCATGGGAAGGATTGCTGCAGCCCACTCTGTACACAAGTTCCCCTGATAAATGCTTTGGACTGGTCACCTTAGCATTTAGTGCTCCTTTCTTTGGAATCCCAATGAGCCCTATCTCAGGATGGTTTGGGGCACTCTCTTGTGAGAACTCCCCAGCACTGCTTTTGGGGTGACTCCAGCCACCACTTGGGTAGAACAAAACAATACATGTGTGAATACATAAATGCACGTGACCTCATTCTTACTTCAATTTCTCCTCTTTATGTCATATTTTTCTATCTCATTATTTCTCTGTGCTGCATTTTGGGTGATTGCCTTAGTTATTTCTTTCAGTTTACTTGTTTTCTTCAGAAGTCTAATCTGCTATTTAACATGTCCCTTTGAGTTGTTAATGTCAACAAATATATTCTTAATCTCTACACTTTCTATTTGGTTCTTTTACAAATAAGCCTGGTCTTTTCTAATGACAAAATAGTCTTCTGTTTTATTCCTTCCTTTATGTCTCTGACATTTAAGAGATACTTGCATTAGGCCAAATGTTTATAGTCCCCCCCGAAAAAAAAAAAATCATATGTTGAAATCCTAATCCCCAACATGATGGCATTGGAGGTGGAGCCTTTGGTAGATTCGTGTCTTTATAAAAGAGAGCCCAGCGCGCTCCCTCACCCTTTTGGCCATAAGAGTACATAGCAAGAAGACTGTCCTCTATGAACCAGGAAGAGTGCCCTCATCAGAAACCAAATCTGTGGGCCACTTGATCTTGGACTTCCAGCCTCCAGAACTGTGAGAAATAAATGTCTGTTGTTTGTAAGCCACCCAGTCTGCGGTATTGTGTCATAGCAGCCCAAACACATCAAGACAATACTTATTTCATAGTCTCATTCAGAGTTTTTAAATTAACCCAGTTCTTGGATTGTGATTTCTCTATTTATTTTATCTTCAGGTTTCCCTTCAGGGTGATTCATTTTGTTCTTAATTTTGTATTAAGAGTTCATCTTTAGCAGAGCTTGTTATCTGACCATACACCTGTGTACCTAAATCGTAGAAACAGCCCAACATGGCACTTTGTTTCTGGTGAAATTCTAAGGATTCAATTGTCCTGGACCAGATTTCATGGTAATTTCTTAGAATGAGATTTCTGTATCTCCCAAATCCTACATCTACTCATGGTAAATGCCTGGGAAACACATTTTTCCCACCCACAGCCATAGACCAACTACAAGTTTCCTTCCTCCTCTTCATAACAATTGTCAGTATTTTCCATAGTCCCTTCCTCACAGATGAGGCACCCCTTCTCCTAGGCTCCAGAGATTATTGACAAGACTCTGTCACAGGATTACCACATAAAATACAGGAAGCCCAGTTAAATTTGAATTCCAGATAAACAACCTTTTTTTTTTTTACCATAAATATGTTCCTTTCAACTTGTAGAACATACTTACCCTAAAAAATGATTCATTGTTTATCTGAAATTCAAATTTAACCAGCCATCTTGTATTTTAATTTGCTAAATCCGACAATTCTAGTCATAGTGTCCTGCCTAAACTTGGCCTGAGGTCCCATGTCCTATCTCCAGATGGGCCTCCACACCCAAGACCCCAGATCCTGGGACCTATGTGCCGTTCTAGCAACATCAGCCACAGTTATTACTCTGGCTCTGAGTTTTCTTTTCACATTGAGAACTAGAAGATTTCCCTTACTTTTTTCAATGCTGGTTGTAATGGACGGGTGTGGTGGCTCACGCCTGTAATCCCTGCAATTTGGGAAGCAAGGTGGGCAGATCTCTTGACCTCAGGAGTTTGAGACCAGCCTGGGCAACATGGTGAAACCCCATCTCTACCAAAAATACAAAAAATTAGCCAGGCATGGTGGCATGCACCTGTGGCCCCACCTATTTGGGAGGCTGAGGTGGGAAGATTGCTTGAGCCTAGGAGGCAAAGGTTGCGGTGAGCTGAGATTGCACCACTGCACTCCAGCCTGAGTGACACAGTGAGACTTCATCTTAAATAAAAAAAAATAAAAAACAAACAAACAAACAAACATGGTTGTATATTTTAAATTGCTGCCACATATTATCTAGATTTTCTATGTGACAGTGGTGGAGGGAAGGTTTCCCCATGTCAGCTAGTCTGCCATGTTGTCAGAAATATTTTAATTACTTCACATCTGCCCTCATCCTCCACGTGAGCATTGTACTATGCCATGAAAAAAAAAAATGAAGCACAGAGTGGCGAATTCACCCAAGTTAGTTGGAGACAAGGGAATGTCCAGGAACAAGTCCTCCTGACTTGTACTTCAGGGATGCCGCCCAGCTCATTCTTTCTACAGGACGGGTTCTCCAAAGAAAGGCAAACAGCTCCCAGTTTTGGCTAAGGTTGGACTTCCCAAAAACATGGGTATTCAAGGATTTTCTTTATATTTTTTGGGCACAGGAAGGAAGTAAAATTCTGACTTGCTACGTTTTACCGGGCCAAGTCAAAGATGAAAGGCTAGATGATGAGGTTAAAATAGAAAATTATTAACTAAAAAGGGTTGAAACGTCTATTTTAAGACCTTAAATTAGTCAAAACCTAGGGAATGGAAGACATAGAGTCATAGGATGAGAAAATAATGTGGTTTTGTATTGAAATGTTTCAGAGAAAGGCCCCTTTTAAAACAGTTCTAAATAAAGTTCTTGGAACAGAAGAAAACTATTTTGTTTTCACTTTAGACATGGAAAATCCCCTGGACCAGAAATTCCAAAATCCTCTCTGCATATTTTCTGATTTTTTTCAATAATTCCACATCCTCTACATGGTTTCCAGGCAGAGCCTAATTTGGCCTTGACCCTGCATGCACCAAAGATCTCAAATTCAAGCCTTTGACATAATGTCACAATGAAGTTTTACTTTCTGTTCTTATATACTGTGTATTAAGGTATCAGTTTGTTCAAGGTAAACATTTAAAATCATCACAGTTTTTGAAACTCTGTTTCAGCACATCTACACTTATTTCTACATTTTTCTTATTTTTATTTTTAGTATTCTAGACATCTTAAAAATTAATCCATGCCCTGGGCTTTCCACCCACTCTGGCAGGCTCTGCTGCTAAAAATTCACGTTGTATAAGCCTTAAAGAGTGTGTGTCCCTCCCAAACAGCTCCCACATGAATATGAGTTTAAGAAAAGAAGGTATACATTTTGCTAATAGAAATCATTTATAATTCAAAAGAAAAAGGAATAATACTTCTCGTGTTTGTCTCTGGTCCCAGAACTTACTTGTCCCACAAGACCTTTGGCTCTAATCACCTCCTAGGATTACTCCCTCTAGGTCTACGCCACTCAAAGAAAAATCACGAGATGGCAGTCTAAATTATGACTATCCCAACTTTCAAAGCAACTTAAATCAGAGAACCGT
Organism: Homo sapiens; assembly: GCF_000001405.40. Classification (NCBI taxonomy): domain Eukaryota; kingdom Metazoa; phylum Chordata; class Mammalia; order Primates; family Hominidae; genus Homo; species Homo sapiens. The sequence continues at coordinate 182,778,144 of NC_000001.11, forward strand.
AGAATTTTAATATATGTCTTATTACAAAATAAACCATGTAACTTGGAAAACATTTGGAAATTTCGCAAAAGCATAAAGAAATGGAAATCACGTATCAACTCACCACTCAAACATGTTTCTGTGAATAAAACATGTTTTATGCATAAAACACATTTTAACAAAATGTAATCATACTCTTCAAGTTTTCAAATTTGCTTTTTTCACTTATCTATATATTGTGAACATTTCCCACAACATTACATATTTTTCTACAGTACCACTTTAGTGACTATACATTCCATTTTATAAATATGTGTTTATTTCATCAGTCCTCTCTTTGGGGGCATTTAGATTGTTCCCAGTTTCTCCTAACTCTGTGATAATTATCACTGTAGTAAAGTTATTCTTGCAGTTGGCTATTATTATTATGTCCTTAGGATAAATTCCCAGAAGTGAAACTGATTGGTTGAACAATATGCACATTGTCAAAATTTTAGGCACACATTGCCAAGTTACCTTGTAAAAGGTTCATCAATCCCACCAGTAGTGTATCAGAGTACCTATTTACTATCAGCTTTGAGGAATTTTGTATAAACTAAGTGATCATCAATAATGCAAAAGTATTTTTCATTTATGAAAAGGATTTACAACATGGCTCCTTTAAACAGTGAGCTTCCTGGTACATTTAAAACATTATTCAATTTAAAATATGATTTTAAGTTTCTGTAGAAATTTTCTATAACAAAACTAATAAAGAAAATAAAATATTTCTCTATTTGATTTTTTTTAATGGAGAATGCTACCTTTCAAAGGACTCTTTCTCTTTCTGTGTTCATCCAGCCTGAGAAGAGATACCACAGTTCAGCACCATTATTCTGCTCATAATCCATCTTCTATTTCATATTCCATTTCCCGTCATGCACTGGATAAACACGGCAGCACTGACATGATGAGAAGCCTTCCCTGAAGACTGCAGCCCACACTCATCTATCCCTTCACTGAACTCCTATTATACTTATTGTCTGTACCACACAATTAGCACTTTATTATATACTGTCTTGTTCTCTAATTGTCTGTACCACACAATTTAGCACTTTATTACATTCTGTCAGATTCTGTAATTGTGTCATTTATTTTTATCATATCTCTCCAACTAGATTACAAGCACCAGGGTGTCAGGGACGCTGTCTGGTCCTGCTTTGCCATTCCACATGGCACCAAACACTGTGCCAGGCACAACAAGGTAGGCCTTCAATACATGCTGGTGAGTTTATGGGTTGATGGTGGGTGAGTGGGTTGGGAGATTTGTTCACTGACTTTCTGGTGGGCTTTAAGTAGGCTGAGTTATCTGGAAGGCAGAGTAGGAAATATTAATTGATAAGGTACTGGGTAACAGAAGATTCAGGCACCATGGTCATTCCACCCACTGTCCATCTGTCCAACCTGCTTTGTTGCCTAGTAAGTCATTTGGTTCTCTCCACTTAAATTTTTCTGTATATAGTCACACATAACTTACAACAGGGATACATTCTGAAAAACACGTCATTAGGCAGTTTCATTGTTGTGTGACCATCATAGAGTGTGCCTACAAAAATGTAGACACTGTAGCCTACTGCACATCTGGGCTATATGGTATATAGCCTGTTGCTCCTAGGCTACAAACCTGTATAGCATGCTACCGTACTGAATACTGTGGGTGATTATAACACAATGGTATTTGTTTATCTAAACATAGAAAAGGTATAGTAAAAATACAATACAAAAGATTTAAAATAGTACACTTGCATAGAATACTTACAATGAATGGAGATTGCAGGACTGAAAGTTGCTCTGGGTGAGTCAGTGAGTGAGTGGTGAGTGAATGTGAAGGCCTATAACAATACTGTACACCACTGCAGACCTTATAAACATTGTACACGTAGGCTGTACTTCATAATTTTAGAAAATATTTCAACAATGATAAACTTAGCTAACTGTAACTTTTTTCCTTTATGAACTTTTAAATCTTTAAAAACTTTTTGACTCCTTTGAAATAGCACTTCACTTACAAACATTGTATAGTCATACAAAAATATTTTCTTTCTTTATATCCTTATTCTATAAGCATTTTTGTATTTTATTTATTTATTTATTTATTTTACTTTTTAAATATTTTTGTTAAAAACTAAGTCACAAATACACACCTTGGCCTAGGCCTGCACAGGTTAGGATCATCAATATCACTGTCTTCCTCTTCCACATCTTGTCCCACTGGAAGGTCTTCAGCGGCAATAACACACATGCAGCTGTCATTTCCTATGATGACAATGCTTCTTCTGGAATACCTGTGAAAGGACCTGTCTGAGGTGCTTTTACAGTTAAGTTTTAAAAATATAAGTAGAAGCAGTACCCTCTAAAATAACAATTAAAAGTATAGTAAACACATAAGGAACACTTGTTTATTATCATTATGAAGTATTATGTACTGTACATAATTGTATGTACTATACTTTCATAAGGCTGGCAGTGTGGTAGGTTTGTTTACACCAGCATCACCACACCCACGGGAGTGTGCTATGTGACAACAGCTACGTTACTAGGCAATGGGGATTTTCCAAGTCCATTATAATTTTACAGGACCACTACCATATATACGGCCCACTATTGACCAAAACGTCCTTATGGGGTGCATAACTGTTAAGCAGAACAGGGAAACAAGAACAAGTGACCAGACAATACCGTTTTAAAAATCACCGGAAACCACATTTTTCCTCTGATGATTTTACACTATAACTTTCTCTAATTGGGGAGGCACTGCTGTGTACAGGAAAGAAGTCATGCTTTGGAATTAGAGAGACTCCTTACCAGCTGTGTGATGTTCAACAAATTGTTTAACACCTCTCCCCCTCTCTCTGCTTCCTCATTTCTGAAATTATTGTGATTATGATTATTTGTGATATTGCCACTGAGTGTCTGTAAGCCTGCTGGAGTATTCTTATTTTTCCCAATTTCTGTAACTATCATGCCTTTAAGGAAGTGTTAAGTATTATTATTACCATAATTAATACCTCTGTTTGTTTCACACACTACTTGAAGAGTTTCTGCCTAGGCTGTGATTAATGGGTTTGCTTCTCAGTATGTGTAGAGAATAAAGTCAGACAGACTTACATAAGTCATCTTTTTTCCTGATTGAAGTCATTTACATATTGTGGTCTATCACATGACATCAGATTATGTATAGTAAATAATAAGAGAAGAAATGCCCAATATTCAGCATCAACAAATTTGTGCCTCAATCTGTCACGTTCACTTCTGCTATAAAAACTTAGGTGAATCAAGCATTGAGTTAATTATATTTCTCTGAATTTGGAATGATACAAATAAAATGTCCTGTCCCTGTGTGTCATCTGCTTTCCCCTGTCTAATCAGTATGTTTTGCCATGTTCTATCCTTTTGTGTTTTTGACCTTGTTTTTTTCAACTGGCAGGTACACAATAAAATGTTAACTAGTCACCTGGCCGTTCAACATGTTATTGTTTCAAAACAAGGTCAATGAAACCTCCCCCAAAAGTGCTGTTCTAACCCTGGGTCTTCTCTAACCCTGAGGGTCCAAGGAGTCTAGAGAGCTATGAGTGGCTGCTCTATAAGAAAGTGGGTCCTCTTTAAGAAGAGCTTCTCTCCCTCTGCATGTGTTGCCTGAATATCCTTTTGGCAAAGATGGGCTGTTTCTTTCTGCATATTTATGCTAATTGGGCTGTGTTCATTTATTCTTTCAAAAATATTTATCAAGGTCAGCTGTGTAACAGACAGGGGACTGCATGCTGGAGATACAAAAATGAACACCACACGGTTAGGAGCTCGCATTCAAGGAAGCCACAGTCTAACAGGGGAAGCAGACACGTCTGCAGACAATTGCCACACAGTGAGATAAGCATTAACAGAATATGCATGGCCAGGCTATCAGCTTGAGCCCAGTAGTGACCACCACAAAGAGTCAACTTGGTCTGGTAAATCTAAGGGAGCAGTTGACCTGGCTGTAGGTGCTGAATAGCCTGAAGGGAAGAGGACTGCTGGAAAATGGTCTCGTGGTATCTTAGGGTGGAGAAAGGAGAGTGGGAAAGGACAGCCTTGGGATGGGTATGGGGTGACTTTGGTTCCCTGTATTTGCTCCATAGACTCATGCTTGACCTCTACAGAGACAGAATCTGCAGGTAGAGAGGGAAGGGGCTCAAGTGAGACAATGAACACTTGTCATGCTCTTTTGGGGCCTAGGTGAAAAAATGTGAGGCAAAGTGGAAGAGAAGAGGCTTCTCTCCACAACTTAGGAACAGTGTGGTTGATGGCCTTGGGGCACAGGAAGAAAGCAACTTTGACTGAGAAGAGACACTGCCCCCCAGTGGCCTCGTGGCAGGGGGGTCAACAAGAAGCTCAAAGTGGAAGCACAGGCAAGAGAGGAAGCACATTGCAGGGATCACTTATATCGTGCCTCCCACTAATAATGGGAAGTTGGAAGGGAGCAGTGTGTCTGCATTAGGCAGGTGGAGTCTCAAGCCAATGCCATGTGAGTATTACCACTAATATAATAACTATTCTCATTAGGGCTGGTGTGTATAGGAAACCTAATTCTCCATATGCACAAAAGTTGTGGGAACACCAAAAAAAAAGCACTTATTTTCTGATCACAAGATTAAGCAGAGTGATGCCTATACTGGTTAATAATGGAATTGAGGTCTGGTAGGTGGAAAGACAAGAGGCCCAAGATAAGTAATAAAAGGAGACTCAGACACAGTGTTGGGGTTGGGGGCAACTGAGAGATGATGAGAGGGAGTTCAGCCAGGCCTTCCCTTCCCCTCAAACAGAGGGGCTTAAGAAGCTTAAGGAGAGCTCTCAGTGGAGGAGTCAGCAAAACGGAACTAAAGGAAATGGCCCTGAGGCTGGAGACAGGCTGGAGGCAAATAACTAGACAGAAATGTCCGCAAACAAATTCTAAAAATAAGACTTATCTCCTAAGCTAAACAAAATGAAAATCTACCTATGTGCACATAAATAGAATTCAAACAAAAAATAACCTTTCAAACAGCACTAAAGGGCACATTGAAAAATAAGTCCCTCCTGCCTCAGCCCCCTCAGGAAGCAGTTGGTGGCTGCCTGGCATGGTCTTGGAGTGCTGCCCCCCAGAGTCTTGACCGTCATTACAGGGTGAAAGCATAAATGTTAGGGGAACTCCAGGATCCCTAGAGCTCTAAAACCAGCATCCATCCCTGTGTGTCAGTGCTGAACCAGTTGTTAAATATTTTGAACATCACTGGTATCCTTCTAGAAATATGTGCACATATACAAGTATATCCCTACAACACCTCTTTTTTCCTTTTCATACAAATGGAAGAACTGAATAAAAAGCATTCCACATTTTGCCTTTTTTTGTGCCTACTTGGTCTATCTTTAAATGCATGAATATACATCGTATGTTTTTCTTTCAGAAATAACAGAATTTAGGTTACAGAGATAACAGAATACCTAAAACTGAGATATGGAGCACAGGAGTAACACGAGAGACTTTGGAATAACCTCTTGGAGCTTTTCATTAGGCACCAGTGAACCAGGCCAATGGCGACTGGGGAAACCACTCTGAAAGATGGAATCTGAGTGTGCTAGTCCAGGCTAACAGCGCCCTGCAGGCTTGGGCAAAAGGGAAAAGGAGGGACAAGATCAGTCACATTTGCCCAGGAGGGATCTAAGCTTCCTAGAGCCCTGACTCTTAGTGCCTAAATACAGCAGTTACCGAGAATCAAACCAGCCTCGGGTGGCACCAAGTTAAATTTCAAATTTCACACTCTGAACTTTTTCCAGGGAGTTTTTCCTTCATTCAAAAGAGATATAAAGTGAAGTTCTTCGTAAAAGACCTAAAATTTATTTCTCCTAATTGTCCCATTTTTACCTCAAATGCTGAAGGAAACATAGAGTTTTATTCATGAGAGAGAAAATACTTATAAACTAAACTTGAACTGGATTTTACAGTATATTCTACACATTGAAAAGTCAAGAGCACTAGGTGTACTCTTCTTACAGGTATGTTTATTTAAAAAACCCAAAGAACCAACCGGGCATGGTGGCTCACGCCTATAATCCCAGCACCTTGGGAGGCCGAGGTGGGAGGATCACGACGAGGTCAGGAGATTGAGACCATCTTGGCCAACATGGTAAAATCCCATCTCTACTAACATACAAAAAAAATTAGCTGGGCATGGTGGTGGTGTCCTCCTGTAGTCCCAGCTACTTGGGAGGCTGAGGTAGGGAAATCACTTGAACCCGGGAGGTGGAGGTTGCAGTGAGCGGAGATCACGCCACTGCACTCAGCAAGATTATGTCAAAAACAAAACAAACAAAAACAAAAACAAAACCAGTATGGGACAGGAGGCAAGTGTTAATTTTCCATGTCTCATTTCTGTTTCTATACAACATATTTTCATTATTTTAATATAAATGAGAGAGAGGCAGAGATTGAAGAAGAACATTTAAAACTGAGGGAGTAAACTGCACAGGAAGAGTACACAGAATGGGAGCAGAAAACTATTATCTAATACTTTTGTTGTTCCCTGATGTCCCCAGAAATTTTCAGTCTAGAAAGAGTCATAAAGGAGCAATTTCTGCTGATAGACTGTCACCTAGCGGTGGGTTTTTACCTTATTCATAATATAAGTGGCTGCTGAGCTTTGGAATGTTTTTAGAAAACATGCTCATTACTCCTTAAGATCTCCGGGGAACCTTTTACAATACTGTCACAAGCAGAATGTAACTCACTTTTGTGCTTCCCAAAGGTCTAATGTCCTTGTCGGCAATAGCTAAAACAGGTTGCACATCCTTCAAAAGGAAGTTTTGCCTCTGTAATTATTTGAATATTGTCAAAGAAGCCCTGTAGGCAAAATTAAGATTCGTAACTTTCTCTTCTGTTTACAACTCATAGCACCCTCAGTGTTCTCCTTGCTAATGGTCAAACTAGGCCCATATTTTCTAAAGTTTTCTCCATTTTTAGGTGGTGACAAAAGAGTGTATGTAACCCACTGGTCACATTGGCCTAGAGATACGATTCAGGACAAGGAAGTCACAAACTCAGCAACAAGACAATGTTCCCTAGATTTAATCTATGCCAGGAATCCATCCTGCTTGGTCACAAAGAGGCATTACAGTCCTCTTTGTCCAGTCCTTACTCTCTGTGTGATACCAGCCCTCTTGGCCAGGAGGGTTCCTACTGTTGCCTTAACCCTAGTCAACAGGGAGGCACCCTGCTCCCATCAGTGATAAAGTCTATGTTCAGGCGACAGAGCCAGCACATAGCTCTCTGTTATCAACATCCATTCTGCATGCCATACTATTTCAACCATTTATGCAGTATTGGCACTATATGTGTCACATGAAACAGAACAGATAGACCACATCCACACCAAGAAGTTGTGATCAGAAGGGAAAGCACTGGGTGTTATGAGGAGAGGTTGTCACCTACATTGGGAAGATCTGAGTGAGGTCCCTTTTAGGAAGGTTGCATCTGAGTAGAAGTCAGCCAGATGAAAAGCATCCTTGTCACAATGGAAAAGATAAATAAAATGTGGTATAGCCATACAATGGACATAAAAAGGAATGAAATACTAACTCAATCCACAATATGAATAAATCTTGAAAATGTTATGTATGCTAAATGAAAGAAGCCAGACACAAAAGACCACATAGCATGGCTGGGTGAAGTGGCTCATGCCTGTAATCCCACACTTTGGGAGGTCAAGGCAGGCAATCTCTTGGGCTCAGGGGTCTGAGACCAGCCTGGGTAACATAGTGAGACCTTGTATCTACAAAAAATAAATAGAAAATTAGCCAGATGCAGCACACGATTATAGTCCCAGCTACTTAGGAGGTTGAGGTGGGAGGATAGCTTGAGCCTGGGAGGTCAAAGGTACAGTGAGCTGTGGTCATGTCACTGCACTCTAGCCTAGGTAACAGAGTGAGAGCCCGTCTCAAAACACACACACACACACACACACACACCATATAATTCCATTTATATGAAATGTCCAGAATGGGCAAATCTATAGAAATAGATTAGTGGCGGCCAGGCACAGTGGCTCACGCCTGTAATCCTAACACTTTGGGAGGCTGAGGTGGGCGGATCACCTGAGGTTGGGAGTTTGAGACCAGCCTGACCAACATGGAGATACCCCGCCTCTACTAAAAATACAAAATTAGCCTGGCATGGTGGCGCATGCCTGTAATCCCAGCTACTCCAGAGGCTGAGGCAGGAGAATCACCTGGGAGCCAGAGGTTGTGGTGAGCCAAGATTGCATCATTGCACTCCAGCCTGGGCAACCAAAAAAAAAAGTAAGAAGAAAGAAAGAAATAGATTGGTGGCTGCTTATGGCTGGGGGTGGGGAGGGGGAAATAGAAAAATGAGTGACTACTAATGGCTAGGGTTTTATTGGAGGGAGTGATGAAAATGTTCTAAAATGGTGACACAAGTTGCACAATTCTGTGAATAGACTAAACTACTGAACTATTATACACTTAAATGAATTGTATCATAGTGAAATATATGTCAATAAAGTCGTTACTTAAAAATCTGGAGTCACAGATCTTAGGTTTAAGAATGCCAAATATGGAAGTATATCTCTTGTGTTCAACTCATTTTTTTCCTTCTAGCTCTTTCTCCTTAAGAACCCAGTAAGCATTCACTAAAGGGCTAAGCCAAAAGACAGCTGAGCATGGCCGCACTATGCTGCCCCCTCCTGGGATCCCAAAGGATCTTCTGAACCCAAGCTTATGCACAGGACTTTTCCCTTCTCAAGAGATGTCCCTCTCCTAGTTAGCACTCACGCTCAGAAGATAAACCCTAAAGGACAAGGGTTTTTGTCTCAGGGCCAGCAATCAGTTCAACTTCTATTCGTGGCCTGTTCCCTTCTCTGAAGACCTCTGGACTCTGATGAAAAAATAAACCCTACCTTTTCCATCAGCCCCATTGACACACCCATACAAGCCAGAATTTCCAGAAGTGACTCTCATACCCGGTTACGCATTCTTCACAGTGAATGGAACAGACTCTTGTCCACCTGTGGACAGACCTTTTACTGGAACACAATGGGTAACAACACTTCAAGATCCAACTTAGGTCTCCTTCCTTCATAAGTGTTCCGCAATTTAGCAGTGTTTCAGTTGTTGAAAACCCATTTTCTCTTTTCAGGTTAGTATAGCCTTACCAGAAGATAAGGGGAAACTTTCTGGGGGACCACCCCTCACCCACAGTCAGTTCAGGAGCCTGTGATGGGGGCATCACCTCCAGCTCCAAGGATAGAACATATGACTGTTCTGACCAAGTTCATTGCACCATATCTCCCAAGCTCTTTCCCCTGCACCAGTGGGTTTCAAATTTGAATTGTAGCAAACAAAATCTGATACAAAACCCTGACATACATTTGTTTTAAACAAAGAAGAGTTGATGGTAGTAATATTTCTAAATCTCACCCTCTTGGCCTGCACTTGGATAGACACTATGTCCTGCACTGTGGGAAAAACAAAGGAATAGGACATGATGCCTGCCTTGAACACCTTGCAGTGGAGTTGGGGGCAAGAAACAAAAGCAAGAAAATTAATGATTAAATAATACTACATAATAATAGAAGAAATCTCACAGAGACTGCCGCTTATCAGAAGGGGGTTAGAGGCCTGCAGTTCAGCACTGAGCCTTTTGTTGCCTCTCTTCTTCTAAGCCCTACTCATTGTCTGATATTTAGCTTGGCTGTGACCTTCCCCAGTAAGACGTTTCTGGAACACCCTCCTGCCTCTTCACACACACACACACACACACACACACACACACCACCCCCTTCAGCCCAGATTAGAGCTCAGTGTTCCTGTAATATCTCTGTACAGTCTATCACTGCATTTACCATATTTTAAAACAACGTCTCCCCAACACTTCACAGTATAGGCTCTGAGTTTCATAACGGCACAGAGTGGATACTGTAAGAATGCAGTGAGACTCTCCCTACTCCATGCTCCTTTCTTCCATCTTTTGTTCCACAGATGTCAGCCCTACATCAGTCTGCAGGCTGCTCCTGTCTGCTCCAAATCCCTCCCCCAGTAAGTTTCTTGCACATCTAATCCCATCTTAGCATCTGCTTCTTGGTAGACACTAACAAATTATTATAAGGAATTACTTTGCACTACCATATTTATACAAAAAGTAGTTAGTTCATGCATTTAGAATATTGGTTTGTTGGTTGACAATGTTAAGCCTAATGACCTATACCTTTTGGGTACTGACATACTTAATTTTGCACTTATTAAACTGTGACTTTCCAAAAAAAAAAAAAACTTTCATTGTACCATTAGGATATAATATTCTTGTTAATATTACAAAAACCAAACCAAAACAAAAACCATGCTGCAGCCTTAGGAGAACTTGCTTCATGTAACTAAGGGTTTTTCTTTTTCTTTTCTTTTTGTATTTTTTTTTCCTGTAGGATAACATAGTGTTAAAAGCACAAGCTTCTGGACTACTTGAAATCAAACCACAGCTTAACCAGCTCTATGGCTTTTGGCAAATTACTTCAACTCTTTAAACCTGTTTCTGATCTGTAAAATGGAATGATCCTTGCTCATCTGTAATATATACATTTATAAAACAGGACCCACCAATGGGATTATTTTATGAATTAAATGTTAAAACAGCTAGAACGGTGCAGGCTGAGTAAGCACTGAACACAGTACTTATTAGCTATTATCTCTGGTGCTCTGTGCAACGAAAGAACTATTAGAATACATTTAAAAGCACTTTGCAAACTAGAAAGCCCTTTGAACAATTTAGTTTCTCTAAATGTAATAATAAGCATCAGCCATCGCCTTTTATGGAAAATTGAGGTGGAATCACATCAGCAAGAGAAAACTGAGGACTTGTCTCTGGCTCTGTTCCTGATTTATTCACACAGTACATGATCCTAGAATAAGACTCCTGATACTCCTGAAAGTAGAGGCGGTTGGGTTAAAAATAATTTTCCCTTTCAAAACTCTTTCAAATGTTCTCCAAAAGAAGCCAGGAAAGCTCCCGTATGAGTAGATAATTCACTTTAAAATTCGCTCATCTCTCTTTAACACGAGAGTCTGCAGGGCTGGTGCAGCGGCGTCAACCCGAAGAGACCTGAACGCCGATGGGCAGTTGGGATTCTCCGTACGCCTCGGAAACAGCAGCCCAAACCTCACAACGCAGAACCACGAGATAGTGGGGATTGCAGAGCCCTGCGCAAGAGAAGGAAAATTAAGACGCAGCGGAGCCCAGGAGGTGCCCGCACGCGGGAAGGACTGGCGTGCAGACGAGGCAGGGGGAGGTTTGCACTCGGCGTGGCGCGGGTGAGCCGCGTGCTCTCGGGCACCCGGCCGCCAGTTCGGATGCTTCCGATCCTCGGGGAGCCGGGGCGCTGCGCCGGAGTCACTTCAGCCCATGTTGTTCAGGTGACACCCGGGGAAGAGCAGACTCCAGTGTGCAAAACGTTTCGGGGTTTCCGGGCCAGCGGTTCCGGGCGCGCCTCGCGGGCGGCGGCGCAGAACTACAACCCCCAGGCTCCCTGGCGTGGCGGCACGTGGGCCCGAGCCGGGCGGCCGCGGATATAAAGCGCGGCGGCGGCTGCCGGGCGGAGCGGCTGCACGGACAAGAGCGGAGGCCTGGGTGAGCGCGGCCCGCGACGGCACGGGCTAGGACAGACGGACGCAGACGGCCCGACGACCTGGGCGTTCGGGCGGAGGGGCGCTGGGGCCTGACTCGCGGGTGGGTGAGACGTTGACGGACCCGGAGGAAAGAGGGAAGGCAGATACGCTGGGAAACGGATCTGGGGAAGGTGTGAATGCGAAAAGTGTAGGGACAGACGGGGGCAGAAGAACTTACTCCCCCGGATTGTTTGCAGACAGCATATCTGCCGGGTCTCCAAAGGTCCTTTCCTCAAAATAGAGTTAGCAATTGAGCAGAAGAGAGCTTAAAGTTAAACCTGATACATCCCCCCTTCACTTGAGGAGAAATTGGTGGTTTTCTGCTTTTTTAAAAATCCCTATTTGTATCTCCTCTTCTCCGAGTACCTGTCCCTCAAGATATTCTCTGCCCAGAGGTACATTCTGCCCTCACTTTCTGTCTCTTAAAAAAACAACTTTGCCATTTAAAAAAGAATTTGACTTAGGCAGCTTTAATTCTTTGCACTGAGTGTTCTTATCTGTGGATGGAGGTATAAGATTTCAAGAGTAATACCCCCTCCCAATGTTTCAGTAATAATCTAAATTCACATTAAGCCTTAGGCTGGAGAACATTTGAGCTATTCGCTTTAGCTACGAGCTCTGAAAACTTCAAAGCATAACATTCCCAAGTTTATCTAAAACTTGAATCTTAAAAATAATGATAATTATCTGTTATGCTTCAAAGCATAACATTCCCAAGTTTATTAAAAACTTGAATCTTAAAAATACTGATCATTCTCTGTTAAAGTCTTTTGTTGTTGTTGTTGTTGTTGTTGTTGTTGTTGTTGTTGTTGTTTTTGAGACGGAGTCTCGCTCTTGTCGCCCAGGCCGGACTGCAGTGGCGCTATCTCGGCTCACTGCAAGCTCCACCTCCCAGGTTCACGCCATTCTCCTGCCTCAGCCTCCCGAGTAGCTGGGACTACAGGCTCCCGCCACCACGCCCGGCTAATTTTGTATTTTTAGTAGAGACGGGGTTTGGCCATGTTGGCCAGGCTGGTCTCGAACTCCTGACCTCAGGTGATCCGCCCACCTCGGCCTCCCAAAGTGCTGGGATTACAGGCTTGAGCCACCGCGCCCGGCCAAAGTCGTTTTTATCCCATTTCTTCCTGTAGGCGTTTCAAAGTTTGCAAAGGCAGCAAACTTTTACGTAGTGTAGTTATCTGTGCAAAGAAATTTTCCAAGCTGCCATTGCCCCCAGATGGCAGACAGTCTAGGAGAGGAGCCAAAACCACCCTGCTTAATAACTCTGATGTAAGGTTTTTAATGAAAAGCCACTGTTTGGGGGAATTCTGAGGTTTAAGAAATTATTTTCGGCTGGGGTATCAGGAAATCCCCTGGTTTTTAAAATGAGAGGTTTTTTGGTTTTTGTTTGTTTTTGTTTTTAAGCTATACCTGCTGGAATGGATAAAGTGAGCTTTAAAAGTTGATCAGACCGAAGAGATTGAAGTGAGAGAACCACAGGAACAAAGGCAAGCAGACAGACAGTGAAAGGTAGATAGGAGGAACAGCAAACAGTTTGTTCAGCTGGGCAAGTATAGTGCAGGCACGAAGATTTCAATAGAGACCCAGACCCCAGGGAGCTGGTTCTTTAGCCTACTGGCATTTTCTAAACAGGACAAAGACAAGACCAGAAATGCTGGTGTTACTGGAAGATTAATCTGACAGCTGGTGTGGATTGAAGAAGAGAAGAGGGATTAGGACAGTGATTCCTAACCCCTATCCTACACTCCCAACGGCCCCTTGTTTTGAATTTTTGAACTAATCAAACTACATTTGTGGTAATTAGTTTTATTTCTTTCCATTAAAGACATATAAAACTGCCAATTTGAGCTTCTGATGATTCTAAGAACATCAGTGTTACCGTCCTTAGTATCAAATAAATGCAGGCAAAAGCACAAGACTACGGAGTTTTATTTAGCCTGAACAGCCTAGTAGTGTTGGATTTAGGAGGTGTTTAATGCTGACTCAAGCTCTCAGGACTCTTATCACTTGAACCTTCTTGGGCCCTGTGGACCTGGGGTTTTGCCTATTTGTCTAGATAAGAGGTAACGAAGGGAAAAATTATAAAGGCGAAAGGAGGAATAGCAGGGGAAGAAGATAACAGAATTGAAATGACTTAGTCCCTAAATAGACAAGAGTAGTGAGTGTTGGAAAGGAGGCACTAGCAGAGCAGAGATGACTGGGAAGATGATGCTGGTAAGGGCATGATAGTATTTTCTACTGTCCTATACACATCAGGCAAGACTTCATGGAGAGCACTGAACACGTACTCACTATGTGCCTAGCATTGTTGTTAATCACTTTACATGAATTAGTTCATTTAATTCTCTCAACCCTATGAAATATAATTACTATTATCCTCATTTACAGAAGGGGAAACTGAAGCAGAAAGAGGTTACTTAATGGGCTCAAGGTCACCTACCTGGTAAGTGGTGGAGCCAGGATGCAGATCCATGAGGTCTGACTCCAGAGCTGGCCCTCTCACCCCTCTACAGTAAGGAACAAAGGAGATGGCAGGTCCCTTTGGGCATGTTAAGTTGAGATGTTTGTGGGAGTGCTAGGTGAAGATATACAGCAGGCATAGCATCAATCTCCTTTGATACTTAAACATCCCTCCAGTGGGGAGATGGCTTAGGTTATGGGCCTTTAAGGCTCAGAGGCTAAGTGGCCTGCTTATTGTACTGAGGGTGGTCACATGAAGCTCAAAGAGTGATTAGAGCCACATCTTATGATTTATTATCTTGTGTTTTCCCATGGGCCAGGTTATTGGATTCATCTTTCTAAACTTCCAATCTGCTTTTAGTCTCATGTTTGAACTAGGAAATACAGAGCAAAGCTACATGCAGGACTTGGTCTTGATTTTAGGAGCAACTCTTGCTGAGAACATGTCTGTTTGCAAGGAAAGTATCGTGTTGTCTTTCTACTGAAAACAGTCAGTGTTTCTCAAGGGCTTACCTGAGCCAAGACTCTTGGGGAAGAAAAATAGAAGATATGGTCTCTGTACTTCAGAAGTTTATTCTCCTATTTGGGAAGATAAGATGAACAATTAGAAGAGCAAACAAAACAAGATAGCTTATAACTAAGTACTACATTATGTGGGTTAGATTTAAGTATAGTGGGCATTGCATTTTTGAATGTGCCAGTAATGTCAGAACTATAGCATAACCCTTCTTGTTGGTCACCTACAGACATCACTTTATTTGCTACAAGACCACTATCTTTTGTAGAATTGTCATCAAATACTATCTGATTATATTTTATTTTCATTTTCAATTGTTAGACATTAAATTTGTGGTCTGAAATTGCATTTGTGGCTTTTTATGTCTTATAGCTCAAAAAACAATAATGCTTCTAGAACTAGCAAATGTCAGAGCTGTGAGTTGAACCAGGTGGTCTGCCTATGGAACTGAGGCTGTTAACCAGTCTGCTCTGTTGCTTCTTGTGGCCCATCCAGAGTCTTTTACACTGATTATGGGCAGGTACACTCTCTGCCAGATGGTGAGAGATCCTTTGGCCCCAAATGAGTGGTGTGAGTTGGACTCTTCCAGCAGTGCGCTACCCATCTGTGGAAGCCATCATCCAGTCACAGTCTGAACACCTCGTTCAGTCACCCACATATTCTTCGCTCTTGAATTGAACACCTGGTGTCAAGCAGAGGGCTCACTGCAGAGAGCAAAGGCAAATGAAACATCCCTGTCCTGGGAGCCTGCTGTAGTGGGGAAGAGGGAGGTGAATATGCAGTCTACATGGTTAACTAGAACTAGGAAAACTGGACAAAACTGGGCAAAATTAGGATATAAAAAGATAGGTAAATCTGAAGGTAGTTATGTAAATCATGATGAAACCTTAAGACAGGCTTGTTTTAGGTGAGATTCTAAGAATGAAGACAATGGAAAGAGAAAATGTCCCCTTTTATGACCATATTTCAGTTTAAGTAATAGTACAGTTGACCCTTGAATTACGTTGATTTGAAGTGTGCAGGTCCATTTACACAGATTTTTTTCAACCAAATACGGATAGAAAATCAGTATTTGCAGGATGCAGAATTCTCATATGCCAGGCTTGGGGCTGACTGTGTGACTTGAGTAGGCATGGATTTTGGTATACACGAAGGTCCTGGAACTGATCTTCTGTGTATACTGAGGCATGACTATAATTCACTGTATGTTTTACTTACCTGAGTTAGGTTCAAGCTCTTTCTTGGGTCTGCTGCTGTTAACCTCTATCCTTTGAGGTGTTAGATTGCTTCCATCATCTGTATAGCTAAAATGGGAGACTGTCCACGTAGTATTTTCTCAAGTCTACCCTCTCCTGTCTTAAAGTTTCCTCCTCAATAGAATTAAGCACTAAAATTTTACCATCTTGTACTTGCTCTGTGTGTTTGTGTACTTGTAAGCACATTTTACAGTTCTAAACTAGAAATGGACTTTGCCTGGGAGTTTTATCATTGACATTCCTTGAAGAAAGAGAGAAATTACATTGTATGTTTTCCAGACCTACCAGCAGCTCAATGGCCTTCCCAAAGAAGAAACTTCAGGGTCTTGTGGCTGCAACCATCACGCCAATGACTGAGAATGGGTAACTATCATTTGGGGCCTTGAGGGGATCAGTTCTCATTCAACCAAAAAGGAGAGAAGTTCTTTGTAACAACAGTCACTTAAGACCCTGCACCTCTGTAGAACTGTTGCCAAAAGGCAGCTTCTGTCTGTCATCCCTCTGCACTGTCTCTGATCCCCAAGTCTGAGGAGGCATTATATCTCTGACCCCAAAGTCAGAGAAGCACTATATCACCTTGCAGAAAGGGAGAAGGTGAGAAATGGCAGCTTGCCTTTCTCCCAGTGTCTGTAGCACCACAGAGCAAATTCTCCTTGGATTTCACCACAGCCTTGGCCTTTCTAAACAGGGCCAGTAGCATTGGATGAGAATCCCATTTTAGCATAATTGGATATCAAGCACTGACCTAGGCCCTCTCAGGATGCTGTCTCTGGACGTCAGCATGATTCCACTTCAGGCTGTTCATAGACTTGATAAAAATGTCCTACCCTGAGGAAAGTGGGAGGTTATCTGCAAGATGGACTCTTTTTTCCTGTTTACAGCCTCATTTCAACATTGACTAGATGTTGGGCAGCGGGGGAAGGGAAGTAACAACAGTCCGTTGTTGACTAATCATTACCCCAAGCAAGTATTTTGACCTCCAGATGAATACAGTGGCAGTCCTTCTGCTAAAAAATCAGATAACAAAAAGGCCCTGTGACATAGGGAGCCATGCACTGTGTATAACTCCTCCTTGAACATCACCCCTGACAAAAGAGAGTTCATCCACCTCCTGGATCTATATGTTTTTGACCTGTCAGAGGAGTCAGGCTGCCAAAAAGTTAGAATGCTGGCTTATTTAAGCTTCTCCTTTCTTTCTATGTAATATTATAATAATAATCATACCTACATAATGAATTATAAGCATTAAATGAGATAATTCATACAACAGTGCTTGGCACAGGGTCAATACGCACTTAGGTCAAAAAGTTTGAACTGCCTTTATGTCATAAGGCAGAGGCAAAAGGAAGATGTATTTAGTACACCTTTTACAAGGGACTTTCTTTTTGGTCTTCTGTTGCTGAATTTATAAACGTTCATCTTACCCTTTTAAAGGAGATGAAATTTCTCATGTCTTTTAGTATTCTCCTTCAAAGTTGGCCATTTTGCAGTTCTACCTTAGAGACTCTCCAATGAGTCCAAGACTTCTGGCTTCTAAGATCCATGAAAAATCACGTCCTTACTAGGTCTAAATAAGATTCTTGCTGATACGGCATTTAGATTACTCAGCTGGTTAATAATAATTTTTTTTCTGTTACTTCCCCTTTCCACAAGTTTTAAGAAAGACTGGCATCAGCTGTTTCTCAATGCATCAGTCACTTGTTCGCAGATCAAACAGAAGACATGTGATTGCATGAATCGGCAGGATTTACTTCCTGTTACAGAGTGAGATCCTTTCTGTAATCTCCTAACACTGCATCTGGTCCATACTACTTTAACCTTTTAATAAGACCCCTCTTATCCTGGAAGTGGCTTCTTAAAACAGTCTTGTTTGTTCATCAGGGACCCACGGACAATGTCAGTGTGTTCTTCCTCCCTGTTTTGCCGTTTTCCTGGAAGGCCAGATCCCATGATAGAGATAACTAAAATGACTTTTTCTGGATCTTTTTCCGTTTCCCAAAAATCTGTGGTCCTGCTGCATCCATTTTACTATTTTCTCATCAATTCTGCGTTTTTCTTCTAGGAACCTTACTTTCCTAAGGTGTGAAATCAAAAAAAAAAAAAAAAAAAAGAATGCATTATGTGTAGGCTCTTTAAGAAATAAATAGTGTAGGTCAGTGTATAGCACAGAGTAGGCATGTGAGCCATGTTAGTTCCCTTTTCTCCCACCACCTGCTTCATCAAACATTCCTGTAGGTATAAAGTAGCTTTGGAACACCCACCAAGAACACGTAGGCTTTAATGTACTTACCCACAAGGGAATCTGCACTTCTGGCATGTTTCTAAGACATGAGATGGAAGGAAGGGGCACATGGAATCTAATACCTGGAAATACTGCCAGGTGACCTGCCATTGTGGGAGTTCTCCTAACCTGGCATGTACATATACATATCCTCCATAATTCTGAGTGGCTGAACAAGGACTATTTCCCTATATCCTTTTTTCTTCTCAATTCCAATGAAAGCTCAGTAACAATTCAGCTTTCTGCATATAAGTTGATGTCCTGGAGTAGGGTAGCTGGCAGAAAGAACATGGGTAAGTAGATCTTAGTGAAATGATGTGAGTCCTGGATCCCAAGCTTTGCCACTAGTTAGCTCTCCGACCCTGGGGAGATCTTGTCACCTTTTGAGAGCTCTCTCGGCCGGGCACGGTGGCTCATGCCTGTGATCCTAGCACTTTGGGAGGCCGAGGTGGGCGGATCACAAGGTCAAGAGATCGAGACCATCCTGGTCAACATGGTGAAACCGCCTCTCTACTAAAAATACAAAAATTAGCCTGGCGTGGTGGCGCACACCTGTAGTTCCAGCTACTTAAGAGGCTGAGGCAGGAGAATCGCTTGAACCTGGGATGCAGAGGTTGCGGTGAGCCAAGATCATTCCACTGCACTCTACCCTGGGCAACAGAGTGAGAATATGTCTCAAAAAAAAAAAAAAAAAGCTCTTTCATATTCTCCAAAGGAAGTTCAACCACATTATCTCTATGACCCTTTCCAACTCTTAAGAGTCTGCAGTCCTCTCATGTCATTGGGGATATTGTGGGGATCACCATTAAATAAGAATGTATAAAGTACCTATAATTCCAGTCCATCGTCCACACTGTAGCTCAGTGAGCTTCCTAGTAAATAAATCTGATCATGTCACTCTCCTCTTTAGGAATCTTGACTCTCTTTTGTCTAAGCCTTGCTACCCATCATATGGCCCATGGACCAGTTGCTCCACCACCATGGGAACTTGGTAGAAATGCACAAGCTCGGGCTGTATCATACTACAGATCAGTCCTGCATTTTAACAGTGTCCCAGATGATTCTTTAGCGCATTAAAGTCTGAGATGAGCCGGTCTAAAGATTAAAGCCCAGACTCCCTGGGATGGCATAGGAAGTCCTCACAGTTTACCTTTCCTGCTTCATTTCTTTGTCACCATACCTCTTCTGCCTTTCATGCCTTCACTCATTCTCTTTCCTCTGCCTTTTTCTACCACCATCTTCTTCTTTCTTGCTCCACTTGAACACTTCTACTCATCTATCAAAACCATCCTTAGAAATTCTTCCCCAATTCTCTTAAAAGGAGTTAGATGACCCTTCTATAGCACCCTGTCCATACTCTTCCCCTGTGATCCCATAGCACCCTTTTTGTATTGCATCAGAATTATTTGTTTATTATTACAATAACTTTTTGTTACTTGTCTATGTCTTCCAGCAGGCTTTGAGCTGCTTAGCCCTGTTCAATAGATATTGAATGCCAATAATATACAAGAACTGAGAAATTATCTTATTTATCTTATATCTTAAGCATGTGGCATAGTTGTGGTAGCTTTTGTTATTTTATGAGTGAATATACTGCAGGAATTACTAGTGCTGATAGTCGAGAAAAAGGGAAGGAAGCAAACACTGATTGATGCTATGTCAGTCATCATGCAGGCATTTTCATTTACATGTTCCCACTTAATCTTGACAACAGCTATGTGAGGGAGCCATAGGTATCTCTGTCCTGGCAGTTGAAGAAACGGAGATCCTAAAGGCTAGCCCAGCTGCCCCAAGCCACACAGCTAGAAAGGTAGGATTTCTCTACCTATCCAACCCTTGCCTTTTTATACACTAGTAAGTCTAATGAAAGACTTGCTTTTTTTTTTTTTTTTTTTGAGACAAAGTCTCGCAGCAGGCGGGAGTGCAGTGGCACAATCTCGACTCACTGCAACATCCCCCTCCCAAGCTCAAGTGATTCTCCTGCCTCAGCCTCCCGGGTAGCTGGGATTAGAGGTATGCACCACCCTGCCCGGCTAATTTTTGTGTTTGTAGTAGAGACGGGGTTTCATCATGTTGGCCAGGCTGGTCTCAAACTCCTGACCTCAAGTGATCCGCCCGTCTCGGCCTCCCAAGGTGCTGGGATTACAGGCATGAGCAGCTGCGCCAGCCAAGACTTGCTTTCCTTATTTGTTCTAAGAACTCACTTTTTCTTTGGGCAGGCTCACAGTCATTAGACCAGAAAGTCCATTTCAGATCTAAAATGTCGAGAAAAAAGTTGTGTTTTTTCCCTCAAATGTTCTTGGCATCACCCTGGGGAATCTTCACAATACCCTCTGGTAAAAACAAAGCTGTTACCCCAGTGAGGAAAGGCCTGGCCTGCTAGAGTCAGACTGGCATAGATTATTGTCTTTTTAACAGTCTTTGGGAGACGAGGGGACCCAGACTCCCAGAACAGAACATTTTCCACCTCCAACAGGGTGGGCAGGTTAGTCCCTGCCTGCCTCCCTGCTGAAAGAATTTTAAAATAACCAGTGGCTGTTTTGCCAAGAGTGCATATAACTGCTATCTGATTGAATGCTGAGAGATATGTATAAAAGGCAAAAGAAAATGGAAAATCAGATTTTCTGATATGCATGCCACATCATGTCAGGTATGAAAATAGCCTGTCCTGTGGATTCTGTCTTCTCAGATGAAGTGAAAGTCTTTCATGGTGGTTCGTGCACCAGGAGAGGAAACAAACAGCAATAGGGATTTCTCCCTGAAAAGCCACTTAGGAAAAATTCTATTACCCTTTTACCGTAAGAGAAGAGTTGTAGAGTCTACCTGCAGTTTCACAATCCACCCACTCTGGACCTCAATTTGTGGCAAAAAGAACAGAAGACTTTCTTCCGCTTATGTAGTTTGGGCAAACTAAATGTCTAAAAACAGACAATTAGAAAAAGGAATTAGAACAGACAATTAGAAAAAGTAATTATACTCATCCATAAAATAGAATGTTGTTTAGCCGGTATAGTAATGGACCATCTAAAAATGTGGGAAGATGTTAAAATTAGAATGCTGAATGAAAAGTATAAAACTGTGTCTAATACGGCCATATTTATACAAGAAAATATAATGTGTATTTGTGAATAGAAAAATATCAAACTAAGAGGAATCATCTCCAGAGATATCCTGAGTGGGTTTTCTTTTTTTATTGTATGTACTTTCTAAAGTAAACTATATAGCTCCTGTAATTAAAAAAAAAAGTTAAATAAAATTAGTGGGGCACAGTGGCACACATCTGTAGTCCCAGTTACTTGGGAGGCTGAAGTGGGAGGATTACTTGAATTCAGGAGTTTGAGGCCAGCCTAGACAACATAGCAAGACCCTGTCTCCAAAAAAAAAAAAAAAAAAAAAGCCCCAAGGCATGAATCTAAACCCAACGCAAAGAATCTGAATCCCCAGGAATTGAAATTAAGACATTAAACTGGGTTTAAATATAAAAATGACTACAGCAAGCATGGAATTTGGTTCTGGGTCACTCTCCCCTGATGTGCCCAGTTGTTAGATGTGTTCTTGGGGCTCATGAAAGAAGAGAAGGTGCTGTGCAGCCTATTCAAGTGAATTGACTTCTGTCAACTCACTTCTGTGAGCACTGAGCTCCAAATGCCCAGTGGGTGGGCAGAAGAATAATCCAATCTCATTGTTTCCATTCTCTCTAGTGACTTCCTGGTAACCGATCATGGTTAATGGCCTCTGGTGATGAAAATAGACCTAGGTACCATCAGAGTAGGGTGGGAAAACAAGTGAAGGGACAGGCTGGGCATGATGGCTCACACCTGTAATTCCAGCACTTTGGGAGGCCGAGGCAGGCAGATTGCTTGAGCCCAGGAGTTCGAGACCAGCCTGGGCAACCTGGTAAAACCCTGTCTCTACAAAAAATACAAAAATTAGCTGGGCGTTGTGGCACACACCTGTAGTCCTAGCTACTGGGGAGGCAGAGGCCAGAGGATCACTTGAGCCTGGGAGATTGAGGCTGTAGTGAGCCGTGATTGTGCCACTGTATTCCAGCCTGGGTGACAGAGCAAGACCCTGTCTCAAAAAAAAAAAAAAAAAAAAAAAAACGGACAGAATCCTCAAGGAGAATTATTTTCGCCCTAACCCTGCCTTTTGGGTACCTATGTAACAAATGTGGTAGCAGCCCTGGATGATTTCACCCCCACTTGTGCCTGGAGCTGCTGAGCATCCCAGCCCAAGGCTGCAAACTTGCACCTGCAGAGTCAGGCAGGGATCTGAAATGCCTGAGGGACCTGGGGGCATCCAGTCCTCTAAAGTAGGGCCTACTGCTGCTTTTTCTAATTTCCAGCTGTATGGAAATGTAGCCCTGGCTTTTTTTTTTTTTTTTTTTTTTGAGACCGAGTCTCGCTCTGTCACCCAGGCTGGAGTGCAGTGGTGCTATCTTGGCTCACTGCAACCTCCACCTCCCGGGTTCAAGCAATCCTGCCTCAGCATCCCTATTACAGGCTGAGATTACAAGTGCCCACCAATACGCCTGGCTCATTTTTGCATTTTTAGTAGAGACGGGATTTCACCATGTTGGCCAGCCTGGTCTCAAACTCTTGACCTCAAGTGACCCACCCACCTCAGCCTCCCAAAGTGCTGAGATTACAGGCATGAGCCACCATGCCCAGCAGCCCTGACATTGTTAGATTTTTCTGGCTTTTCAAATACTCATTTTTTTAAAGAAAAAATACAATATCGTCAAAGTCAAACATATTTAGAGTTAGCCCCTTTTCAACCTAGATCTCTCTAAAGAGGTCTGGTAGTTCCAAAAGGACTTAAGTCCAAGAACATTTTCTGGATGATGACCACTGCCCCCAAAATTCTGCCATTAGTGTCATTCTTGTAGGTTAGGGGCATTTTATAAGAAGCAGCAACCTACTTTCTCCTTTCTTGAAGGGACAGATAATGCAAAACCCATTAGACCTCTAACCCTGAGTGAAATTGTCAGCTGAATAGCCTGCCTCCCAGCAAGGCCTGAGGGAGAGAGGTGAGGGTAGGTCGAAGCACTATCCACTGAGGCCATCAAAACTGTGAAGTTCATGGAGAAAAAAGGAGCTTCTAGTTTCACATACTGGCCTAGACCTGCCTAAGGGTGCAGCCAACTCCCTAAAAAGAGGATGATACTAGAATAGGACAGAGCAAACAGTATCTCTCAAGAATGTTGGAGGGGTCGGGCTCAGTGGCTCACACTTGTAATCGCAACACTTTGGGAGGCTAAGGCAGGAGGATCGCTTGACCCCAGGAGTTCGAGACCAGTCTGGGCAACATAGTGAGGTCTCATCTCTACCCAAAATTTTCAAGTTAGCTGCACCTGTGGTCCTAGCTACTTGGGAGGCTGAGGCAAGAGAATCACTTGAGCCCAGGAGGTCAAGGCTTGCAGTGAGCCACGATTACACCACTGCACTCCAGCCTGGGCGACAGAGTGAGACCTTGTCTCCAAAAAAACAAAAAAATGTTGGAGGGAAGGAGGACATAGGGTTTTGTCCTATTTATCCAATGTCTTCTTTCCAGCCTCCCTAGCTGTCATTTATCAGTCCTCTTCTGAGCCCCCATACAATTACTTTTTGCCTCAGTCATAACCTTCATTATATTTTGCTATTTTAATCACGTATACTATCTTCTTTAATTAATGTAATAGTGAAATTTCAAAATATTATGCAAGCGTGGTGCTAACCTGCTTGTAAAGGCAGAGCTTGTGGTGATTTCATCATTGTAAGTTCCCACATCACCACTCCTTTGCCCAGCCTTTGCTGAACACCTGGGCTGTTCCAGGTGCAGACAGAGGTCAGGAGGGAGCAGTGTTAGGATATGGAGGCATGTGCCATAATGAGGGAGTTCGCTCCCCTTATAGGCTTTATAATTGCATTAACACACCTTTTCCCAAGTGGCAGGCTCAGGCCTGCTATCTTTTCTCTGAGCTTGTTATAGGCATGATTGCCTGTGCATTCTTTGCATTTAATAGCTTTCCTTTTAAACTCAGAGTCAGCTGTTCTCTATCTTTCCTCATTTTGTTCTTATGCCTTTTGACATGTACATTTTGATGCCTTTGTTTCCTAGATGCATCAGATTTTTTTTTTTGTTTTTGTTGTTTAAGGAATTACCATAGGTAAAGGTGAAAAGAATGTTAATAAGGCCAAACTTCAATTAGGATTCTCTGGCCCTACAGACAAAAGTGCGGTGGCAGCCAGCTAGCACTCTGTGTTCTTGGCAGGGTAACCATGGGCACAGTGTAACCATTTAATGCAGGCTTGCTGCACCATTTTCCTTTGAATTTCACTCTTCATTGCCCATCATTCCCCTCCTGCATTTTGATTGAGGACAGGTTGCCTAATACAACTTGTGAGGAGTCAGTTTTTAGATTTTGAAATCAATATGATTTTAAGAGATCTTAACCTTAAGCATCAGATCCTTACAAGGTTAGTGTGCCTCAAATTGCCAAGTGCATGCAGATCACACGGCGATCTTGTTAAAATTCAGATTCTAACTGGGCCGGACTGTGTGGGGCTTGGGATTCCATGTGTCTAATAAAGTCCCCCAGATGCTGATGCTGCTGTTCCGCCTTTGAGAGGCAAAGTGATGACAAAGTTCCCTTCTAACTGCTAACCTTGTTCAATGTAAAACCAGCAAATACAGATGGGTTTAAGACTCCATGTTTGTCCCAAATATTAAGTGCTAAAATTCTTATAATATTAAGATTGACTTTTCCTATCCTGTGAGCCTAAGAAATGAATGTTTCCATCCTCTGTAATGACTTCCTAATAATTGATCATGGATAATGGCCTCCAGCGATGAAAATAGACCTAAGTACCCTAAGAGTAGGGTGGGAAAACGCAAGAAGGGACAGGCCAGGCATGATGGCTCATACTTGTAATCCCAGTACTTGGGATCAAATGGCAAATGTTAAGTTCTCATTTAACCATGTCTGCAACCATCAATCTTCCCCTAAAAGGGCAAAAGATGTGTGGCCATATGGACTTTAAAGAGAGAGCGTTGGGCAAAAGATAGTTCGTTAACTACTTTTTAAATACTGCTTGTCATGAGGTGTAAATATAAAGCCTCTGTTGATAACTAACAGTGTTTTGCTCACAGAAGTGAGGCATACATGGCTGAGTGAAGAAATCACCAGATTCAGGGGGGGAAAAAAACCCCAGGCATTATTTACAGCAGGCTAAGAATTTCACAAATTGAGTGGATTTTTAATAACTATTAGCAAGAGGGAGCAGTTTATATACCTGAGCATTTGTTGAATAATAATCTGAAAAAGACTAAATATGCCTTTTTTTCCACATGTCTTCTAGAGAAATCAACTTTTCAGTAATTGGTCAGTATGTGGATTATCTTGTGAAAGAACAGGGAGTGAAGAACATTTTTGGTAAGTCAACTCTGGGGATGTCGCTGCATGTCTCCAGCTCAGTCTTTAGAAGGTATATCTTACCTGGTTACCAGCCAAGAGGTCACACAGTCATGGTGTCACAGGTTATGATGGAGCCTGGCTAAGCTAACTAAAATTTGTGAATTTGTAGGCCCACCAATCTTAGACCTACAAAGCACCTCAAGAGATTACCTCATTTGATAGTGTGCCAACACTTAAGGTATTATTTTTTATCCCCATTTGGAGATGAAAATATATGACTCAGATATACTCTAGGTTGCCCCAGGCCATTCAGCCAAGAAGTGGTAGAGTAACAACCAAACCCTCTTAAGTAACAACTAAACACTCTTCTCTCTTTTGTTTATTTATTTATTGAGATGGAGTCTTGCTCTATCTCCCCCTGGGCTGGAATGCAGTGGCACCATCAGCTCACTGCAACCTCTACCTCCCGGGTTCAAGCAATTCTCCTGCCTCAGCCTCCTGGGTAGCCGGACTATAGGCGCACACCACCACACCTGGCTAATTTTTGTATTTTTAGTAGAGACAGGGTCTTGCCATATTGGACAGGCTGGTCTCGAACTCCTGACCTCAGGTGATCTGCCTGCCCCAGCCTCCCAAAATTCTGGGATTACAGGCGTGAGCCACCGCGCCCAGCCTCTTCTCTCTCTTAAGAATGGGCTTTATTCTGTCTTCCCCTGGCCTTTCAAATTGTGAATGGAAGAAAGACTCTAAGTGTAGCACACAAAGAAATCACAGGACTAGTAGTTATCCCCTTTTATTTCATAGAAGTGAAAGTTTAAAAAATTAGATCTTGAACATTTTAAGCCTGACAGCTATACTTACCTGCGATTGAGCTGTCCCTTGCTTAGTGTTCTGGGCTCTCGGACCCTTGGATGCATTTTTATTCTGAGAACACTACACCTTGGTCCTGACCTACTGCTCTACCAACAGGAGCCCCTCCAGAGCCAGAGGTACCTGGTAATAATAATCAGAGCAGATTAAAACTTGTGTGGAAAAAGTGTCCTGGGCCACAGGTCAAAACTGAGACCTGATTACAAAACCACTCAATGTCCCTCTACAGCGCTAAGCCATAGTGGAGAAGGCAGATTCTTACTCAACAAAGGGCAGCAGATCTCCCCTGGGTATGAGGAAAAAGCAGGAATATCCCTATGACCAGAGTATACTTGAAGTCAAGACCTCAAAGAAGTGGTTAAAAATACTTTCCGACTTCCCTCCCCTGCCTCCCCAACCTCCCTTCTTCCAACCCAGTGCTGAGTGCTTAGAGATTCAGAGTGCCACCATATGCATGAGACCTCAGTAATGTATCCTACTGCCATAGGCATCTTTCTGTGATCCATTAAGAAATGATTGTAGTAGGCCGGGTGTGGTGGCTCACACCAGTAATCCCAGCACTTTGGGAGGCTGAGGCGGGCAGATCACCTGAGGTCAGGAGTTCAAGACCAGCCTGCCCAACATGGCAAAACCCCATCTCTACTAAAAATACAAAAACTTAGCTGGGCATGGTGGTGGGTCCCTGTAATCCCAGTTACTCAGGAGGCTGAGGCAGGAGAATCACTTGAACCTGGGAGGCAGAGGTTGCAGTGAGCCAAGATGGCGCCACTGCCCTCCAGCCTGGGCGACAAGAGCAAAATTCTGTCTCAAAAAAATGAAATAAAATAGAAATGATTGTAGTAGAAGGAAAAGAGGAAAGATGATGAGTTTTGGAATCACACAACTCTGGATTCAAACTTAAATTATTTTCTGTTTCAGACTTTATCTTTTTATCTGTAAATGAGAAAAATAATTTCTACTTTGCTGGGTTGTTGTGAGAGTAAGTGGATATGTAAGAGCACTTGGTATAAGAAATATTAATATCCTTTGTGCTTATTTATGAAATATTTATCTAAAAAACGAGTTGTCCTAGAGCACTACCATCATGTCAAACTGTAAATGGAGATAGTTTGAGATCTGTAGTATACAAAAGCACCCGCATGAGTAACTCCCACTTATTTGACATCCTGGTACTAGATAGTGTTGATTTCCCTGCCATTCAAGCCCAGATATAAAACTGGGTAGTGTGTTTGGAGATTGACGTAAAATGTGGGCAGTCATCTCTGTCTTTATTTAAAATATTTCCTGACTGTCCCTAATATCAAGGTCAGATTTATAATTACAAGTCACAATTAACCTTCCCACTGCCTTTGACAAGGTGAAAGTGGAAAAAAGATGGAGTCTGAAGTGAAAATGGAAACATGGCATTTTCCCCTCCTGACCATCCTCAGTGCAGTGGTTTCTGACCCTGCACTTTCAGACTCGGGGTTGGAGAAGCAGAGGTGCTCCTTGGTCCTGCTGACTTACTCTTTGTTTGAACAGTGAATGGCACAACAGGAGAAGGCCTGTCCCTGAGCGTCTCAGAGCGTCGCCAGGTTGCAGAGGAGTGGGTGACAAAAGGGAAGGACAAGTGAGTGGCTGCATGAGGATAAAAATGCCCTTTGGCAACAGCTGTATTCAGTGAGCCTCTTCCCCAGAGGATACGCCCTCCCTGCTTCCTGGTCAGAGCCGGGGCTTGAGGTCAGCTGGTGGGAAGATGAGCAGGGCCCCCGGGATCCTGGCTTCTTGGAGAAGAGCCCCCTCCCTTTCTGTGCAGAAGGGCAGCCAAACTGCTAGACACACCTGCCACCCAGAGGTTCCGCTGGGAAACTGCTTCTTACCTGTCTACAAGGCCAGTCCCCTCACAGTTACCCGTCTTTGGGCTGAAAGGTAAGAGGGGAGGGTGGTGACGGACTCTGCTGGTCACTTGGCTCTTCCACTGAGCAACTCACACCCCTTCCCTTCTTGGGATGAGCGCCTGATGCTTGTATTGGCCCACTTCTCCTGACAGGTCTCTGTGCATCCAACTCAATGTGCTCTTTTATGGTGCTTCCTCTTGCGCTGTTGGAGGACTTTCTGTAGCCCATAAACTTCCATGCAGTGATAAATTTTTGTAACACCCAATTCATGCCATGGTTGAACAAACAGGATAGTATCAGTTCCATAGCACTTCCAGTTTAACTAAGTTTGTTTTTTTGTTTTTGTTTTTGTTTTTCTTGAGACGGAGTCTTGCTCTGTCGCCCAGGCTGGAGTGCAGCGCGATCTCAGCTCGCTGCAACCTCTGCCTCCGGGGTTCAAGCAATTCCCCTGCCTCAGCCTCCCGAGTAGCTGGGACTACAGGCGCATGTCACCACACCTGGCTAATTTTTTGTATTTTTAATAGAGATGGGGTTTCACTGTGTTAGTCAGGATGGTCTTGATCTCCTGATTTCGTGATCCACCGGTCTTGGCCTCCCAAAGTGTTGGGATTACAGGTGTAAGCCACCACACCCGGCCAACTAAGTTTTATTGATTTGTCTGTTACAGTGTTATATGTTATGTACTGTGCTAGGCACCAGCAGTATAAAGTAAGGGCTCTGCCTTCAGGTTGCTGACCATCCGGTAGGGGTGTTAGATCATGAAAACTAACACCCCAACCCTTCTGATGAATGTATAAAAAAAAAGGGAGTAATTGACGTTGTCTTAGGTGGAGGTAAAAGATTGGAGGTAAGTTCCAAGTGAGCAGAGGTTGTCAGTGTGAAGCCCATGATGACCTTGGGAATCCTTAATGGCTTCAGGGCAGCTCCAGTACTCTGAAATTATGTGCCAAATTTGAGTGCATATCCACAGAAGCATTCTCTGGTGAGTCATCAGCTTTCAGTTAATTTCGTGAGATCTAGGGTCCAAAAATATTAAGGACCATGGGCAGAGTGTGAAAACAGGAGGGCTAAGGGCACACATTAAGAACAGTACTGGCCGGGCATGGTGGCTCATGCCTGTAATCCCAGCACTTTGGGAGGCCAAGGCGGGCGGATCACGAGGTCAGGAGATCGAGACCATCCTGGCTAACAGGATGAAACCCCGTCTCTACTAAAAATACAAAAAAAAAAAAAAAAAAAAATTAGCCAGGCATGGTGGCGGGCTCCTGTAGTCCCAGCTACTCAGGAGGCTGAGGCAGGAGAATGGCGTGAACCTGGGAGGTGGAGCTTGCAATGAGCCAAGATCGCGCCACTGCACTCCAGCCTGAGTGACAGAGTGAGACTCCATCTCAAAAAAAAAAAAAAAAAAAGAACAGTACCAAAAATGAGGGACAGGGAAGTAGGCAGAGACAGAAAGCCCTCAGAGGGTAGGAGGCCAGTTGGGAGTGAGTCCTGTCACTGCAGCCAGGGAAGAGAATGATTTCAGAGACTGTCAGTGTAGCAGGGGCCATAGAGCCCGACTGCCTGAGTTAGAGGCCCAGCTCTGCTTATTAGCTCTGGGAACTCAGGCACATCACCTAACTTCTGTGTGCTTCATCCCTAAAATAGAAGTAATAATCATATCTCACTTATGAGGTTGTAGTGAGGATTAGAAAAGTGCCTGGCAGGCACAGTTCACATAACACATTCACGCTAATGTAAGAATTCATTGTAACTATTTAGATGCAGTAAATGCTATGTTCATTATAACGTTTGTTATAATAACTATTAGATGCCATGAAAGTCAGCACACGAAAGACTGAGAAGACCACTAGGTTTGACACATCATAGGAAGTCACTGATGACCTCTGAAAGAGCAGGGCCAGTCAGGTTATTGTAGAGAAGCCAGACTGCAGTTGAGTTATAGAATGCAGCAGACATCTGCAAGTGGGAGCGGTGAGTGCAGCTGATCCTCACAAAAAGTTTTCTGGCAAAGGGAAGGAGAGATGGAGTCATACATTAGGAAGGAAGGAATAGGCAAGATTGAAAGAAGGGTAGTTTTGTTAAGTGGAAAAATGTTGAGCGTGTTTCTGTGCTGAAAGGACACTGCCATGGAAGAAGAGATTAAAGATACAGAAAAGACTGGTAAACCTTGGCTGGGTGCAGTGGCTCATGCCTGTAATCCCAGTACTTTGGGAGACCAAGGCAGGCAGATTGCTTAAGCCCAGGAGATCAGGACCAGCCTGGACAACATACAGAGACCCTGTCTCTATAAAAAATAAAAATAATAATTAGCCGGGCATAGTGGTATGCCCCTGTGGTCCCAGCCACTTGGGAGGCTGAGGCAGGAGGATCACTTGAGCCCGGGGTGACAGAGGTTGCAGTGAGCCAAAATCACACTACTGTAGTCCAGCCTGGGTGAAAGAGCAAAACCCTGTCTTAAAAAAAAAAAAAAAAAAAAGTGGTGAATTGATACCTTTGATGGAAGGTCTTGGATAGGGGGATTTGGCTAGGGGTTTGACATACAGATGTTCCTCCACTGATGACAGCATTACATCCTGATGGATTGATCAGAAATTCATTCAACTTACAATTTACATTGGGTTTTAAAGACATAACCCTGTCATAAGTCAGGGAGTGTAATGATGCTTTCACCCCATTTTAAGGTCAAACCATCATAAGTTGGGGACCATCCGCACAACCCAAAGTAGACGGAGTAGCTTTAGAAGACAGCTGAAGGCCTGGCACAGTGGCTCACACCTGTAATCCCAGCACTTTGGGAGGCCAAGGTAGGCAGATCACCTGAGGTCAGAAGTTTGAGACCAACCTGGCCAACCTGACAAAACCCCGTCTCTACTAAAAATACAAAAAAATAGCCGGACATGGTGGCAGGTACCTGTAATCCCAGCTAAGCAGGAGGCTAAGGCAGGAGAATCACTTGTACCCTGGAGGTGGAGGTTGCAGTGAGCTGAGATTGCACCACTGCACTCTAGCCTGGGCGACAGAGTGAGACTCCATCTTAAAAAAAAAAAAAAAAAAGTTGAGAAGCTAGGAGGAAAGCAAATGGTGATATAGCCCCACACACAGGTGGAGAGAAGGAAGGATAAGGGAGTCTGTGTGTGAAAGCTTCTTCATCTTTGGTCTCTGGGACTCTAGGACATCTGCCCAGAACAAGGAGTTGGGTAGAATTTAGAACTTGACAGGAATAGTCAAGATTTGGAGTAGCCACTCCAGAGAAATGAGTCATGACAGCCAGAAGGCTCGTTGGAGCCTCCTCCTGGATTGGGAGATTACTAGGAAATGTGTATTTTAAATTTCCAACAGTGGTAGCTGTGCCTAGCAGCCCAGGAGAAAGAGGAAGAGCAAATGGATGATTGGCTTCACCTAAACCAAGAGAAAGGGGTAGTGAAGGGAGGGGTCGTGCAATAAAACTGCTGGTGAGAGTTCAACAGGTCAGTCAGCCCTCCTTTCTCCATTCAGAAGTCTTCTATTATCCTTTAAAAATACAAACCTGATCATGTCACTTCTCAGCTAGGTCCTGTTTTACCTAAGACATAGCTAGCCAAGAACCCCTGGAGGACTCTGTGATTGGGCCTAAACAGGAATGTGGTGTCTCTGTCTCATGAGGGCATGTGTTATTCAAGGTCCTTCAGAAGATTCACTGGGAAGACTGCATTCACAGCTGAACATTATTAATCCCACTTTGAGATGACCAGTCTCACTGTGGCCTCTCTCTCCCCAGATGGGAACATGGTATACCCCCAAAAATGAACATCGGGGTATCAGAACAAATATCGCCTTTTGGCCAAATTCTGAGGAGATTTGCAAAATAGGAAATTGCTTTTTATAGTGAATTCACTTCTCACAGGACTAGTTCCTGGTTTTACTCTTTGAGGAAACTCTTTATTTTTCTCTCCAACCAAAAATATCCCAGTATCATACCTATCTTCATTTATGTGATACCACCAAATACAGCATCTAAAACAATGCTTAACCAAAATAAGTACTCATGTATTGATTAATCAATTATTGCTTTTCAAGTTCTGCTTGGTTGAACCTTAAATTCTATTCCCTAGACATTTTTTAAAATCCCTAATGATTCTTTATCTTTACTGTTTTCTGTAGTTTTGCAGCATTAAAAGGCTCTATTCTTTTTTCTCTTTTTTTCCTCCCAAACTTGTTTTTTTTTTCTTTAAGTCTCTATTCTTAAGGCTTAACAGTAATAACTGCTAATATTTATTAAGCATTTACTGTGTCATGTACCATGCTGTGTTTTACCTGCATGAACTCACATAATCCTTACAATAGCCCTGTGAGACAGGTAATGTTATTATCTGAATTATTCCAGGAAATTGAGGTGTAAAGGTGTTAAGTGCCTTTCTGAGGAGTTCACAGCTGGTTCATAACAGTCAGGATTCAAGCTCAA
This sequence comes from Homo sapiens, assembly GCF_000001405.40. Lineage (NCBI taxonomy): Eukaryota > Metazoa > Chordata > Mammalia > Primates > Hominidae > Homo > Homo sapiens. Next base: position 182,810,945 of record NC_000001.11, read on the forward strand.
GACTCTAACTCTGGGATATAAGTTCTTAACAGCTATGTTGTACCACCTCTCAATTAGATTTCTTCCCTAGTGCTTGATTCACCATTGGCATCTTGATTTTTTTTAAATTTACATTTGATCTAAGTCAACAATTAGCCAGTGCCAGATATATGCAAAGCACTTTTACATAAATATGTGCAATATCATTTACTTACAAAAATCATATGTAATATCTGACACATAAATTGATTCTAAACATGATTAAACTAGGTCATTTCTTTCCATTAGAATTTATTATTTATTTTTATTTTTAATTATTTTTTGAGACATGGTCTTGCTCTGTTGCCCAGCCTGGGGTGCAGTGGTGTGATCTTGGCTCACTGCAGCTTCCACCTCCTGGGTTCAAGCTATTCTCCCATCTCAGCCCCCAAGTAGCTGGGACTACAGGCACACACCACCACACTTGGCTAATTTTTTGTATTTTGGGTAGAGACAGGGTTTTGCCATGTTGCCCAGGCTGGTCTTGAACTCCTGAGCTCACGCAATCTGCCCACCTCAGCCTCCCAAACTGCTGGGATTATAGATATGAGCCACTGCACCTAACCTATAATTGATTTTTAAATTTTGTGTGTTTTATCACAACTTAGAAGTGTTTTTTGTAAGCATGTATATAAGACGAATTTCTACAGACTCCAATTTAAGATAATGGGCTCGGACTAAATTATCTTTGTGATCCTCTGCCTCTAACTTAATGAGAGATGAATCCCATTTCTGTACACATTTAACGATTTTCAGCATATATTTCTGCTGTTGGTAACATGAAACCTCCATGATACTGTATAAACATACCACCTTCCCATTGGCTCTAAATGAAGTCATTGCAGAAATGGCTGTATTCCTACAGAAAGGAAGAAATGAATACCATTTTAACCTTGCCTTTAAATACCTCCTTTGGGGGCTGAATATTCTCTGCTGTGAAATCAGAATCATCCTAGGCACAGTCAAATCACAACCAACCTCTCAGTAACATGACAAGACTTTGATATCAATGACCTAGGTTAAAAAGATCACCATAAGCCCCTTTAAGTAGATTAAATATATTGCTATAGAACTTAATAAGTGAGATTAATAAGGCATCAGTTAACTGCTAAAATCAGCACAAACCAGGATAGTGCAGCCCTTCTGCATGCCTCTAAACTCTAAGCGATGCAGCAGTGTTTTTTCTTTTGCAGGCTGGATCAGGTGATAATTCACGTAGGAGCACTGAGCTTGAAGGAGTCACAGGAACTGGTATGTATGCAGTTCCATCTGGGAGAGACCATTCAAGGGGCCTCCATTTTTATGCCGCAGTTAAAATCAGTACTATATTTGCTATGTAGTAGATGGTGTGCCTGAAGAAATAAGGTGTGGGATCTCAGGGGCTTACTGCATAGAAGCAGGCATTGAGCCATAAAGAAAAGGTTGTAGCTCCAGGTGATGATGACTGTAGGATAGGAGATGGAAGCACCTTCCTCCAAGGAGAGTAAGGATGGATGCAGCTGTAGCTGAGTTTGCAGGTAAGGAGCAGAACTGAGCCAATTTCAGTTTTCTCTGGGAAGTAGAAGGCAGTGCCATCTGCAGGGCACAGAGGGACAAAGGATAGAGTAAAGGCTTGAAGAATGGCAAATGTGAATTCTGCATTGGAGAAAGGAGGGAGCTAAAACACAAAAGGATTGCTTGGTGGTGCTGAAGACCAACTTAAGTTGTAAGTTATAAATTTGTCATACCACCCTTCAGCACCGTTGTGGAATTTTTTTTTTCTGGGTACACTCTTTAGCCAGAATATAGGAACAAGAACAGAGACAATTGGATTGCTCCCACTTTAGAGATTAGCAGGTTAAGTGGAGCAGAGGCAAGAGAGGAAGGGGTTAAAGTTCCTGGCAGAAAAGCAGGTGGTGTGGTGATTCTGAGGCCTGGGTGAATTGGTTAAGAAAAGAAGGCACACACTTTGGGAGGCCGAGGCAGGCAGATCACGAGGTCAGGAGTTTGAGACCAGCCTGACCAATATGGTGAAACCTTGTCTCTACTAAAAATACAAAAATTAGCCAGGCATGGTGGTGGGCGCCTATAATCCCAGCTACTCAGGAGGCTGAGGCAGGAGAATTGCTTGAACCCAGGAGGCGGAGGTTGCAGTGAGCCAAGATCGTGTCACTGCACTCCAGTCTGGGCAACAGAGTGAGACTCCATCTCAAAAAAAAAAAAAAAAAGCACAAAGATGTTTAAAATTGTTTATCAGAAGGCCCTGTACCTGGACTGCTATAAATTAACCAAGTTTCCAGAACTTAGATATTCTACCTCTAAAGATTACAATGACTTTTTCTGGCCCAGCTTCTTCTTAATGGGTTTTGTTTGATTGTTTTGGCTATTTAGATTTAGAAATGGGATGTATAATATATTTGCAAAAAATTGCAACTTAGTGCTTTAGGCAAGATGCAAAGGAATATCTATCATTAGCCATAATAAGTGTGGAATCAGAATTTAGAGACTTGATTTATTCCTCTTACATTTGATTTGCTTCTCTTACAAAAGGTTTTTCAACTAAGGCAGTGTGGTGTAGGGTATATTTTTCTTTTTTCTCTCTTTTCAATTGCTGCTTTTCCAATGTATAATACAAATTTTAAAATATTATCATGTAATGACATGAATGACAGTATCATCCATTGGACTGAACACCCGAATAGTATAGAGGTAATCTTGGAATGAATAATCCTCTGGAATAGGGATAATCTCCTGGTATAGGGGTAGTCTTGCCAAAGAGATAATAACATCGGTATCTGCTTAGCCATAACTCTTTATTGGATGATGCTTGAATGGACACTGCCATCAACTCTCTTAGGTGTTTCCTCTTTCCTTGCTTTCAGCTAAGGTTAATCTACTCTTTTTCTAAACAGAGTAGTAAGCAAATGATTTAAATATGTCACATTCTGATCCTGTGTTAATGAAATTATTCCCAGTGCCTTAATTGGGCTATATCCCAGTCTTCTCCTTTTAACTATTCTAGTTTACTTCTGCAGAAAGATAATCACATCTATTAGATATAGATATTACAAGTCAAAGTCTCAGAAGGAAGGCCCTTTTCCCTTTTTAGATAGTGGGGCACGTTCTGAAACAACAAGTATCTACTGGTTCCTTGCTATGTGCCCAGCACCATGATTGACCTGGACTCAAGGGTAAGCAAGATCTGAGCCCTGCCCTGAGGGACTTACACTCTAGTTGGAGGACAGTCACCATACACAACTGCCTTAGAACCTGGTAGGTTTAGGTACTTTATTTGAAATAGATACATAGTGTTATAAGGGTCCAGCAAGAGGAAATGTTACTTTTTTCTGGAGGAATTTGAGAAAATATCAGAAACATGGTGCAGAGTATCTTCTGTGATGTATATAATCTTTTCCTTTTCAGCATGTCTCAACTGCATTCCCAATCTAATACAAATTTTACAATATGACTGTCTTGTCATTGGACAGAAAAGACAGTATCATCAATGGGCTGAACAGAACAGAAATTACATGAGCAGATATCTCGATTAACTGTTATAACTTATCAAAATGAACCACTTACGTCTCCTTAGCAAGGTTTTTTGTACTGACAAAATATGAAGTATAAGATTAAGTGCACAGCTCACCTTCATCGGGGAGCTCTACTTTGCGACCTGGGATTTTCCTGGCAATGACATTCATTAAATTTGGTTAATTTTCCCACTTTCCAGTGGTACATCAGTTAGCAAATTTGAAGAGCTTGTTACTGATCTTAGTATCTAAGCTATAGGTGACTATAGTAAATCACTTGCTCCAATATGGTCTTCTTTCTTCCTTTAAAGGCCCAACATGCAGCAGAAATAGGAGCTGATGGCATCGCTGTCATTGCACCGTTCTTCCTCAAGCCATGGACCAAAGGTAAGTAGATAGGTCTGAATGCATGGCATCTCACATGGTCCACTTCTTCTTGCCTCCATTCAAAATGGTTATATTTAATTTGTGAAAGTAAAGCACTATAGATTGGAGGCTTGAAGTCGCAATGGTACAGTGGTTCTCTGAAATATTTGCTCTCCCTGGATCCATAAAAGAGACTGCATTAAAGTACTTCAGTTCTTTTGCCCAGTAATTGATCTGATTGGGTCATCCACTGAGCCTGGTTGATCTGTAGATGCCTGTTTGGGTCAAGTGTCTGCTCCTAGACCAGTGAGTTGCATAGGGTGTCAGTCACATGGCAAAGCATGGGACCATTTTTCTTAGAAGAATATAAGTGATGGGCATTTTGAGACTACACATCCTATTCAAGGTTGAGTGAATGATGAATTTTAAGAGATTTCACAGAAATATTCATTGCCTTCTAGAATACCAAAGTATTGCTTTCTCTTTCTCTACTGTCTTCTCTGCAGAAACTATTTATGGTGTCTAAGTATACCAAGTCTTTTTAATCCTTTTTGATTAGCAAAAAAAGAAGTATAAATTTTAGAAGGATAAAAACAGACATTATTTGCCTACATGATTAAATAAATCCGTAATTAAATGCAGAATAGGTCTAAATCATCATGAAATATCAGCTATTATTGATACATAGAAAATAGTTCATTTAGGTAAGCAATTTAATATTTATAAATTGCGAGTTTAAAATGAACATTTTTAAAGTTTTAAAAATTTTTTAAATTATTTTTTAGAGATGAGGTCTTGCTCTGTTGCCCAGGCTGGAGTACAGTGGCATGATCATAGCTCACTGCAGCCTCAAACTCCTGGGCTCAAGCAACACTCCTCCATTGGCCTCCCAAGTAGCTGGGACTTACAGGCGCATGCCACCATGCCAAGCTAATTTTTAAAAAAATTTTATAGGGACAGGATGTTGGTATGTTGCCCAGGATGATCTTGAATTCTTGGCCTTGATCCTCCTGCCTCAGCCTCCCAAAGTACTGGGATTACAGGCATGAGCCACTGTGTCCAGCCCAACATTTAAAAATTTTTTCACATGGCTTTACAAATTTTTACGTGAATATGTTTCCTAAAAGGAAAAATAATGAATATATGCATAATAATTTGTCAGAAATATTATCATAGACTTGAATACACATCGTAACAGTATTAAGTACATAAAATTCTCCTATTACCCAGTGGCATCCAAAGCAGGAGGAGTGCTGCTGGACCTATCATCTGCAGTAGTGTTGCAGGCGAAGCTCACATGAGATGATGCAGGAAACCCCACTTACTCAGCAAACCAGAGTGTGCTCTCTTTTGATGTATCTGGATTTCTCCCCAAAGGGAAAAGTACCAAATTTTGCTGGAATTCTTGCAAAATGTGCCACTACTGCTATAATTTCCCTCTTGAAGCAGATATTGTTTATCTTTTTGTTACAGGATTTTCTCAATTAAAATCTTATTATTATCCTATAGTAGTCTCTGTTGTTTACTGTTCACACTTAGCCTTTTTGGGGTAAGACGACAAGAGTCTCACATGATGGACTTGTTTTTCATGATCATCTCTTAATATATGGGAAGGTTTTCATCAATTTTTTAATAGAGTTTAGTATGGTAGGAGAATAATCGTCTTACTTTGGGCTTTCTACAGAAAGGAAAATAAAACTTGAAGGAAGTGAGTTGCAAAAACATTGCAGTAGCAGTAGCAGGGATAGTAAAAGTGGTTGAGAATTTGAGGCTTCTGAGAAACATGGTTGTGTTTCATCAGATGATTCTCTTTTTTACCAGGAAAGCCACTGTTTTACACCTGTTCACACCATGACTGTTCCTACTGTTCTTTCAGATATCCTGATTAATTTCCTAAAGGAAGTGGCTGCTGCCGCCCCTGCCCTGCCATTTTATTACTATCACATTCCTGCCTTGACAGGGGTAAAGAGTAAGTACTGCTTCTGTTGATCTTTCTTTCCTTCCAACTCTCACATCTTACCCTATTATGCTAAGAAACTCCACTCCATCCCACCCTACCCCATGCCCCAAAAGCACACCACCACTGACTGGGCAGTTCCAGTTGTTTCTAAATGTCACTCTAAAGTCCCAGCCCTTATCAATCATTCACACTGCCGTATAATGGAAGTTGTTAGGTATGAAAGGAAATTTGATCTCTGGGCACTTGTAGCACATACCTTTCATCTCTATCACACACACACCCCTTCTTCTTATTGAGAAGACATGAGTCTGTAAGCCTCACTAGGACAGGAGTGTATCTACCTTGAACCTGTTGTATTCTTAGTGCCTGTAGCACATAGGAAAGTCCTCTGATCTCTTCTGACTTCTCTTCTAGCTTTTCTTTTATTATTACTGTATTTCTCCGAGAGAAGAGTTTTACAATTAGCTGAAATTTCTTAGATTATTTTTAAAATCCCACTCTTTTCTAAATTCCATAAGAGGAAAAATGGAGGCTGTACTTTATAAACATTCTGAGGAAAAAAACGAAACAAAACTGCTTTTCCTATTCTCTACTCTCATACTTAGCAAACTCAACGCAAAACATTTTACCTCTGGCCACCAAAATGTGTGTGGGCATTTCTCCCCACCAACAACCAATTCTTCATCAGAGACGAACTGGGTGTCCTCTAATTGGATTCAGTTCTGACACTGTCTACTGGAGTTAGCACTGGATCCCACAGGTTAAGGGCTTAGTCCCACAGGACTGCCCCCACTTCAGTGCCAGTCTCAAGTCCCAGGTTGTGGCCTGTACTTCCCACCAGCTGGCTATAAATCAGGGTTCCAATTACCTCCTCCTTGGGTTCAATTAATGTGCTACAGCAGTTTACAGAACTCAAACACTTTACTTACTATTGCCCATTTGTTACAAAGGAAACAGATAAACAACCAGAGAAGAAGAGATGCATAGGGTAAGATATGTGAGAAGGGGCATGGAGTTTCACGCCCTCTCTGAACAAGCCATCCTCCAGGCACCTTCACGTATTCAGCAACCCAGAAGCCCTGTCCTTTTAAGTTTCTATGGAGACTTCATTATATAGGCATGATTGAGTACCTCATTGGCCATGGGTGATCAGCTCAATCTTTAGCCCGGCTTTCCTCCCCAGAGGCCAAGGGTGTGACTGAAAGTTCCACCCCTCTAAGTACATGGTTGGTTCCCCTGGCAACCAGCCCTCATCCTGAGGCAATCTAGGTGATCTAGCCATCAGTGAACTTCATAGCATACAGAAATATACATATCACTTTGAAGATTCCAAGGGATTTAGGAGATTTGTGTCAGATGCTTCTATCTCTCAGGAAATTACAAAGGTCTTGGGAGCTCTGTGTCAGGAATCAGGGTCAAAGACCAAGTATTAGAATAAAATATTCTCCTAGCACCCCTGTCTACAAGGTTTTGGGTACTTTGTCTCAGGAACCAGGGACTGAGACCAAATATATATTTACACTTCACAAATATCCATCTACTGCCTTCAAGGAATGGGAAGTTTAGCATTATAATTGGACAAGCACATAGGAGCTGCTAGTCAGGGACCAGTGATTATGCCTAGTCTGCAGTCAGTTCTGGCTGACAGCAGCGTGTGGCAGCTCACTGCAGATGCATGACACTATATGAGATGTTATTTCCTAGAGATGTGCAGATTAATGAGGCACTTATTATTTTGAGCAGTTCGTGCTGAGGAGTTGTTGGATGGGATTCTGGATAAGATCCCCACCTTCCAAGGGCTGAAATTCAGTGATACAGATCTCTTAGACTTCGGGCAATGTGTTGATCAGAATCGCCAGCAACAGTTTGCTTTCCTTTTTGGGGTGGATGAGGTAAGTCACCCCCTAGCATGTTGCAGCAGGTCAGTTCCCTCCAAAACAATTTGTGTAGCTATATAGTAGCATCTCTTCTCTTTCTCTTTTTTATACAAGTGAATATTTTTTGTTTCTGATTAGCAACTGTTGAGTGCTCTGGTGATGGGAGCAACTGGAGCAGTGGGCAGGTAAGCATGACTCATTTTTCCCAGTGGTTATAAAGTCCCCCATAAAGGCATTCATCACCAAAGTAGCTGTATTTCTTGCATGTGTATCCTTTCTAATAGAAGTTTCCTTTCTTTTCCACATTCTTCCAGTGAAAGGGAATTAAATACTGCTTAGCTGTTTGTTAGAAATTCAGTCATTGGACTGGGCATGGTGGCTCAGCCTGTAATCCCAGCACTTTGGGAGGCCAAGGTGGGCAGATCACTTGAGGTCAGGAGTTCAAAACCAGCCTGGCCAACATGGTGAAACCCCATCTCTACTAAAAATGTAAAGAAATGGGCCGGGCACAGTGGCTCACGCCTGTAATCCCAACACTTTGGGAGGCCAAGGCGGGTGGATCACGAGATCAGCAGTTTGAGACCAGCTTGGTGAAACCCTGTCTCTACTAAAAATACAAAAATTAGCTGGGCATGGTGGCGGGCGCCTGTAATCCCAGCTACTTGGGAGGCTGAGGCAGGAGAATCGCTTGAAACCGGAAGGCGGAGGTTGCAGTGAGCTGAGATCGCACCACTGCACTCTAGCCCGGGCAACAAGAGTGAAACTCCATCTCAAAAAAAAAAAAAAATTAGCCAGGCGTGGTGGCAGGCACCTGTAATCCCAGCTACTCGGGAGGCTGAGGCATGAGAATCACCTGAACCCAGGAGACAGAGGTGGCAGTGAGCCAAGATCAAGCCACTGTACTCCAGCCTGGGTGACAGAGTGAGACTCCATCTCAAAAAAAAAAAGAAAAAGAAAAAGAAAAATTCAGTCATTGTTTAGAAGCATCTGTTGCAGTTACGGGTGAGACACATGACCACATGAATTGAGCACATGCACAGGGCCTACACCTTAGCAGGAGCTGACCCTTAGTGCTATAGACTCTGGTGACCAGTGTCTCAAGGATGGACTCACACTTTGTGAGTTCTATCTTTGTCAGAACTTATTTGGTTACAAGTAACAGAAACCCATTTGAACTAGCTTATGTACAAGAAGATATGTTATTATAAAATACTGGGAAATCACATAGAACCTAAGAGGAGGATGTACAACCAGGCCTCAGAGAAGATGAAAGCCAAGAACTGCAGAATCTCAATAGCCAAGGCAGATTATCTTCTATATGTGGTTTTTTGGAGAGACTCACCTCCACATCTTTCTGCACATCTCTTTATTTCTCTTCTCTCTCTCTGTATCCAGATGGGCTTTCTCTGCTTTAGCATGCACATGGCCAGTCATGGCTGCCCAAGCGTGGCATCTCGGGACATCATTAGATAGCACTACCTAGGCAAGTGTCCATGTCAGGTCCAACCAGAAGCATGTGGCCCAATGCCTACTTAGCAAAAGACAGGCAATTCAATTAGCATGTCCACTGCACATGTTAACCTGATTCATAAGAATATGCTTCCAAGCAGATTGAATGAAATTTTTGCATTAACTGAAAGGTACCAGGGGAGCAAAATAACATTTATAACATGTCTTGGTGAGCCTGGCTGTGAGGAAGAGTGACTGAGTTGAATAATATAAATGGCTTGTTCACCAAGCCAAGATGGCCTATGACAGCCATTGTAACTTCAGGGGTATTTCTACTGAGGAAATTTGAATGTGTATTTGTTGACCATATGTATTAATTCATTCTCACATCGCTATAAAGAAATATCTGAGAAATTTATAAGAAAAGAAGTTTAATTGGCTCACAGTTCTGCAGGCTGTACAGGAAGCATGGCAGCGTGTGCTTGGCTTCTGAAGGAAACTTTCAATCATGGCGGAAGGCTAAGCAGGCACATCTTACATGGCCAGAGCAGGAGGGAGAGGAAGTGAGGTGCCACACGCTTTTAAATAACTGGATCTCACGAGAACTCACTATCGCGACAACAGCACAAAGGAGGATGTGTTAAACCATGAGAAACTGCCCCTGTAATCCAATCACCTCCCACCAGCCCCACCTCCAGCACTGGGGATTACATTTCAACCTGAGATTTAGGCAGGGACATAGATCCAAACCATATCACCATTAAACCTTTTTCCGCCTGGAAATTCTTTCTTTTTTGGCTCCTGCTTTTTGTCCTCCATACTAGGCATTTTAATTCTGTCAACATAATCTATAAGCAAAGTACATTTGGTTAGACTTCGTTTCTCCCTAGTTATAATCACCTTTCTGTCTAACCAGGGATACACCTAAGACCATTGGGATTCAAATGTTAGTATTCTGAAACTCCTCAGACATTGTTCTTCCTTGCTCTATTGCCACAAGATAACATGAGCTTCACATTCCTGGAATCCCTTGCTGTTGACCCCAGTTCTATATATACAAGTCCAACAACATTTCTGTTAGTGGTACATCAAGATAAATACTTTTTCTGATACCGACTTACTATGAGAGAAGCCATTTGAATTTAAAGAACTTGGGGAAATATCCTTATTATGAGTTTCTATAACCTTCTACCTTGCTGGTTTCTCTAAGAATTCAGTGACTTATTTAAGATATTTATCTTTATAGGTAGAGTTGGAGAGTTTTTTAAGTCCACAAAAATATTTTGTCAGATCAAATTCTCACCTTCATTTTTGTTGAATTGTTATAGAAGACAACATGAAGCAATGGAAAGCTTTCATGGAAACCCTGAAGCCCTTCTTTAATCAAAATAAAAACCAGGCCTACCTTGCAGGGTTTTACAAGGATTAGACATGATTTATGTCAAGCACCTATAATATAATAGGCACTTAGTAAATGATCCCTCATTTTATTATCATCATTATTAATATTACTATCTAGAAACTAGTCTTTAAGTAATATACACATTAGCAAGGAATATAGGTAATTTATTGGGATTTGCCCCTATTTTCATGGTGCTCCATCCACCCAGTTTTTCAGCATAAGGCTTTTAGGACTCACCTCAGATGCTACCTTTTATCCACAGTTCTTGTCTAGCATTGCACCTGTGTGTACCCTAGGGCAAGAGCTGGCCTCAGTCGCTTCCTAACAAATACACCTCCATCTTTTTTATCTTTTTTCTGATTTTCTTCCTTTATCCCCTTTTGCCTGTCTTCCTTCTCTGCAGTACTGCTCAGTATTGCTGGAAAACTCAGAACTGAAGACAGTCTTGTCCCCTAATAGATTAGGATTCAAAAACAGACTTTAGGAGGACTAGGTGTATTTTTTCCCTTTTAAACAGCAGAGGGATTTGAAGATCTGGACCTTTCCTGTTGAGTTATTGAACCTGCAGTATTTGTTATTGTCTTGCCAGTACCTATAACTACCTGGGAAAAAAGACAAACCAGATGTTGGAGGCTTTTGAACAAAAGGACTTCTCTTTAGCCCTGAACTATCAGGTAAACGTTTTCTTCTCTTCCCATAAATCACAGCCTTTTTTCTTCCCCACTTGAGGATTCTTTTTCTTCTCTCTACCATGCCTGCCCTCATTAAAATTGCCCAGCCACTTCTTTCTTTACCTTTCTTCTGTTTTGTACTTTTTCTTGTTTAAAACCAAAGCTGTCCCCATTGTCTGTGTTCCCGACATGTCTAATCAGGACAGGACCCATACAGGGATGGCTCCTCTCTTCCTCCTAGAAAGGATCTTATTTTTACTCTATCTTCAAAGTACTTTTGTGACTATAATAAAATGGTCATAGATTTCTGGGAAAATGACCACAGGCTGTCCCCTTGAGGACATCACATCAGAGTTATCACAGAATATGAGGAAGCTATGAAGATGGTAACCTAAAATGGGGAAGGCTTCATTCAAAGTCAGGGCAGGTCAGTCTTGTCCACCCTGGAAATGTGCTGAGAACTAGGAACATCCACCAGGAAGGAAATAAGAGCCTAGTGGGTGATCCAAAGTAGATACAGGATTTGAGACAGGAAGGAAAAACCAGCAGAAGCTGATATGTTGCACGGAAGACCCCAGAGGACATAGTGGCTGCTGTGAATGTTCCATGGAGGACAGCCTAGCCATCAGGGAAAGAAGAGCCTCAGTGAAGGGTGGAACAGTCTCAACAACTGGTTGTCTTTTATTTAGAGATAGGGTCTTGCTCTGTTGCCCAGGCTGGAGTGCAGCGATGTGATCATAGCTCACTGCAGCCTTGAATCCTCCTGGGCTCAAGCAGTCCTCCCGCCTCAGCCTCCTGAGTAGCTGGGACTACAGGCATGCGCCACCATGCCCAGCTAACATCTGGTTCTAACCCATGGTTCTAAAGTGTAAATGGAATGAATTGGAAGAAAGTAGGGTGGATATGAGAGCAAGACTTTTGGGGTCTGAGAGGCGTGAGGATTTTCAGGATAGTATAAGTGGTTGAGAGGAGTATCCCAAGAAAATAAGTGGGAATGGAAAGACAGAAGCAAGATTGGAGCAAATGGTTGGTCCTAATAAAGCTTGGCTGTGGGATCTTTCTGAACAGGACAGGCTGCCATCAGGGTAATCAGAGATTACAGATCAGAAGTACAAAGTATCCTGGGGGTTAAAGGAAGTGACCTGCAGCCCCAACCCAAAGACAACATGAAGAAGCAGAATCCAGAGTGGTTTATTCCCTACCCGTAGGCCTCAAAGTTGAGCCATCATAAATCTACTTCCTCCTTAAAGTTTAAATACCATATGTAATATTCGCCTTTGTCCTCAGACCAAGTGAAGCTAAGAACAGGAACAGGGTAGGGATCTAGGAAGCTGTGCCAAATAAACTAAACATCGACAAGACTTTGGTTTAGATAAGGGTGAGAAGAATGAATTGTGCAGACTCTGCCATCTCCTTGCATTGATGGTTCTCTCCACCCTGCCCAGTTTCCTAGAAAAGGTTATTTCTGAAAATTCTAACCTGTTCTGAGCAGAACATGGAAATCATAGATGGAGTAGACTGAAGCAGCTATAATGCTGACCCTTCCATTCAGTGACTTCTCTTATTGGTTAATCTAGTCTCCATCTTTTTTCCCCTCTTAGTCCCACTCTAAATAAATCATCCCATTGAAAACAATGTTGGTAAGGAACTTAGTTTACCACTCTCTGTTTCAAATAAATCATCCCATTGAAAACAATGTTGGTAAGGAACTTATTTTACCACATTCTCTGTTTCTTCTTAAGAAAGCACGTGTGAGTGAGTCTTATTTACTCAGTACATAATTTCAGTAAAGGTGGTTTCTGCTCTTAAAGAGCTTGTAGTCAAGTGAAGAAGCAGACAAAAAGTTAGGGCTAAATTTATCTCATTCACTTTAATGTACTTAAGTGCCATCTGTTATATTTACATGAGTGAAATTACACATGTACAAAGATATTCCTTGCAGCTTTGTTTGTAACAGCAAAAGATAAAAACAGCCCAAATATTCATCCATAAGGCAATGGTTAAATACATTTTATTATGCAATTGAATTATATATAGCTCTTAAAATGAGATAGCTTTATGTATTCTGACCTGGAAAGATCTACATGCTATGTTAAATGGAAAAAAGCAGCAAAATATAAGATAGTAAATGTAATGTGCTATATTGTTCATGGGGTAGAACATATATGTTTGTAAGTCTCTGGGTATTAAAATTTTATTCTACATTTTATTTCTAGTATACAGTCAGTTAAAACAAATATGTTAAGCATTTTGAAAAATACTTTTAAATATAAAATGTTATTGAAAATGCATCTCTTAATAAGATGCATGAGGTTCTAAGGCCGGGCACGGTGGCTCACGCCTGTAATCCCAGCACTTTGGGAGGCTGAGGTGGGCGGATCATGAGGTCAGGAGATTGAGACCATCATGGCTAACGTGGCAAAACCCCGTCTCTACTAAAAATACAAAAAATTAGCCGGGCGTGGTGGCGGGCGCCTGTAGTCCCAGCTACTTGGGAGGGTGAGGCAGGAGAATGGCATGAACCTGGGAGGCAGAGCTTGCAGTGAGGCGAGATCATGCCACCGCACTCCAGCCTGGGTGACAGAGCGAGACTCTGTCTCAAAAACATAATAATAAAATAAAAATTAAAAGATGCATGAGGCTCTTTTTTAAAAAATCAGTTTGTCTGGAATCCGTGGATGAATATTACTTAATGCTAGGATAAGTTGAGGTTCAGCATCAATACTATTTTTGTTTTTAGAGAAGTAAGTGCTACAAAACTGTGTTCATGTAAGTTAGATAATAATGGAAGGAATTTTGTTATAGCAGTGTCACCCAGTTCTTTGAACATTTTTTGAGTCATATGCCAAAATCACAGAATGCTTTAATGATTTTCAGCTGAAACCTGAGTAGCAGTGTAGAAAGGAAATCATTGAAAAACCTCTGATTTTTGAGAGGACTTATTACCTATTAATTAGAAGAATCACTGTCCCTCTCTTTATCAATACCAATACTGATATTTTGATTTGTATCCCAAGGCAGTGATATAGAAGGCTGTCTTTATTTTTTTTCAAAAGTAGAAAAGACTGTGCAAGGGGAAACAGAAAAGAACAACCTGCACCTCCATTTCATGCAGATTCTTATGCTGATCAATTTTAGAAAACAGCACTTATGGAAGTTGAGGATCTAGAAATTGATTCCCATAAATCTTAGCCTTAGCCATGTGCTCCTTAGGCATCCTGGAAGGTGCCCCAGAGCTTATATGCACCTGAGTTTGAAAACCACTGCACTAGCTGATAAGTTTACCTATGTAAGCCAGATGGATAAGGGGTGTGATTCCCATCTTTACTCTCTTGTAGAATTCCATCATTGAAGCTTCTTTTCTGCACGGGCCCATTTTGTAAAGCCTACATGTATGAAAAGATCTTACCTTAGCCTGGATGGATCCCAGCCATCTTCACTTGGCTATTTTTCTCCACTCTGACAGACCTTCAGTAAATGAAGGTGTGCAGACTTTTTAGGGTTTCTGTAATTTGACTTCTACATTATTTACATTGTTTACACAGTTCAATAATACTAACTATAGATATGTTGTTCTTTTCTAGTTTTGTATCCAGAGATTTATCAACTTTGTTGTCAAACTAGGTAAGTGCCACCCATCTTCTGCTTTGTCTGCTGCTGGAGACTGTAAAGAAAATGGAATACCATCACTTTCTCTGAGGGTTCAACAAGAACACTTTTTAATGGTCTGTTGCAAGCAGAGTTCTGTTTCCCTTATTAACCCTCGGGGCCAACCATATAAAACTGTGAAGTAAACCTAGTTGGAAAATCTTTGGCAACCTTCTCCATTTTAGCACATGCCTACCCCATTTTCCATTCTTTCTCTCCTAAACCATCAGCACTCCCTCCCTTTACTTGCTTCAGCTCATTAAAATTCTACTACTGCATTGAGGTTGATTTCAGCCTAAGTGCTTGGAGGAAGGCAGTCTAAATACAGATTTTACTAAATTGTGAATGACTGACAGCTCTCCCAAGAGTATTTACAATTTAAACAGAGTTTATTAACACAAGTAAGCCTAAATGGATGGAGGTTTGGATAATATGACAAAGTAAAATTGGGGAGCAGTCGTGGGGAGAAATACAGTGAATTTGAGTAGAGAAACCGCTCCAGAGTCTCTTAAATCTTCTATAACAAATGACAAATGCCACTATCCACTCTTCTGCAAGAGATTGGCCCTTGGGCCAATTGAATCTGCGTTAATGCAGGAAAATTTTTAAGTTTATTTTTGGTAGACCTCCCTGCTCCCTGTCAGAGTCCTGCATAATTCTGACAACTCCTCCCTCTCCCCCAAGCACCTCTTCTGTGTTATGCCCCTCATTCTTGCAGGGTTCTCAACCCACTCTCTTACTCCTTCAAGGACGTTTCTGTTTGTTTTTCCACTTTCGTGATTTTTGCACATTTGTGTGCTGCCAGTGCTATGAACTACCTATTATTGTTCCATTTTTCTAAGCAATGGTTTCACAAAATTGTGGGTTTGGTGTGATAATTATTATGTTCCTAAAATACATTAAAATAGGTATTGAACTGTTAAAATTTTAGACAAACTAAAAGCTTGATGTGTGTAGTAGTCCCCCCTTATCTCAGGGGGATATGTTCCAAGATGACCAGTGGATGCCTGAAATTGCAGATAATACGAAACCCTATATATACTATGTTTTTTCCTGTACATGCATACCTATGGTAAAGTTTAATTTATAAATTAGGCATAGTAAGAGATAAACAGTAACTAATAATAAAATAGAACAATTATAACAATATACTGCAATAAAAGTTATATAACTATGGTCAGTCTCTCTGTCTGTCTCTCAAAATACCTTATTATTTTTGGACTGCAGTTGACCACAGGTAACTGAAACCATGGAAAGTGAAACTGCAGACAAGGGAGACCTACTGTATATTCGATCATGCTAATATTTTCCCTCCCAATGCTCAGTTTTTACTGCAACTAAGTTAACTTAGCAAAAGAAAGTTAGTTCTTCTATCTTGAATCTGAACGCAATAGCCAGCTAAGAAAACAAATTACAGACATTTTAGAAGATGGGGATTGGGGATTATGATGGATAATTATTAGTTATGCTTTTTACATATTAACAGTGTACCTGATCTTCCATTTGCCTCTCCAATCTGAAGGCTTTGTCTTTCTTTAGTTCTGAAAAAATTCTCTGTTATCTGTAAAGAATGTTTTGACTACATTTACTCAAATCTCTCATTCTGAAAGTCTATTAGTTGTATTTTGGATTTTCTCAATCTGTATCTCAATTTTAAAAAACATTTAACATATCTTTCTATGCTGTATTCTGGATTATTTCCTTAGATCTACCTTGAAAATCACTAATTCTTTCTTTAGCTATGTTTTTACTGTTTGATTTCCCTAAATATATATATTTTTTTCAGTATTTCTTGTTGTTTTATACTCTACTGTTCTTTACTTCTCTTAGCCTATGGCTTCTATTCCTTCTTTTATCTCTGAGAAGTCTCTTTCAGAATTTTCTGTCATCTACTCTCAGGATGTAAGTTTTGTCATTTTTGAATGTGCTGGTTCTCCTGCTGCTGCTTTTCCTCATGGGTTTTGTAATTTTTAGCTTTGAGCTCATGTTCAGAGACTGTTGTTTTCTGGGTAACCCATTGAACATTAGGTTGTAAGGTGCCCTATCAAGTGAGTTTACATTTGCCTCTGCTAGGACACTGTAGTTCCACCAGTTCTAACCAGTCTTTCGGTTAATTTTTTAGTATAGTACCTATACTAAGTGTGTGACATACATTGAGATCCACCATTCACCTTTGGCTCAGGCTTGAGATTTCTTTCATGAGATCTGTTTCCATCCACAAGCCTAGTAGAAGTCAAGCTTTCTTCTTTATCCCCAGACCAGTGGGCTGGGTTTTTTTCTATTGCTTTTTACAGAAGGCTGACTACCAGTTTTACATAGGTAGTTTAATTCCAGCTTCTCACCATGCATAGATCTAAGGCTTCATTTTCCATTCCCATCCCAGCCGTATAACACCAGCATGAAAACAGCAGCGTTGAGTCATAAGCCACCTTAAGTACTGCATTTCTTAGGGACTTCCTAAATAAGCTTAAACTAAATTTCATGCTGGCAATAAAGTCCTACCTCCTTTGATCAACAATAGTATATTCCTAAATCAGATTATCCTCAAGGGCTGTTTGGCATCAGCTTCTCCTCACCCTTCTGACCTCTTTATTCCTGACACCTTTGGCTTCTCCTTCTTGGGTTTAAGATTAACCTTGAGTCTTTGTTTTCTTTTACTGTGATCAACTTTTAAAATTTTCCAGCGTTCTGTGTTTGAAGCAGGAAGAGGGATTTCGAATGATTGCTCATCTGTCATATTGACTAGAAATGTTCCCATCTTTTGTTTTAATCTTACCCTGTTGTAGTAGTTGCTGTTAGCATATGATCTCCTTCTTTGGGATTTTTGTGGAGAGATAGACGGTACCAGTCATGTTTCCTCATTTGTTTTTCCCGTCTAGGTTTTGGAGTGTCACAGACCAAAGCCATCATGACTCTGGTCTCTGGGATTCCAATGGGCCCACCCCGGCTTCCACTGCAGAAAGCCTCCAGGGAGTTTACTGATAGTGCTGAAGCTAAACTGAAGAGCCTGGATTTCCTTTCTTTCACTGATTTAAAGGATGGAAACTTGGAAGCTGGTAGCTAGTGCCTCTCTATCAAATCAGGGTTTGCACCTTGAGACATAATCTACCTTAAATAGTGCATTTTTTTCTCAGGGAATTTTAGATGAACTTGAATAAACTCTCCTAGCAAATGAAATCTCACAATAAGCATTGAGGTACCTTTTGTGAGCCTTAAAAAGTCTTATTTTGTGAAGGGGCAAAAACTCTAGGAGTCACAACTCTCAGTCATTCATTTCACAGATTTTTTTGTGGAGAAATTTCTGTTTATATGGATGAAATGGAATCAAGAGGAAAATTGTAATTGATTAATTCCATCTGTCTTTAGGAGCTCTCATTATCTCGGTCTCTGGTTCCTAATCCTATTTTAAAGTTGTCTAATTTTAAACCACTATAATATGTCTTCATTTTAATAAATATTCATTTGGAATCTAGGAAAACTCTGAGCTACTGCATTTAGGCAGGCACTTTAATACCAAACTGTAACATGTCTCAACTGTATACAACTCAAAATACACCAGCTCATTTGGCTGCTCAGTCTAACTCTAGAATGGATGCTTTTGAATTCATTTCGATGTCACCACTTTTCGCTCTTTAAAAACACTGGGTCAGGTGAGGACTTGTTTCAGTTCCTATAACTAAGTAAAGGGCGGCTTTCTCATAACAAAGGAAAAAGTCTTCCCCAAAGATGAATTTAAGTCTCCACTTTTTTCTATACAGAAAACTCAAAACTCAAAGTTTCAAAGAACCAAAGGACTCTTCCTCTGGGCACCACAAACTTCCCCTTCCTCCACTGAGAAGACTGTCTCTCCCGCAGGACCCTGAATTATTGAAATCGAAGGCTGACTTCCTTTCTGCAGTGAGCCCAGGGGCTAATGTTATTATCCTGTCACACTTGCAACTAGTGACTTTTGTTTAGTGATAGAAGATTTGGGGAGGACCCAAAGGACTCAGAACTTTCTCTCCATACCTCCTTTTACTCTTTTCTTTCTGTGTAATGTATCAACAACTGTTTAATCTCCCTTCTAACAAACCTTGATATAAGCTTTCTGATATCAAAGTATATTGACAGTTAACCCTTACTGATTTTAAACTTGACTATCCAGTCTGTTAATTACCTAAGATTTTGTTTTCATTTCATCTCTAATTGTTTTGATCATTGGCAGAGAAAGAGTATTTGAAATTCATATCAGTTTTGCTCCTTATTTTAATCTCTTTGAATTAAAAATAAAACTTTTTCAAAATGGAAATTTGAAATTATAAGTAGACTTCAATTATCTTTGCTAATCCTCTCTTTAATTAGTCAGCTAGTTAAAAGTTGTTATATTCATATATCCTCAACCCTCTTTTTGCCTTTGTAGCTTTTAATTTCCTGAAAGAAGAAAATGAGTTGTTCGTTTTTGGTTCTGAGGATGTGATATCCGTACTTACTGATACTAAAGCCAAATTTAAATTCTAAAATTAATTCTTGGGTATCCAATAAACAAAGAACTATTTTTCTATTTTTGCTTTTGTGAAGTCAATGCTTAGAGGATTTTTAAGATGGTGAGTGAGCTTTTGTGAACATAAAGAGAAATATGATTTTAAAATGACCAGGTCTGAGTTTAGCTCTGTTAACATCCAGTAGCTTAGAAATGAATATCATGGCCGGGTGCCGTGGCTCATGCCTGTAATACCAGCACTTTGGGAGGCCGAGGCAGGCAGATCACGAGGTCACGAGATCGAGACCAGCCTGACCAACATGGTGAAACCCATCTCTACTAAAAATACAAAAATTAGCTGGGTGTAGTGGCGCACGCCTGTAGTCCCAGCTACTCAGGAGGCTGAGGCAGGAGAATCGCTTGAGCCCGGGAAGCGGAGGTTGCAGTGAGCCAAGATCGCACCACTGCACTCTAGCCTGGTGACGGAGCGAGACTCTGTCTCAAAAAAAAAAAAAAAAAAAAAAAAAAGAAGAGAAAAGAAATGAATATCATATAGCAGTAGGCTATTAATAGTGCACTTAAGTAAAATTTTGGAATACTATGAACTTACCGTTTTGTTTATAATCTATTCCTAAATTGTTTTTAACATTAAAACTACAGTAATGGCATGTGAAATATTTCATTCAACACAGTAGTAAAAGCTGATTTCCAACCTCTTTGTTTCAAGATAGAAATCTGAGATCAGTCCACTGGGGATGGTTGGAGGGACAGGAGTGATTTTAGGAATTGGTTTTACTTAAGATCTCTCTTGCCAGGTGCGGTGGCTCACGCCTGTAATCCCAGCACTTTGGGAGGCCTAGGCGGGTGGATCATGAGGTCAGGAGATCAAGACCATCCTGGCTAACACAGTGAAACCCCGACTCTACTAAAAATACAAAAAATTAACCGGGCATGGTGGCGGGCGCCTGTAGTCCGGGAGGCTGAGGCAGGAGAATGGCGTGAACCCGGGAAGTGGAGCTTGCAGTGAGCCGAGATCGCACCACTGCACTCCAGCCTGGGCAACAGAGCAAGACTCCGTCTCAAAAAAAAATAGAACATCTCTCTTGGGTTTATTGAAAGATGTAGGAAAATGCCATGGGGGTGAGGTGCAAGTAGGGTTGGGGGGCAGTGGGAGTAATGTATATTCTTTCCTAGAAAGGGTATTTGCCACAACTTGAGAGAAATTTCTTCTTTCTGATCACCTGAAGGGCACGGAAAATCCAAACTCTTAGGAGGCTGATGTCTAAGGCTGGGTTGAGGGGCTTTGCAGAGTGACTGCAACCCAAGTTTAGGTACCCACCTGGGCTCACCAAGGCTTTTTCATACAGAGGAAATGGAGTGGGATCTACAAACCCATCAAATCAAGTAGAGGAAACAACACATCCAAGCCATTTAACCATTTCCTTATCACATGCTGACTCAACCCTCAGTTTCCTCCAGTGGAAGTAAGAGGGAAACTTGGAACCAAAATTATGCAAATAGCAGAGCTAAGCCCCAGGTAGAGGCAGAGCACTACCTCACACTTTGTTTCTGGGGCTGAGAAATGGCTATCTGGGTGGACAAAAAAACCCAAATCGTAGTTTCTCCTAAGAGTCTCCCCTTGGTGACTCTTAGGAAATTGTTTGATACATAATACATTTTAGCATGTTAAGTTACACAACTAGAAGGAAAACCCTAAAGCATTTTCTTAAGTCTTAATCACACAATTAATAAATATAATGGAATGGATTCAACAAAATACATAGAGAACTATATCCAGCAGGATGTGTTACCTTTATCTGGAGACAAGTTACAGAGAGTGTTCAAGTTCTATTCCAGAGGGACCACCTAAGGAGATTATACATCAATCACACATTCACTTCTGATATATTTTCTCTGATATATTCTGCTAGAATGCCCTTCATGAATATCAGCATCCCATGTTTGAGGCAGATGTTGGGTTAGGCCCTATAGGCGCAGAAATTGTCACAAATGCCAGCCTTTGGTGTGAGAGACAAGCCTTCTCATCTATCAGCAAGCACACATAACAAGGTTATCTTTGAGGTCATGGGGAAGTGGGTTCCCACAAGCGGGCAAGTGCATCAGCATCTCAGTATGGTCTACAGTCCAAGACCAGTTTGTACCATTTTAAGGTTATCCTACCTCAGGTAGAAGGAGGTGGGATAATGACCACATACTACATTCTTGAGAATCCTCAGACTAGGGTGAAACAAAGTGATCCACCCTCAGCTTGAATGAGTGGACACATTTAAAGCATGTTAGAGTGGCAAATAATATTCATAGCCTGTATTAGTTCATTCTCATGCTGCTAATAAAGATGTATCTGAGACTGGGTAATTTATAAAGGAAAGAGGTTTACCATTCAGCATGGCTGGGGAGGCCTCAGGAAACTTTACAATCATGGAAGAAGGGGAAGCAAACACATCCTTCTTCACATGGTGGCAGCAAGGAGAAGTGCTGAGCAAAAGGCACCCTTGTAAAACCAGCGGCTCTCGTGAGAACTCACTCTCACGAAAACAGCAGCATGGGAGTAACCACCCTCATGATTCAGTTAACTCCCATCAGGTCCCTCCCATGGCACATGGGGATTATGGAAACTACAATTCAAGATGAGATTTGGGTAGGGACACAGCCAAACCATATCACAGGCCTAGCTGGTCTTCAGGTTGCAGTTACTATCTGAACTCCCCTGAATATTGGCCAATTAGTACTGTCCTTTTCCTAAGGTAATAACCTCAATCAGGTTTGACTTCCCAATTTGAGCAGAACTTCAGAATCATTCAGTTAAAACACTAAGTATATTCTGCCTTTTGCTCTTTCATTTGTCTATATAGAACTGTACCTATCTGTATGTCTTTCAAGATCCTTCAATATGGCCAGAGGAAAGTGGTGGGAGATGGAGGTGCAGAAGAGGGACCAATTTCCACAAGGTAGTGAGAGGGGGCTTCTCTGGGTCCATTAGACTTAATCTGAAGTTAGAATGTTGGAAAGAAACCAGTCAGGTGAAGAGTAGCAGAGGGTGCATTCCAGGTGGTAGGACCCACATATTTGACAGTTCTGAGCCATGGGAGAGTCTGGAGTGTGAAAAACTGAACAGAAGCCAATGAATCAGAGCTCAGACACCAGGGAGAAAGAGTAGGAAGTGATTAATTTAAAGGGACTGCAAAGGAGCCAGTTCTTGTAAGGTGTTGTAAGTCATAGGAACATTAAACTCACACTGTTTTTCTGTGCTGTAACTTTAAGTGCTATAAATTTAGAGTGTAAAATAACTATAGGCCCCCCTAAAGACTGAAAAATTGGTACAGAAAGAAGAAAGTTTACAACAAGCCTTCAGTACATTACAGTTTGTAAATAAACTGTCTTTATTATTTCAACTTGTTGATATAACCTTGTCTCTGGAAAAATTGATTTTTTTGGTCTGAAATTGTTTAGTTTTCTTGGGTTTACAGAGAATGCATCATGATTTTCCAGTTAAAATATTATTTTCATTTAGTGGCTTTTCACTTAGCAGTAGGGTTTTCAGGAGTGAATTAAACATAATAACGAGGAAAAGGTATATTTCTATTCAGTAGCAGATAATTCTAGTATCTAAAACATTTATATATAATTCTGTCAGTTTTCTTTTTCTGCTGGCACTCAACTCATTGGACTTTATTTGTTTTTTAGAGACAGAGACAGGGTCTCACTATGTTGGCCAGGTTGGTTTTGAACTCCTGGCTTCAAGTGATCCCACACTTCAACCTCCCAAAGTGTTGGGATCACCCACATGAGCCACTTATACCCTGCCACTCATCAGAGGTACTTAAGATCCTCACCCGTTTTATGATTTTTTGAACTCGAGCTTATGTTCAGTGGAATTTTATAGGAATTATTTGAGGTCTGGATAGAAGAATATTCCACCAAAGAGAATATAATTTTAATCCTTCTAAGTGATTTATCTCTGTTGACTAATAACCGCTTTAAATAATTGGCTTGAGGTTTTTTTGGATATCAGAGGAAGTAAGTCTTTTTATTCTACCTAGCATCTAGTTTTTGATAGACAAGTTTCCTTATTATACCCCTCTTCTGGTTGGTTTGGCTTCTCATTGTTGCTATTGTTGTTCACTTTTCACTGAAGATATAAGGCTTTCTGGTTTATGTGTAGGTCTCCTCTCAGCCTCTGCATGTTGGGCAGTCTCTTTTGTCTCCTTTCTCGTAAGCCCCAATGCAGCTTTTATTAAAAGGAAGCTCAAGTTCATTAAAAATCAGCAGACCCTTTCAGGGTAGGTGCTTACGTCAGGGTTCTCTTGCCTCTCTGGATTCATTCATTCACTTCATTTATGTTTACCTCTAAAGCATTTTCTTTCTTGGCAGCACAGCAATACATTTTTTTTTTTGTATTCAACATTTTCTGTTATTTTTCAATGGTAAGTTTATTTAGGGCATCTCCATTTTTTTCAAGCTTTTGGAATCTTTTGCTTTCAATTACTCTTAAATACAGCAAATTTATATTTTGCTACAGGTTCCACTCTGAGTCATTTTTTCTTAATAGATTATTACATCCCATTTACCTTTATTGAAAATCTTTCTAAAGTAGTTTGTAGAGGGAAACATTAATTTGTTCAGGTAAATAAATACAGTAATTCTAGTATCCAATAAGAAATTACAAATTCTAGATATGTGAAACTAATTAACACTGGAAAAAAGTAAAACCCCATAACCTTATAGAAATGTGTTGTTCTTGTGGTGGCTCATGCCTGTAATCCCAGCACCTTCAGAAGCTGAGGTGGGAGGATCAGTTGAGGCCAGGTGTTTGAGACTAGCCTGGGCAACATAACAAGACCCTGTCTCTACAAAAAGAAAAGAAAGACATGTATTAGTCTCAGTTAAAGCTTGTATAAAGCAAGCAACAAAAATGCTCAAATATACAAATGCATGGGTAAATAAAGCCCTGAACCTTAATGTGGGAACCGTAAAAGCAAATGTGAATATGGCATTTCAAGACTACATAACTGAGAAGCAAGCCAAACTATAAAATAAATTAATTCCTGTAGAATAAATACAGAGAAAGCAAATGTAACTGTAAAAATGGAGCAAAACATGTTGCAAAATCCTGTGAATGTGAATAGATTTCTATATAGCCATAGAACTTGTAGATTAACAAATGGTTCAAGAAGAACTGGTACAATGGAGACAGAAAAATGACTTCCAATGTTACAACTGCTTATAGAAAAGATAAATATTCACTTATGTACAACAAGCAATAAAAAAGGAAGACGTCTAATAGAAATTGGCTTTTGAATGACCGTAATTATTAACAAGAAAATAATTTTAGAAGTATCAGATAGGTTCTATTCTTCATTCTCAAAATCTAGACTACCATTTCTGCTGGAATCCAGATTATATACTTCATCTGTGTCACTCATTGCATTAAGAGTCATCAGTCCTTTAAACCAGCGGTCCCCAACCTATTTGGCACCAGGGACAGGTTTCGTGGAAGACAATTTTTCCACGGACCAGGGGCCTGGGAGGGATGGTGTCAGGATGAAACCGTTCCACCTCAGATCATCAGGCATTTTCTCATAAGGAGCACGCAACCTAGATCCCTTGCATCTGCAGTTCACAATAAGGTTCACACTCCTATAAGAATCTAATGCTGCTGCTGCTGTGACAGGAAGCGGAGCTCAGGCGGTAATGCTTGCTCGCCCTTCGCTCACTTCCTGCTGTGCAGCCCCATTCCTGACAGGCCATGGACCTGTACCGGTCTGCAGCCCAGGAGTTGGAGACCCCTTCGTTAAGAGATCAACCAACTCTTCAATATGTCAAGATTTATGTGGGTAATTATATCAGAGGAGAGAAGGCTCTGGTCTTGTCCTCTTATAAGGGCACTAATCCCACCATGGGGGCTCTACTGTCATGACCTCATCTAAACCCAGTTATATCCTAAAAGCGCCATCTCCAAATACCATCACATTGAGGATTAGGGCTTCAGCATAAAAATTTGGGGGAGATACAAATATTCAGTCCATATCAGCATATGGATGGTGGTTGGAATATAGAAGAATAAGACTCTCCAGGTAGAGGGTATATAGAGTGCTAAGAACAGAACCTGGGTGTGACTTGCAATTGGAGTGCACACAGAGGAAGAGAAGTTGAGTAGGAGTCTAGAGGGAGTGATCAGAAATATGAGGGCAGAACCATGCTCAAAGGAACTCCAAAGGGCTTAAATTTGAGCGACAGAGGTACTCAGAGAACATTTGCTTTTGGGAGTCTCATCCTGGAGAAGATATCTTTGTATCTCTTATTTCCCACCAAACTAAGTGAACTTTCATCAGTTATTTCTAGTCAAAAAGGTAAATGTGAAATATTAAGTAGTCCAGTTGAAGCAGACCTTTCATTATTTGATCATTGAGTGACCTATAGCCTCAGTTCCAAATTCTTAAGATAGGGACAAAGTTACCTGTTTTATAATAAAGCTTAAAAAAAAATTCCCTACCCTGCTCTGTCCCACTTGACCTCTGAAATCTCCTAGTTGGTCAGCTACCAGGAACAGGTAATGGTTGTGTTGAAATCGGCCCACTTTCCATACTTTTGGGACATGTTTTAAGGCTTCATTTGCAAATGTTAAGATCTTAGACAGTGCTAGTTGCCAAGAGCCACCTACAAAGGTAATGCCAGTCCTCGGACCCAAATCCCAGGGGACTCTAGGTCTCAGGTGCAGAGCCTAAATTAAGAACCAACTCAGTAACAAAATTCTCCTTAATCCTTGGAAGCTAAAGATCCAGCTTTGAAAAATGTATTTCCATGTAATATATTGATACTTTTGTTGTGCTCATTATATACTATAAAACACTTGCAATTCATTTATGCTAGTTGAGTCTCTTTATTTATTTACTTATTTTGAGATGGAGTCTCACTCTGTCACCCAGGCTGGAGTGCAGTGGGACGATCTGAGCTCGCTGCAACTTCTGCCCCTCCTCCCTCCAGGTTCAAGCAATTCTCCTGCCTCAGCCTCCCAAGTAGCTAGGATTACAGGCACACGCCACCTTGCCCGGCTAATTTTTGTATTTTTAGTACAGACAGGGTTTTGCCATGTTGGCCAGGCTGGTCTCAAATTCCTGACCTCAGGTGATCCACCTGCCTTGGCCTCCCAAAGTGCTGGGATTACAGGCATGAACCACCACACCTGGTCTTGTTGAGGATTCTTGCATCTATGTTCATCAGGGATACTGGCCTATAGATTTTTTTTCTTGTGTCCATATCTAGTTTTGGTATCAGGGTAATGCTGCCCTCACAGGATGAGTTTGAGAACTGGTATGAGTTCTTCTTTAACTGTTCAGTAGAATTCAGCAGTGAAGCCATCAGGGCCTGGACTTTTCTTTGATGGGAGACTCTATATTACTGATTTAATCTCATTACTCATAGTTGGTCTTTTCAGGTTTTCTATTTCTTCTTGGTCCAATTTTGGTAAGTTGTATCTGTTCAGGAATTTATCCATTTCCATTTGGTTTCCAATTTGTTGGCATATAGTTGTTCATAATAGTCTCTAATGATCCTTTGTATTTCTGTGGTATCGGTTTAATGTCTTCTAGGCCCCTGCTGCTTTCAACACCCTGAAGGGTACAAAAAAAAAAAAATTAAGGTCTTTCCTTCAATGATTTTATTCTTAATTAAGGAGAACAATCACATGAAGAAAATAATAAGTAAATGATAAACTATGTTGTTCTGATTTTAAGAATGACAGTTTTAAAGGGAGTGATCACTATCAGCTAGAAGGATTAAGAAAAACATAAGGAAAGAGGTGAAAAATAAAGATCCATAGATATAATGAGCCCAGATAATTGATTAGTCTGGATTCCCTGGAACAATCCCAGCTGGAAATGTTTTGTATCATTACCTTCATGGGACGCACTGGAGTTTCAAAATTTAACAGTGACTAGTATAATAATTAAGGACACAATTATTCCAAAGACTTGGAACACAAAATTACTCCAAAGACTTGGAACACAAAAGGTTATCCAATTTAAACAAAAGCAACCTTGCAGATTTTATTCCTACCTTAAAGTAGTTTGCTGAGCACTTACAGTAATGTTCCAGGCACGGCAAGGAGCGACCTGCGTTAGCCAGGCAGAATGCCCGCCTTCACTGAGCTTATTTCTTTCATGGTTTTTTTTTTTTTTTTTGAGACGGAGTCTCGCTCTCTCGCCCAGAAAATGGCGTGATCTCGGCCCACTGCAACCTCCGCCTCCGCCCCCGACCCCGGGGTTCAAGCGATTCTCCTGCCTCAGCCTCCCGAGTAGCTGGGATTGCAGGAGCCCGCCCAGCCACCCAAGCAGCTGGGATTGCAGGCGCCCGCCCCCATGCCCGGCTAATTTTTGTATTTTTTTTTTTTTTTTTAGTAGAAACGGGGTTTCACCACGCTGGCCAGGCTGGTCTCAAACTCCTGACCCCAAGTGATTCGCCCACCTCGGCCTCCCAAAGTGCTGGGATTACAGTCACCACGCCCGGCCAGTTTATTTCTTTCAAGAGACACTGGCGTTCAGACTATCTGAATCAATCCGGTAACTACGCCCACTGAACACCTACTACATGCCAGGTATTGAACTAAGCCGCCCTTCATATGCCATCTCATGTAATTATCTCAACAACCCTACCAAGTTAGCAGCAAGGTTTCCAGTTCTGCCTTCGAAGGGAACCTCCTCTCACCGGAGATCCCTATGACAGACCCTGCGAAATATTTTGCTGCATCAGAATGCTACAGGCCGTCAACTCCCTAACATGCGCAAAAGCGGGCAGCCGATTATCCAGGGTAGTGGATTATCCAGGAGAGTGGATTATCCAGAGTAGCAGGTCTGGCGCGATGCCCGCCCGGCTCAGCCCATCTCCCTAGCAACGAAACCCTTCCGCGCCGCGAGGTTGCTGAGCCCCGCCCCCTCCATTGGCGCGCCCTCGCCATCCCCCGCCCTGGCACGCGCTCTGCGCATGCGTACGCTCGCTGGCCCCGCCCCCTAGCGCCGCGGTCGGAGCCATTTCGCCGATTCCTCCATGCGAGTTGCTGTGCGTTTCTCTGTTGTCTCGGTAGAAGGCCAGAGTCACACACGGTCCTAAGAGCTGGGCACCAGGAAGCGAAGGCTGGTAAGGGAGAGACGTTCCGGCTACCATGCGGGGCGGCGGGGTCGCGGGCGGGCGCCGTGGACCATGGCTCCGCAGCCGGCTTTGTTGCGAAGCGCGGGCGGCGGCGGCGGCTGGGGGTGGGGGAAGGGACGAGCCGCCCGCGGGTCCCCGGATTGCGGGTTGCGTGCGCGCCTCGCCGCGATGCGCTTGCGCCGTCCGGGCAGCCTGTGGCCCCCTCCCCTCTCCTCCGCCCAGCGTTTCCCGCTGCTGCCTCTAGCAGGCAAAGCGCGCTTCCTCCTCTGGCCTGCGTACGCCGGGGCACCGCGGCGGCTGAGGGAAGGGGGTGCTTCGCCTGTGGTGGTTGCCGCCGGGGCGCCACTGGCCTAGGGCTCTTCATTCATTCAAGCCACGAATAACTGGCGCCGTCGTGCAGGCCTTGTGGGTAGAGGAAAAAAAATTGAAGAATGTAAAGGGAGAGCGCCTTTGGCTAGTATAGCGAGGTAAGGCGTCTCGAAGGAGGGAGGCTTTGAGCTGATAACCTCGGCCAACGCGAAGGAAAAGCAGAGCCTGCAGAAGCGGAAGGGATTAGTTATCGCTTAAGGGCAGAAACTGGGCGGGAGCTGAAAGCAGGCCATGTGACTGGAGTGTGGCGAGAAGGCCTTCAAAGGAGAATGGGTTTTAGGGTGGCAAGAGTGGAAACAAAAACCGTGTAGGACAATATTTCACTAGCCCGGGTGTGCAGTAGTGGTGGCAGGAGAGATGGGGAGAAACGAATGGATAGGGGACGTATTTTGAAGCAGAAATGCGTAGTGGTGGAAGGTAGTAGATCTGGAGTCAGGCTACGTTTTCTGGAATTCTTGCGCCTTTTTTTTTTTTTTTTTTTTTGCAAGAGTCTCGCTCTGTCGCCAGACTGGAGTGCAGTGGCGCGATGGCGGCTCACAGCAACGTCGGTCTCCCGGGTTCAAGTGATTCTCCTGCCTCAGCCTCCGGAGTAGCTGGGACTACAGGCGCGCGCCACCACGCCCAGCTAATTTTTGTATTTTTAGTAGAGACGGGGTTTCATCATGTTGGCCAGGATGGTCTCGATCTCTCGACCTCGTGATCCGCCTGCCTTGGCCTACCAAAGTGCTGGGATTACAGGCGTGAGCCTCCGCGCCCGCCCGAATTCTTGCTCTTATAATTAGGAGCTCTGTCTTCCTGAAGCAAGATATTCTTTGTCTCAGTTTCCCCTTCTCTAAAGGGATAGTGATCTTACCTGTACAAGGTTACTAAGGATTAAGTAAAATAGTTCCATTTAGATGATCTATTATGGATATTGTTTGACACACATTAAGGGTTCTACAAGGGATAGCTATGGAGAATCTTAAGGGAGTGGACGACTCTCAACTTGTGCCAGGAGTAACTTGGTGGATGTCGTACCGTTTATGGAAACCGAAATGTAGGGGTAGGGTGTTGGAACAGATTTGAGGGGAAATTTAAAATTCTGTTTTGACTGAGATGCCAAGTTAGCATGCAAATGGGTGAGTTAGTGCCACAGTTGGATGAACTTAATTTTGGACTTTAAAGAGAAACGACGGGCGGGCGCGGTGGCTGACGCCTGTAATCCAGCACTTCGGGAGGTTGAGGCGGGCCGATCAAGAGGTCAGGAGATCAAGACCATCCTGGCCAACACGGTGAAACCCCGTGTCTACTAAAAATACAAAAAATTAGCTGGGCGTGGTGGCGGGCGCCTGTTGTCCCAGCTACTCGGGAGGCTGAGGCAGGAGAATCGCTTGAACCTGGGAGGCGGAGGTTGCAGTGAGCCAAGATCTCGCCCCTGCACTCCAGCCTGAGCGACAGAACGAGACTCCGTCTCAAAAAAAAAAAGAGAGAAAAGACTAAAGTTTAAATATATGTATTTGGGCATCGATAGCATGTAGTTGGTATTGAACATTATGGGGTTGTAAGAGACTAGGGAGACAGGAGTTTGATAGTATAGTCCTTCGTATTTCATATTACTCATTCACCATGAGGGCTTGTTGTTTAATTATTCACGAGGTGGAATTTCCAGATAAACATTTTCAGCTTTCCACGGCTTTTTTGTTAATAGGACATTCCCTTCGCCAAATGGATGACCAGAGTTAGACTGTGGCCACTCAGACGTAACAAATTTATGCTAGGGGTGCAGTTTGATGACGTTAGACTTAGGTGCTAACAAAATGCATCAAACGTGAAACGTGAAGCAGACGGTTTAATGCTGGTAATGGGATTTCTTCTCACAGCAAACTAAATTCATAGCATATTTTATTTTCTCTGGTTATAAATGTGGTCTCATATCTTGCTTACAGTTTAGACTCAGCATTTAGACTGATAGGCTCCATATCTTGTGGTATTTTATAGACTTGTTGCACTTCAAGAAAACTTTAATATCCTCAAATTTTAATAAAAAGGCCTAAAGGAGAGATTTGGTATAGAACATTTAAGTTAATAGGTTACCGTCTTCAGTACTGAGTGCTTAATGTATTTGAACTTTATTATATTATTAATACATGGCCTACAACTTTGGGGACAATATGCTAGTGGTCATAATCAGAATGAGAATAAAACATTGAATTTATATGCAAATGATAACTTTCTTAATATATAGTAGTTTGGATTTGAATTTAGGCCTCCACGGTGGGTGACTTGGAAGTTACTTTTTTAAATCTTAGTTTCTTACTTCCTGAAAAGACAATGATAGTACCCACCATATCTGTGTGCCATTGTTGTGAGGATGAACTGAGTTAAATATATAAGGTGCCCGTTGTAGAATATAGGGCCTTATATAAAATACTTTGTAAGAAAAGATAAAAATCACTCTTAGTCCCCAAAGATAACCATTTTAGGGGGTATTTCTTTCCAGTCTTGATCATGTATATGTACTTTTCATGAAGTTCAAATCATACCGTTTTGTATCCTTTTTCTTACAACATATAAACGTTCCAATTATGTCGTTAAAATTTATGGGGAGTCTTAATAGCAACATGATAGAATATCCTATGTTTAACCCAGATTCAGTAATCTAGATAATTGGTTCCTCCCAGTTTTTGCTATTATAAATGCTGTTTTTAACTGACTTTTGTTTTCTTAGATCTGAAGAAGACACTTGAATCATGGGTGACGTTAAAAATTTTCTGTATGCCTGGTGTGGCAAAAGGAAGATGACCCCATCCTATGAAATTAGAGCAGTGGGGAACAAAAACAGGCAGAAATTCATGTGTGAGGTACTGAAGAATACAGTTTGCATTTATGTGATTTATGAGGTTCATTTTGGGGTTAAAAGAAAAATGTTTTCTGTTTGGAGATGTTAATGTGTTGCACATTAGGAAACGACAGTTCTTTATTGTGACTTGACTGCTATTGTAAATCATTTTCAAGTCAGCATTACTTTTAAAACAATCTGACAGGTAAATTATTCTAATTAGAGCCTATATCTTCCTCAGCTTCCTCAGTACCAGTAGTGGGGATGGGAAAAGTTGGATCAACTGTTTGCAGTTTTATAAGCACGTTTAGAAAGCAGAGCAATTCTTGATTGCTTCAAATCAAAGTGCTTAAATACAAATGGAGAGCTTGTTCATGGATATTACAGAATCAGATTTTAATGTGAACCTTCTGTTATATGAGAAAAAAAAATCTGAGCCACTTAAATTATTTTTGGATACAACACAATTTAAGCTTTTTCAGTAGCTCATGCATTCTCTTATTTTTATATTTATATTTATAGAGTATATTTCCTAAAGTTAGCTGTTTGTTGTCTCTTAATGGACTACTGAATTACGACTTTTTAAAATCTCAGAATTACCCAGGTCAGTCTCTTAGTACTTTTTTTTTTTTTTAAAGGTTCAGGTGGAAGGTTATAATTACACTGGCATGGGAAATTCCACCAATAAAAAAGATGCACAAAGCAATGCTGCCAGAGACTTTGTTAACTATTTGGTTCGAATAAATGAAATAAAGAGTGAAGAAGTTCCAGCTTTTGGGGTAAGTACCTATGGCGAAGCACTTGAGATGTATGTTGTAAAGTTGTACAAACTCAATATGCGTAAGAGACTCAAGATAGTAATTTTTCACTGTTTTCAGATATATCGTGTTTCGTAATGAAATTTGGCATCTTGTTTTGTCTCAGCACTGGACAAAATTTCTGAAGATGTGGATTGCATCCTTATTATATACCTGTCTTAGGGGCTTGAGAAATTCCATTAATCTTTGTGTCTTATGGCTTTATTTCATGTATTTATACACCAGAAATTTCAGAGTCTGTTATGTTCCATTCATTACCAATGATAATACTTTAAATAAAATAGAAAAATCAGTAATATTTTAGACATGTTTGCTCCCATTGACACTCCCCCTGCCCCGTAAGCGATGAGGTCTTGCTCTGTTACCCAAGCTAGAATGCAGTGACACAACCATAGCTCACTGCAGCCTCAAACTCTTGGGCTCAAGCAGTCCTTCATCCTTAACCCCCTTAGTAGCTGGACTACAGGTGCATGCCACCACTTCTGGCAAGTTCTTTGTGTTTTGAGGCAGAGTCTTGCACTGTCGCCCAGGCTGGAGTGATCTCGGCTCACTGCAGCCTCCGCCTCCTGGGTTCAAGCGATTCTCCTGCCTCAGCCTCCGAGTAGCTGGGATTACAGGCACGCTCCATGATGCCCAGCTATTTTTTATGTTTTTAGTAGAGATAGGGTTTCACCATGTTGGCCAGGCTGGTCTTGAACTCCTGACCTCAAGTGATCCATCCACCCACTTCCGTCTTCCAAAGTGCTGGGATCACAGGCATGGGCCACTGCACCTGGCTGACATGTCCTTATATAACAAAATAGTATTTTATGCAATGGAGTATTTTTGTGTTTTTTATGTCATGATTATCTTAATTATATTACGTAAGTATGCAACAAATACCTCTGTCTAGTAGGTTGTTTTGGGGGATTTTTGTTTTGTTTTTCTGCCTTTTTTCTTTTTGGGGCTCAATCAAACTCTTGGCCTCAAGCCATCCTCCCACTTCAGCTCTTCCCCAGTAGCTGGGACTGTGGGTGTGTGCCGCTACACTAGGCTCTAGTAGTTTTTAAGAAATAAGGTTTTTTTTGTTTGTTTGTTTGTTTTGTTTTTTAAGACGGAGTCTTGCTCTGTTACCTAGGGTGGAGTGCAGTGCTCACTGCAACCTCCACCTCCTGGGTTCAAGCAGTTCTCCTGCCTCAGTCTCCTAAGTAGCTGGGATTACAGGCACCTGCCAACATGCCCAGCTAAATTTTGTATTTTTAGTAGAGACGGGGTTTTACCATTTTTTGCCAGGCTGGTCTCGAACTCCTGACCTCGGCCTCCCAAAGTGCTGGGATTACAGGTGGGAGCTACGGCGCCTGGCCCACGCCCAGCTAATTTTTGTGTTTTTAGTAGAGACAGATTTTCACCATGTTGGCCAGGCTTGTCTTGAACTCCTGACCTCAAGTGATCCGCCCCCTTCAGCCTCCCAAAGTGCTGGGATTACAGGTGTGAGCCACTGTGCCCAGCCTGTCTATGCCAGTTTTAACAGGGTCCTGTTACTGAATTTTTGTATTCTGCCTTGTTTATGACAGTATTCTGACTCGTTATGAAAGAAATCTTATTTCCTTCCATTCCTTTGACTAAGAACTCGATAGACTTACTTTCCGGTAGATTAACTGCTGGGTAATTATAGTATCTTACAGTCTTTAATTTTATTGGTTTGCCTATCTGTAAAATGAAGGGATTGGG
The DNA here is from genome assembly GCF_000001405.40 of Homo sapiens. Classification (NCBI taxonomy): domain Eukaryota; kingdom Metazoa; phylum Chordata; class Mammalia; order Primates; family Hominidae; genus Homo; species Homo sapiens. Next base: position 182,845,184 of record NC_000001.11, read on the forward strand.
CAAGATCATCTTAAAAATGCCTTCTGGTAGAGAAAACAGTTTTGCAAATGTCTTTTACATGTTTGAAGTCTCCCTCTATTCTTTATCTTTTAGGCTCTTCTCTATGGTCTTGTAGATCTGCTAGTGACAAATTCTCTTATTCTCTTTCTGAAAATATTTTTATTTTACCTTCTTTAAGAATATTTTCACTGGATGTAGAATTCTGGGGTACCAGATATTTTTTTCCCTCTTTTGGTATGTAAGTGGAAAAAAAAAAAAACAATTTTCCTCTTCTCTCATACCACAACAATCAACAAAGAAGATTTCTGTGACTAAATGTGGGGTGGAGGTGGGGGACTTTTTCCACACACCCCAAGCAAGCAATCAGTTCTGCAGCAGTCACTAGCAGGGTATCCTCCAGTTCAACTCTGACACTACCTGGAGATAGCGTCAGACTCCACAGGGTGAGGACTCAGTCCCACAAGACTCCCCAGCCCCTTCAGACACCACTTGCAAGTCTGGGCCTCTAGAACTTCTGACTGACTAGCTTCAAGTTATGGTTTTCATGACTGCCTCTTTGGGGTCAGTTAATTTGCTAGTGTGGCTCACAGAACTCAGGAAAACCTACATTTACCAGTTTATTATAAAGAATACTACAAAATACAGTTGGTGAAATAAGTAGGGCAAGATATGGCGGAGGCAGCAGGGAGCTCCCATGCCCTGCCTCGAACACCATTCTTCAGGAACCTCCACCTGTTCGGCCATTTGGAAGCCCTCCAAACCCTGTCCTTTGGTTTTTATGGAAACTTCATTATTCAGTATTGATTAAATCGTTGGCCATTGGTGACTTGACCTTCAGCCCTTCTCACTTCCCCAGAGGCTGGGAGGTGGGACCGAAAGTTTCAGCCCTCTAATCTTTCCTTGGTGGTTCTGGTGACCATCCCCCCACACCTGAAGCTACCTAGGGCCTGCCAGCCAGCAGTCAACTCGTTAGCATACAGAAAGTCTCCACTTAGGAGATTATAAGGATTTAGGATTTCTATGCCAGGGAAATGGGATTGAAGACCAGATGTACTTTTTTTTTTTTTTTTTGAGATGGAGTTTCGCTTTTGTTGCCCAGGCTGGAGTGCAGTGGCATGATCTCGGCTCACCGCCACCTTTGCCTCCGGGTTCAAGCGATTCTCCTGCCTCAGGCAGGAGTATCTGGGATTACTGGCATGTGCCGCCATGCCCGGCTAATTTTGTATTTTTAGTAGAGACGGGGTTTCTCCATGTTGGTCAGGCTGGTCTCCAACTCCCAACCTCAGGTTATCTGCCCGCCTTGGCCTCCCAAAGTGCTGGGATTACAGGCGTGAGCCACTGAGTCCAGCCAGAGACCAGATAGGCTTTAAAGATAATATGACACTGTCTACTTGCTGTTTTCTGTAAGAAGTCAGCTATAATCAAATCACTCTCTCCCATATGTAATGTGGTAGTCTGTGTTTTTAAGATCTTTTCCTGTTATTTTTGGTTTTTAGTATTTTGTGTTGTGACCGGGCATGGGTTTTTTTGTATGTGTGTGTTCTAACTTGTTCAAGGTTTGCTGAGATTATTGAATCCATAGATTTATGTATTTCACCAACTTTGAGAGACTTAGCTATTATTTAAGATATTTTTTGTTTTATTTTTTCTTCTTTCCTCTTGGTGTTTATATTTATAAAGACTTGATATCCCACAGGTCCCTGAGGCTCTCTTTTTTTTTTCCTATCATTTTTTCCACTGTTTCTCAAATTGAATAATTTTTATTGATTATCTTCAGATTCTTTGATAGTTTTTTCTGTCCCTTCCATTTTGCTAAGCCCACCCAGTGTATTTCAGACACTACCTTTTTCACTTTTAAAATCTCCAGCTTATTCTTTTCTGTATGTTTTCTCTGGTGGCATTTCTTTTCATTCGTTATAAGTGTATGTTTGTAATATAAATATGGATTTCTTTTATGTCATGAAGCTTAATTCTAATAGCTGCTTTAAAATCCTTGCCTACTACTACTAACATCTGAGTCATCTCAGGGTTGGATTCTCTTGATAGGTATATTTTCTTGAGGTTGGATCACATTTTCCTCTTTGTGTATCAAATAATTTTTTATTGCATTCTGGGCATTGGAATATTATGCTGTGGAGACTCTGAATAATGTTATACTCCTCCAAAGAGCATTGATTTGGTTTTTTTGTTTTGTTTTGTTTTGTTTTTAATCAGGCATTTAATTTAACTGGACTCAAACTGCAAATGCTGTCTTTTGGATGTTAACTCAGATCTCACCTCAGTTTTCTGATCATTTAGGACAGCCATGGAAGAGTCCTTCAGGTCTCCTTTGCTGGGCAGCTTGGAATCTGCCCTGTACATGAGTGGTTTTCAAGGGTTAGCCAGAGATTTCAATATACAGAATTCGGGGCTCCTCCTCTCTGGCTGTTTCCTTTCCAGCATTCCCTCACTTTCTAGCAGCTTTGCTTTCCCTGAACTCTAATTCTGATTCTTCAGGCCAAAAAGATGGTTTCATTGGAGGTTTAGCTGCCTGGGATGGCTTCTCTCAGGCTAAAAGCTACAGTAAACTGGAATTAGACCCTTGATACTCCGTGCTTCCCCATTTTAACTTCTCTCAAGAATCTACCTGCTTTTTTCGTTCATTTTTTATTGCCTGCATATAGTTCTGGTGTGTTGTGTGTGTGTTTGTATTTTTTCCCCCTAAAGTTTATTTTACCTGCAGGAGGGTCAGTCTTACAGGAACTTACTTGGCTACAACCAGAAGTAATCCCCTAGGTGATTTTTTTATTATTGTTTTAACATGGCTCAGGTGTTTCCTATTAAATGCTCTGTGGATTTCCTACTTTCTTCCTTATTTCCTCTGTTCCAGCTACAGTAGCTGTACTTCTTCATAGGTCTTCAAATAAGCCCTCATCTTTCTGCCTCAAAACTTCTATACCTGAAGGACTCTTCCCCAGCTGTCCTATTTAACATTATAAACATTGTCACCCTCAGGTTACTTCCTAAACTCCTTCAATGCTTTATTTTTCTCCGTAACACTTACTTTTTAACTCAGTGTTTCTCAACTGGAGACCATTTTGTCCCCTCAAGGGATGTTTGGGGATGTATGGAGATATTTTTGTTGTTGTAACTCGAGGAGGCCACTGACATCTAGAAGGTGAAGGCCAGGGATGCTGCTAATGACCTACAATGCACTTGACAAACTCCTACAACAAAGAATTAACCAGCCTAAAATGTCACCAAGATGAGAAACCTTGTTCCAACGTAATTTATTTTTGTTTCATTGTATTAGAATGTAAGTTCGTGAGGGCAGGGATTTTTTTGTTTTTAGTTCGTTGCTGTGTCTCCAACATTTAGAATGGTTCCTGGTCTATAGCAGATACTTAAATGTTTTTTGGTTGACTGAGTAAATGAATGGATGAATTTGGAAAAAAAAATTATAACAACCCATTTCTACTTTTAACCCCACTGTATTATTAGTCCATTCTTGCATTGCTATAAAATACCTGAGACTGCATAATTTATAAAGAAAAGAGATTTAATTGGCTCACAATTATGCAGGCTTTACAGGAAGTGTGGTACTGGAATCTGCTTGACTTCTGAAGAGGCCTCAGTAAACTTAGAATGATGGCAGAAGGTGAAGGGGAAGCAGGGATGTCCTACATAGCAGGAGCAAGAGAAAGTAAAGGGGAAGATGCCACACACTTTTAAATGACCAGATCTCATGAGAACTCACTCACTGTTGCTAGGATAGCAGTACCAAGGAAAGTGGTACTAAACCATGCATGAGAAACCCACCTCATGATCCAGTTACTTCTCACCAGGCCCTACCTCCAACATTGAGGATTAAAATTTGACATGACATTTGGGCAGCGATACGTAACCAAACTGTTACCAGCTACCATCTTTATCTTACCTCCTCATTCTAGGGAAATCCTTTTTCATAATCACTTATTTCATCTGGAACTTACCCTTTCATGCCATAAATTGCATTTGCCAAAAGTGAGCATGTAGAGGATATTTTAAAATTTTTTTTGCTGTGGACAATTGTAGATGTGTATAAAAGAATAATATAGTGAAACTCCATGTTTCCGTCATCTGGCTGCAACACTTTCAATTTTACTCATTTCTAACTACTCCCCTTTCTTAGATTATTTTGGAGCATCCCAGACATCTTATTCATCTGTTAATATTTCAGTTTTTAACTAAAACATAATTCTTTTTTTAAAAAAAGTATTATAATCAAACCTAAAAGAAAAATTTAAGAATAGTGTCAATATAATGAGATATCCAATTAATGTTTACATTTTCCTGATTTGGTAATGTCTGGAGATGTTTGAACTTGAAGGAGGTGTGTTGATGGCGTCTAGTGGGTGGAAGCCAAGGATGTTAAAAACTATGGTATTCAGAACAGCTTTCTGCAACAAATAATTACCTGGTTGAAATGTCAGTGGTGCTAATGTTGAGAAACATTGGTCTGTAACCTCACCACTGGTTTTAGATACCTTAGTATTCTTTTAATTTGCTTTTTAAAATTATGAGTGAAGTCAAACATCTTTTGGGCTTTAAGGATCATTTACATATATATTTCTCTGTACTGCCTCTACATATATCTTCCCTTTTTTTTTAATTGGATTCTTGGTCTTTTCCTCTGTGTTTGTTAATATATTAGCAATATTAACTCCTTACCTGTGATGTGTCACAAATATTTTTTCTCAGTTTGCCCATTATAACTTTATTTTTACTTGTGTTTTTTGCCATATCAAAAAAACTGGTTCATTGTAAAGTGTACACACGTACCCCCCCCCCTTTTTTTTTTAATTTCATCAGCGTTCAGCTTTATTGATAACATCCTCCAACCCATCAAAATTTTTCTGTCTTCTCTGGCACTGGATTCTCTAATTATCTTTCTGTCTCTGACTGCTCCTTAATTTTTTTTAACCTTCCTCTTGGTAGAGTGTGGAACCATATCCTTAAGTATTAAGTATTCATACATAATACTACTCCAAGCTTGGGTATTCTGTCAGATACTTGTGTCTTTTTGTAATGAATGCATCAGTACTTGACTATTATCTAGGCTAAATCATCCAGCCTTGGTGACAGAGCCAGACCCTGTCTCAAAAAAAAGAAAAATGGCGTGGTGGCTCACACCTGTAATACCAACACTTCGGGAGATAGAGGCAGGAGGATCTCTTGAGTCCAGAAGTTCAAGACCAGCCTCAGCAACATAGACCCCATCTCTACAAAAATAAAATAGAAATATTAGGTGGGAATGGTGGTGGCTGCCCGTAGTCCCATCTACTCGAGAGGCTGAAGTGGGAGGATCACTTGAGCCCAACAGGTTGGGGCTGCAGTGATCTGTCATTGCACCATTGCACTCCAGCCTGGGTGATGCAGTGAGACCCTGTCTCAAAAAAAAAAAAAAAGGTTTTAAATGGGAACAGATTGTGAGAATAGAAAAAGAAATAAATGGACTATAGCATTGCCAATGTTGCTAAAATCTGTGTATTTTTGTTTAGATAGTTACATGTGTATTTTAATGTGATAAAATATATATTGTGTATACTATTTTATAACCTACTTGAAAAAGTATTTTCTCACATTGCTGACTCTTCCTTAGGCAGAGCCAAGATTATGCACTGTGACACTTTCAATACTCTTATACCTCACCTATTTTAATTGATTTTGAAATGTTAAAAAAGGAAATCCTCCCCATCACTGGAAAATAGAAGTTACATCAGACACCTCAATTCTCATACGTTAGGAATTTTCTTTTAGGTTGGTGTAGATAGAGAGTGAGGTGGAGGGGAATTTGAGGTCCTGGAGTGGCAAGGTGGTAGAAAGAGGAGGACAAGTTAGCATTGTGGTGCCAGGACTGCCCAGTGAATTTTTCCTGTGCCTTGGTTATTAGGGCTGACCCTTGAATAGGTTCTACTTTGTCTCCATAACCCCAACCTTGGAGGAACACTATCCTTCAAGGTATAAGCTCTCTAGAAGAAAGCAGAAAAGAAAAAAATTCACAATGTACTAATAACACAACATTAGACATGTTGCTATATATATTGGCAGAAGCAAAGTGGTAATGTGAAAAAGTAACAAAGCGCCCAAAAAACCCTAAGAGACAATTGGAAATTTGAATTTAGATCTAAGTGAAAATTTTAAATTATGATCATAGACTATTTAGATAAGTGTCTGGCAAAACTCTGGAGTGGTCAGAGGAACAATCATTTATTCAAAATAATAATAGTTATACTATTGCACAAAAAACAGCTTTTTGAATGAATTAGCTTTCATCTCAGAATGAAACAGGAGAAATTAATAGCGATAAAATCAGAAATTGCTGAATTAGAAAGTAAAAATAAGTCAAATTTTTAAATGTTCTTTGCAAACAGAAATAGTTCATCCCATCTAGTTAAGGAAAAGGTTGTATAGATCTCAGTTCTTCATCCTAAAACCCATGTGGTTAGATGGGTTTAAGAATTCAGAATTTTCCTTAGTTTAGAAAACCAATATATTTTATGTAACAGCACATCTGAGGCAAAACCCTGTAATTAAACTTTCTTAATACGTAGTACTAATGATCTTATAAGAGAAAAATATCTATTCCGTGATCATCTTAATAAAGGCTTTTGAAAAAGTATTTGATAAAATTAAACACTAATGACCAATAAAATACTTAAGAAATGGAGTAGAAAGATACTTTTTTGACTGCTTTAAAAGGTGTTAAGGTAGTAAACACTACTAAAAATGAGCCCCAGAGCAGTGTTACTCAAAATGTTACAGTTTGTGAGGAGGTAAGTACAGAAATGAGTAAACATTTAGAAATACAGTATTGTGACAGGTTGTTCCCAGTGGATTAGGGGAAACAACCAGTTCTTCATTGCAGACATTTTGAGATGCACTGCTCTAGAGACTTAACCTCTAAACAAAGATGGTAATATTACAAAGAAAGGAGGTATGACACATGGGTCCTTTTAAGTATTAAAAGAATTTACTAGTCCCCGTGAAGGCAAAAGCACTGACAGCTGCCTTGACTTTTTCTTTTGCAGGTAGCATCTCCGCCCCCACTTACTGATACTCCTGACACTACAGCAAATGCTGAAGGAGATTTACCAACAACCATGGGAGGACCTCTTCCTCCACATCTGGCTCTCAAAGCAGGTAAGGGACTTGAATCCATGCACGTGGTGGAGAATAAGATATACACAATCTTGATCACCATCTCTGTTTCTCGTTTTGGGTAGAAAGAACTGCAGTAAACTCTTGATGTTAAGAGACAACCCAAGGCCTTCATAAATTTGCACATATTACCAGATCATTTATTTTTTTCTTAGAACATGTGGTACAGCATAGTTCTTTGCTGTCATTGGCTTTTACTACATTTTTCTCTGAATAAATAGGTTTTCCACAGGCTAGAATATTTGGTGAAAGAATCTTATGAATTGCCTTTTCTTGTTCCTTATTCTTACTAAATATATTGTTGACTTGTTTGTTTACCCTGTGGATCCAGGCCATTGCAGAATGACTTACAGTAGGTCCTTGAATAACTTTGTTTCCTTCAATGTTATTATCTTACAACATTGCTTATAGTCTTCGTTTCCAAGAACCTAGCAGCGACATTAATTGAGGATTTACTGTATAGTCACAGCTTTTATTGGGATGTCTACCATATGGTAGATTAGGATTTGGGTCATATTGCTTAAGTCTCATATTTACTGTTTATTGAATAGCAGTAGTATCTACTTCATATGATTGCTTTTTGAGGCAGAGTCTTGCTCTGTCACCCAGACTGGAGTGCAGTGGTGCAATCTTGGCTCACTGCAACCTCCACCTCCCAGGTTCAAGTGATTCTCTCACCTCAGCCTCTCTAGTAGCTGGGATTACAGGCATATGCCACCATGCCCGGCTAATTTTTGTATTTTTAGTAGAGACGGGGTTTCACTATGTTGACCAGGCTGGTCTCAAACTCCTGACCACACGTGATACCCACCTCAGCGTCCGGAAGTGCTGGGATTACAGATGTGAGCCTCCATGCCCGGCCATAAATTAGGATAATTCTTTAATGTATTTAGGATTTTTCTACAGTTATGACTCATTAAGAGAATTTTTTTTCTTTTAACAGAAAATAATTCTGAGGTAGGGGCCTCTGGCTATGGTGTTCCTGGGCCCACCTGGGACCGAGGAGCCAACTTGAAGGATTACTACTCAAGAAAGGAAGAACAAGAAGTGCAAGCGGTAAGGCCAGCACCGTAGGTTACATCTCTGAGAATGTGATTTGGGACTTAGTTAACAGCAAAGCTTAGGATTAGGATATTCACAAGTTAATAATTGGGTGCATCTTTTAAGAGGTTATTTGAGACTACTTATTAGCACAAGTCATCATAAAGCTAAACTACCCATTTACTCTTGTTATTCACATTGCCTATGGAGGAAAAAAACAGTATTTTTTTCTTGGTAGTAATAAAAAGATCTCCTCTTCAGCTTTATAGGAAATGTAATTATCTCAGGGGACCTTATTTTATGAGCACTTAGAGTAAAAAAAAGTCTTTAGTATAGCTTATTTTTCCACTTCATGTATTCAGTGTTAAAACAAGCACAAAGAAGTTGTCATTTTTTTTTTTTGGAAGAATTTAAATGCAATGTATTAACTAATAGCTTGTTTATATAATAGGGCCTTTAGATGCAATAAAAAGTAATTCTGGTTCAGTTTTTGACTAGGATTATAAACTATCAAAAACAGCTTTTGCATTATAAAGGATAGTACAAAGACAGTATTAAAAATTTCTGTGCCTTGTTTGTATACCTAAACTTAACACAGCCAAATTTAATTATCATTGATTCTACAGACTCTAGAATCAGAAGAAGTGGATTTAAATGCTGGGCTTCATGGAAACTGGACCTTGGAAAATGCTAAAGCTCGTCTAAACCAATATTTTCAGAAAGAAAAGATCCAAGGAGAATATAAGTACACCCAAGTGGGTCCTGATCACAACAGGTTTGCTTGTTTCATTCTTTTCCTTCTGTAGTAAGTTAAGGTGGTTTTGGATATTCACTGTTGAATATAATCTATTTTTGTACGTTGTCTGGTTAATTGTGTGGATTAGAATTGAATTGTTAAAAGATAACGTTAATTTGCACAAGAATAATTATTGATTTGTGCAGTTTCCATGGTTTTCACATGAGTGAATTTTAGCTGTGTAAGAAGTTCAGCGTAAATCTTTTTGACATGCTAGACATTTAAGATGCTCATTTGAATCTGAAAGGCAAAAGTCATGACCACAATTGCTGGTTTGTCCCTAGTTGATGTAAAAGCCAGCCAAAGGTGGTGATTTTTTTTTTCACCTTGGTATTGTTAGAGGCAGTTACTATTTCTTTAATGGGTCAGGTTAGATACTTAAGCTTTGAGTCCCAGAATTAGATTGTATTGCATCTACATCCACATTTCACTTAAGCCTTGAAAACTGCCAGCTTTCCTAGGAGTCCTAGTGAAATTTAAGGGCTTATCGTAAGGTCGAAAAGGAACAGCCTTGGTCTTTGTATGTGGGGGTGTACTTTTTTCCTGTTAAATGTATAAAACAATATAAAGGGAGGTCATTTTAACAGTATGTTTCTCAGCCTGCTTGCTGTTCTTCCTGAGAGCATTCCAGGGTGTAGTAATTATTACTCCCAGGAAGGCTCATATGGATTAGACTTTTCTGGGGAGCGATGTATTTTTATTAGAACGGAGGGGAGGTTGTAATGGAAACCTTTTTGAATGATTCCGTTTGCTGTCCGTACTTATGAAATAAATTATCCAAATACATTAAAAATATTTTTCTCGAAAATCAAAGTGTTCTCCATTGGATGCATCTAGCGACCCTGAAATAATTAATATTAATACAAAATTTTGTCACTGATCAAAATGATATTTAGAGCATGGTTCCCCCTTCCTCCCACTGTTTTGTTCAATCCTGAATTCTCAGATATTTCTGGTGTCAGCCTTTTTAAAACCGTCAGGTTGCAAAGGAGTGATACATTTGTTGATGATTTGTTTTCTTTCATATTTTGTCTTTCTGAACGCATTGGGCTTGGTAGCACTTGGTGACTTTAAGAACAATGAGATACCGAAGTGTGCCTGAAGCTCATCGTTGCAGACATTTTTTGTTATCAGTATCTTATCATAGATTTCTGATACAAAGCAGTGAAGAATTCAGGAAAAGACAATGTGGGAGGCACAGACAGTTGGGGGAGCCAGGACAGCATTGCTCTTTGTATGTCCTTTTATTTAAAGGCATAACAGACAGCAACACCAGAGGTCTGTGTTCATACACACATGTGCTGCTGCTTAGGCTGAACTAAGCAATCACATGGGAAACTATTGTAAACTGATTTCTGGTGTCGCTGTTCCCCCTAGGTGGAGGAGAATGAGATTGAGTGCTGACTTTAAGCCTGGCTGAGAAACATACTGGCATCGATGTCATTAATGAAAGGGTGGATGTTGTTCCCCTGAAAGCCAGTGGCCTTTGACCCCTGAAGCCGCTGTGCCTGAAGGTCAGTTCACACGAGGTATAGGAAGGAGTCTAACATTTATTTTTTTCTTAAGCCTCACCTAGCCTTTTATTCACACCACCAAGTCTAGGTTAGAATGTATCTGAGCAGTGAAAGGACCAGAATGCATAGTTATCAAAGGGCAGTTTTTCCCTTGCTAAAACCTAAATTCATTTTTTAGACTCTGCTAGCAGTTTTAGATATAATGTTACAACATGTGTTTTGTTCTCCAGGACCTGATTTAAATAAATGTGATAAAAATAGGCTAAGTTTTTTGTCATCCAGGGCTGCTTCCAACTGCAGGCAGATGTGAGAACTCTGCCTCAGGAGCCACTGATATGCACAAAGTGTATGTGCATGTGTGAGTTTGCGTATATTAGCTTAATAGATCGCAGTCATTAATGGGTGGCCTATGCAAAGGAATCTTAAAATAATTATAACCGTAATGTAAAACATTTGGGGCCTACTTTATTTCTTGGCTCCAAGCTAAGTGGAAAATTCCTTTTCATTGAATGTGTTCTAGCTCTTGAGACTCCAGCCTTTGGAATAAGAGTAAGTAAATATAAAATCTAATACCCTAACGTTTTCCTTTCATGAACAATTGGCTCATCAACTTTGATTATAGTTGTCTTATGCCATGTTGTATATTATTTGAAGTTTATATACTTCATTTGTTCTAGGGTTGGGCAGAAATAAATGTTGGTAATTTTTTTTTTCTGTGATTTGCCTAAGCAGTTGGAAAGCCTGCCTGACTTGGGAGACCTGGATTTGCTGGTTTCTAACAGTGAAATTTCTAACCTTGCTTGTATATGTTGTTACAGGAGCTTTATTGCAGAAATGACCATTTATATCAAGCAGCTGGGCAGAAGTAAGTGTTACTGTTTCCCCAATATTCCAAGTCTCTGTATAGAGAAGGAATCTTCACATTTTAAGTCTTGAGTCACGTATACAGAAGCTGTATTATTTGAAAGAGCACATAATGTAAGATAGCATCTAGGGTATATTTTAGAATATTAGTAATTATATAAATTAGAGGCAAAGTCTCCCAGTTTGCATGTGAAAACAGACCATGTTAGTGTAATCTTTCAAAGGTAAGACACAGTGGGATGATTAGGAGTCTGCCAGTGTCAATTAATTTTAAACCTTTTTTGTTTTTTGAGACGGAGTCTTGCTCTGTCGCCCAGGCTGGAGTGCAGTGGTGTGATCTCGGCTCACTGCAAGCTCCGCCTCCCAGGTTCACGCCATTCTCCTGCCTCAGCCTCCCCAGTAGCTGGGACTACAGGTGCTGCCACCAAGCCCGGCTGATTATTTTTTGTTTTTAGTGGAGACGGGGTTTCACCATGTTAGCAGATGGTCTCTATCTCCTGACCTAGTGATCTGCCTGGCTCAGCCTCCCAAAGTGCTGGGATTACAGGCGTGAGCCACTGTGCCTGGTCTTAAACATTTTTTCATTTTTATATATACAATGAGTTATTTTGAGTGGATGGATAATACTAAGGGAGAGAGGATAAAGGCAGGCTAACTTCTGTCAGCTCACTTACCTTATCGAGGTTAATTTGGCTAGTTAGGCAGAAAGATACCTTTGTACCCCTTTGCTTTATATTCATCTCTCCTAAGGATGAATGATACAGGAGGAGAGGAAACTTTCTGTTAATATTTTCTATAAGGATATGAGTAACTTAGCTTTAGTTTAATGCTAAGGTCAGCAAACTATAGCCCTCTGGCCAGATCCAGCGTACTGCCTGTTTTTATAAGAACTGTTTTATTGTAACATAGCTACACTCACATTTTAGACTTTACAGGTCACACATTGTTATTCTCATTTTATTTTTACAACTCTTGAAAAACGTAAAGCCATTCCCAGTCCTATGGTTTATCAAACTCTGTTGTCAGTGACTGCTTTCACACATTAAAGGCAGAGTTGAGTAGTTGTGACAAGATACTATATGGCCTGCAAAGCCTAAAATATTTATTAATTGACCGTTTATAGAAAAAGTTTCCCAAATCCTGGTCTAGGTAACCACTCTGGACCCAATTACTTTTACTGGTTTATTTTTTACTCTTTGTCTTTTCAAACTATGTTTTCTTCCCCATTTTAATGTCTGATATTAACAGTGACAACTTTGTTGAAATAGGTTATTTGCTTTCATAATATTGATTTGTATGAGTCCTAGTATCAGCCAGTAATCAAAACTGTTGGTTATTTAGTTGATAAGCTGTTTGGCAATTTCTTTTGTTTAGCAGATATTAATAGAATAAAAAGGAACTAGAAGCCATGGCATACCCTGTATTTTAGGGCTTCTTGTGTACGTAAGCCCATAGTTTCTTGTGATAAGATGTTTCTTTACTCAGATGATTTCTTTCTGTCTGATAATCCTGACCTTACATTATAGGGATTTTTGCACGAGAACATGGATCAAATAAGAAATTGGCAGCACAGTCCTGTGCCCTGTCACTTGTCAGACAACTGTACCATCTTGGAGTGGTTGAAGCTTACTCCGGACTTACAAAGAAGAAGGAAGGAGAGACAGTGAGTCTTTAGATTTAATAGACTTGTGAGATAGTGTGAGATTCAATTTAGCTCTTGTTTAGTGTTTGGCTGAAGAAGTTTAATTTTAAGAATCTTACCTCAGGAAATGAAAATGGCCCTGCTAATCATCTCTGTGTCTGGCATGATGTTCATAATAGGCAGTGAGTAAATAATCATTGAAGTAATTCTCTCACAAAAGGGAACTGACTATTGGTTTAGGAATATTGTAGACCTAGTGTTGACTGTATAGTCTTAGCCCCATTATAGTAGATTTGAGTAGTGTTGTTAATGTGTGATCCTTTTTCCATAGGTGGAGCCTTACAAAGTAAACCTCTCTCAAGATTTAGAGCATCAGCTGCAAAACATCATTCAAGAGCTAAATCTTGAGATTTTGCCCCCGGTAAGCATAAAGCTGTTTAGTTCACATTTACGTAGAACTCTCCGTAGACAAGCAAATCATATTTTTTGTTTGTTTTTCTTATTTTTTAATAGCCTGAAGATCCTTCTGTGCCAGTTGCACTCAACATTGGCAAATTGGCTCAGTTCGAACCATCTCAGCGACAAAACCAAGTGGGTGTGGTTCCTTGGTCACCTCCACAATCCAACTGGAATCCTTGGACTAGTAGCAACATTGATGAGGGGCCTCTGGCTTTTGTGAGTGCAATATTGTTTTTGAGATCAGAGTCTTGTGTTTTACTCTTGAGACTATATTTGATTAGTATGTCTAGGTAAAAAATGGATTTATTTTGAAGCTGAATTATGTGCTTTTGTTTGACTATGTTGGCTTTTTGTTTTACAGGCTACTCCAGAGCAAATAAGCATGGACCTCAAGAATGAATTGATGTACCAGTTGGAACAGGATCATGATTTGCAAGCAGTAAGTCTGAATTATTTAGACAAGTAGTGCTCAGAGCTTCAGAATGTTCTAGGTATGGGTAAAAAGTCAATGAGCAGTACATTTTGCCCTTTTAAGGAGGGCATATCAAAAGATATGTACCAAACTGCTAATCCTAGTTACCCCTGAAGTTAGTTGCTATGAGTTGAGGGCCTGTGAGAGAATTTCACTTCTTAATGTAATTTAATAAAAGTGGAGAGATTTAAGGCAGTGACTCCTTTTGTTGTTGGTTTTTTTGTTTGTTTTAGTGTTTTCCAAATAAAAAATTAAAATGTTAAAAAGAATGCGTGTGCGACTTTCAGGGACAATGAGAATTTAGTTTTTGGACAACATCAAAAGATACATTCTTCAGAAGTGTAGTGAAAAGAAGTAGTTCTATTAGAGATATAAATATACACATTCTTTTTTGAAAAAAACATTTTCATCACTAAGCCAATGGAAATGAGTAAGTTTTTATAGAGATGGAAGTTTGGTTTTTTTGTTTGTTTTTTTCTTGAGACAAAGTCTCGCTTAGTTGCCCAGGCTGGAGTACAGTGGCTCAGTCTCGGCTCACTGCACCCTCCGCCTCCTTGGTTCAAGCAATTCTCCTGCCTCAGCGTCCCAAGTAGGTGGGATTACAGGCACACCCCACCACACCTGGCTAATTTTTGTATTTTTAGTAGAGATGGGGTTTCACCATGTTGGCTAGGCTGGTCTCGAACTCCTCACCTCATGATCCTCAGCCTCCCAAAGTGCTGGGATTACAGGCGTGAGCCACCGCGCCCAGTCTATAGAGATGGAAGTTTTTTAAAGGATCAAGACAGTTGCTTCTAATGTGTTGGTAGACATTTGACTGAAGTGTGACTTTTCTAATGCAGATCTTGCAGGAGAGAGAGTTACTGCCTGTGAAGAAATTTGAAAGTGAGATTCTGGAAGCAATCAGCCAAAATTCAGTTGTCATTATTAGAGGGGCTACTGGATGTGGGAAAACCACACAGGTTCCCCAGTTCATTCTAGATGACTTTATCCAGAATGACCGAGCAGCAGAGTGTAACATCGTAGTAACTCAGGTAAGTGGTAAACCAACCATGAAATACCTAGAGAGCAGACTATTTCTGATTCTTTCTTTGATTAACTAATTTTTGTAATTATTTAAGATTGAGAGAGCATTGTGCCCTTGAAATTAAATTTAAAAAAAGAAAACATAAAAACAACGTAGTCTTTTTCTAATCTCTAGTATGCTACACTAATAAGCTAAACTGGACTATGTGAGGGATTCTTTTTATCTGGGCTAAAGAGTCTCTGGGCCTAGAATCAGACTGTCGAGATTAAGAATTCTTTGTCCTAAAGTTCATCCAAATCTTGGTCATCTCTATCTAACCACCTTGATATTGAGTAAAAACCAGTCAGACAGGTAATGGTTAACTTTCACTGTATGCCATGTTCTATTCTAAGCAGTAGCTTTTTAGAAAAAACTCAATCGAAGTTCATAATGACCCTAAGATGTAAGTACTATTTCACATAGTATTTCTCTTTCAGTAAATTAAGGCATAAAGAAGGTAAAATGCCCAAGGTTAACACAGAAAGTGGTAGAACTAGGATTAAAAAACCAAGCAATCCGCCTTTTAGGATTCTTCCTTTTAACTAACACTGTATTACCTTACCAGCAATGAGCAGCGCCTGCATGTTTGTCCCAGTACTTAGGGAAGAACTGATTAGCTCTTCTAAGTGCTCTCAGGTTAAACAGTTCCGTTGGCTCTACCCTGTACTTCTGGCACTTTGTGGGAGAGCATTGCAAATAGCCAGGTACTACCTCTGAGGTAGGCTTACATCTTGACTTAGAAATTATTTTTTCCCCGATGGGTTAATGTTGCTTAACCTGGGAAACATAATCAGTTTTCAGAGGAGAGTTACAAACTTTGAAATGTGTGCATGTTCATTTACATTTGCATGTATAAAGCATATATCTGAAACTTTTTAACATTTCTGAAATTGAGATACATTTTTATAATTAGTATATTTGTATAATTGTATAATTAGTATAATTGTATATTTTATGTGAGAATTGGGTTTTCTCCTGAAAAAAAAAATTGCTGTGAAGGAATCATGTTGCATCCTAAGGCTGATGATACCTTAGGCTTGAAAAAATATGATAAATTGACATTTTTCTGGGAAAGGATTCCTAGCTTGTTCACAAAATTTTCTTTGATTTTCCGACTCACCCCTAAAACTGGCTATGGATTTTTTGACTTACAGTGAAGGCTGCAGCCCCAGATGTCATCATACTCCAATAAAATATTCTTACTCTTAATTCTTACCTCATCTTTCAGGAAGAACATTGTTCAAGAGTGCAATTTTACAGAAGAGAAGCCTTGAGCTCAGCTCTGCTCTGCTCTTCTCTTCCCTTCCTCTCCCTTCTACCACTATCCATTTCTAATCTCAAAAGCAGTTGTGGCATATAGCAGAAAGAAGCAGAATTTAACAAGCGAGCTGTGAAGACAGGAGTCTCAAGTTGTCTGCATGTCATAAATAGAGTAAAAATTCCTGCCCAAGTGAGAAGTGCTTTGTCTCACTGTCTTTTAAAATGTTCAGTGGCATGGAAATGTATTAGCAAACCTGTGTCTTCTGATTTGGGGTGAATTACTTATAACTCATATTGCATCTACATTCTGTGGCTTGCATGTTTTTGTCCTAGCGTTTGTCCCAAAATCAGTCTCATACCTCTTACCTGTAACAAGTCTTCAAAATTTTAAAAACCTATATTGTGTCCTAGTATGTACTTAGTTTGAAAGTCTCAACTAAACATTTATAGTTCAGCCATGAAGGTACAGTAAGTCTAAGATTTAAACACACTCAAATTCATCAGCACCTACCTGTAATATGAAAAGTAGGCCTGAGCATGCTGATTGGTTATTACAGAATACAGTTTTTTATTATTTTTGTTTTTAATATACTGTACTTCTTTTGGCACAGTCTGAGATAGCATTAGTTATTTTTGTAGTACTACCACTGTTGAATCATTTTTCCATTATCTTGCACTTGTAGCCATCTATAGGAAACCACATGAAGTCATCAGTTAAGTATTAGAAAGTTTTTTTATGTTCCTGATTTTAAGTGTATTATCTCAGTTCACAGAGCACAAGTTTAGAGTTATGGACTGGCGTATAACAGAATGAGTAGCTCAAACCATGACATCAGCCTTAGTGTAAATTCTCAACCAAACTCACTGAATTTTATCCTTCGGTCTATCCATACTCAAGCCACTTAAAACCTGTGGGCTGTATGCAGAAAATTTTAAGTAGGAAATAGTTGTCTTCTACCTTTAAAGTTATTTGAAAGAGATGAATTGTAATTGTAGGATGTAAATCAAGCATATTAATGTAATTTTATCAATCCTGTACTTACCCCATAGTACCATCATTTCAGGATAAGAACGGTTCTTTGTATAAAATAAATTCAGAACCTTAGAAGATAGAGATAGTGGAGCCTGATACATTTTGTAGTATCTAGTGCATTAGGAATCTTGACATTTTGTGGCAGCTTAGTCATGTTACTGTGTATATAACGCTTAGATGTGAAAAAGCAAAGTTGGGACCTTTTAGAACTTCAGTTTTGAAAGATGGAAGAAATTGCTGTAGTTCTGAGTAAATGGCAAGAGGTGTACATTAAAGGTATGGATTCTAGAATACTACAAAATAACAGTTTGGGAGAGATCTCCAACCTCTTATGGTATAGAAAGTGTTAGTTACCCAGTACCTGGTACATAGTAATTTCAGTGACTGCTTAGTACATATTATTAGAGCTACTTCAGTTAAAGCAGACAGAAGTGTGGGGAAGAGGTTAGCACTTGAAATTACCTACTACTATGGCTGGACTCCAGGCAAGAGTAGTAAAATTCTAAAGAGAAAATGAGATAAGCAGATGTATGCAATGAAAATTAAAAGCACATATCTGGAGGACAGTTGGAACTATTCTTCCAGCTTTCTGTTGGAAAAATATTATCCTTTGCTTTCATCACTGGTACTTTCTAACTAGTCTCACTTTTGTCGGTTATTGTTTTATTTTTAACATATTTAGTAATCCAAGTGTAACATAGTTAAAATAATAAAAAGTAAAATAATTGGAGAAAGGATTATATTGGGAGTAAAGGAAATTTGAAGTCTTAAGTCATTTATGTGTCCTTAGGCAAAATAACCTTTTTGAACTTGTGTTTTTAATCTACTAGAATGCAGCAGGAAAAGATTTTACTAGTATTCTGAAGCATAAATAAGGCATATTTGCTGCCATGGTTTTTACTGTTATATTACACAAATACGATTTCTAGATGTCTCTGTGTTCTTGGTTCTTATTTATATTTGAGTAATATAGAATATGTATATATTCCTTATAATAGAAGTGGCCGTGCAGGTATAGATAGAACTTGTTTTACCTATGAGCCTTGCCTTGTATTTATTCACTGTGGCAGAATATATAAAATAATTATTGAAGCACAGAAGATCAAGGGAAAAGTGATAGATTATTTAAGGGATAAGTAGAGCATCTTCATACGCTGTACAGTGGCATGCAGTCTGAGAAAGGTTTAAATAGTCATTGATACGCTCACGTTAGGCATTGTTTTCCCACACAAAATGCCTGTCCTGTGAATATTTCTAGTGAGCTAAGAATTAAGAATTAGAAGATTTTTTTTTTTTACTGCTTTTGGTGTACTACAAGAGTAATACATACACCTTGGGGAAATTTTAAGAATAGAATAATTTTTTAAAAATCCAAAACCCAGGCCAGGCTTGGTGGCTCACGCCTGTAATTACAGCACTTTGAGAGTTCAAGACAGGTGGATTATTTGAGTGCAGGAGTTAAAGACCAGCCTGGGCAACATGGCGAAACTCCATCTCTACAAAAATTAATTAGGCGTGATGGCACCCCAGGGTAGTCCCAGGTACTTTGGAGGCTGAGGTGGGAGGATCGCTTGAACCTGAGAGGAATTTCTTGTTTCTTGAGAGACAGGGTCTTACTCTGTTGGGATTACAGGGACACACCATCATTGCTCACTGCAACCTCAAACTCCTGGGCTGAGCAACCCGCCAGCCTCAGACTCCTGAGTAGCTGGGACTAGAGGCCTCTATCACCTGACCTAACTGATGTTTATTTTTGTAGAGATGGTGTCTCACTGTGTTGCCCAGGCTGGTCTTGAACTCGTTGCCTCCAGCATTCCTCCTGCCTTGGCCTCCCAAAATGTTGGAATTCACTGGCTAGCTACCATACCGGGCTTAAAGATTTTTTCTGATATTTTGATATGTGTGCTGGGATGAACATACTTGTATACGCCTTTGATCAATTGGATTAAATTCCTAGACATAGAATTGTTGGGTCAGAGGGTATGCATATTTTAACTTTCGTGCATTTTGCCACACTCCCCTGAAGAAAAATGACAGATTTCTAGTCAAATCAACTAGGGATGAAAAACACTTGTATTTTAAATGTTTTTTGTTTAAGTCAAGGGCTATTGAGGAAACTGGAAGTTGGTAAATCAGAGAAGCATATAAAATATGGGAAAGAGATTGCGGGGTCATTTATTTCTTTGCTGTTGAAATAGTTGTCATGATATTAATGTTCTAGTCGTACTTAGAGAAATTCAGCAAAAAAGTGCTTCTGATCATGGTTTCTTAGCACCTCCTGTATTAGTATTTAAAACCTCTATCATGTCTTCCTTGGGATTTAAGACGTTTGTGTTTTATGGGTAGTTAAGAACTAAAATAGATAACTGCTTGAGAAACTGACCATCTCCTGCGCATATTCAGTTTAGGAGTGATCTGGAAACCACAAGGATCGTAGACTTGAAAATAACCCCAAGGTGACAAAGCAATCTCTGAGTACCAGTAGCATGTGAACACACCTCAGAAGAGTCAAATATCCTAATATTTTAAGTCTTTCTAGAAGCCAGCTGTTAGTAGAAGTGTTAGAAAAGAAAAAAAGAAAAACTATAGGGAAGACAGTAGTAGAAAAGGGGGACGATAGGTTGTAGAATACAAGCAACTTTTGGAAAGGACGCAGAAAACTTGGTGGTTACATTTTGTACCTTTAGTGAAATAACATTTTCACATTCCTTAACTCAAGTATGTAGAATTCTCTTGATGGACAGATACAGAGCTCATACTTTCATGTAACGCTATTTTTCAGGGTAACTGAGGTGCAGAGCACTGTGTCTGTATCTCATTTTATTCTCACTAATTAAATCTCTGGATGAAAGTGCGTGTATATATAATGTGTTGATATTTAAACAGCTGATCTGACTTACAGGAGTTGAACCTTCAGAACTTTGGTAATTTCTATGAAATACAGAGAAATTCAAGAAAATGGTGACATAGGTGGAAAAATCCTTATCCATTGCTAAATAAGATTATTAAAAGGATTGTTTAGTAAAAAGAAGATAGTGATCAGTAAGAGCTACCAAAATTCTACACAGTATGTTTAACAAAGTAGCTTTCAATCTTTTATCTTTATGGGCAGGATAAATATGAGCCAGGTGATAGTATACACAAGCAAGGAACTGAAATCTAGCCTGTCATCAGGAACTTATAGACAGAATCAAATCCAAGGCACCTTAAAAGCATGCAGTATATAAATCTTCGTGTACCTCTGTAGCTATACATTAGGCATGTCCTCATAGTATCCACCAAGTAAAGATCGTTTTTGTACTTAGAAGACATGGAACACTTCAGAAGAGTTTTCATAAAAAGATCCAACACTTAAACATTAATCTATAGCATTCCCCTTAGAGTTTTGCAGATTGATTGTTGGAAATAGCAATACACACAGTTTTTCCTGCTATGTGAGCTCATCAAAAACAGTGATTTCAGTTTCCTTTCTCTGGCACCTGATGCAAAAGTGCATTGAATGTTTGATTACTGAATTAATAAGTGAGCAGAAAGGTGGTCACAGTACATATGGCAAAGAAGGCAGTTGTTCACCTTCCTGATTCCCATAGGTCTCAGTTAAATAATTTTCTAAAACTGTTTTTAGTGTGGCGATCGGTTACAAAAACAAACCCCCCTACGTATGCTGTGCCCTGTTTCCTACTGGAAAATCACTTTGCATACTATTTTAAGAGTTGGCGGCAATGACAAATTATAGAATCATTTTATATGCAAAATGAAAAACATTTTTTAAGTGTCTGCCGTAGAACCAAATAGTATTTTTTGTACATTTATTGTTTCTGTTAATTATTCAACTAGCAGTAGGACAGATTTACTACAATAATCCAAAAATGCTAATAAACAAGTATATCTAACTTTGTAGTTGTTAAGTCACTTTTCTTTTTTTCTGTCTCAGCCCAGAAGAATCAGTGCGGTTTCTGTGGCAGAGCGAGTTGCATTTGAAAGAGGAGAAGAGCCTGGAAAAAGCTGTGGCTACAGCGTTCGATTTGAGTCTATACTTCCTCGTCCTCATGCCAGTATAATGTTTTGTACTGTAGGTCAGTAATGTATTTTGATTTTTCATTTGGGGTTTATATTGTGGTTGTGAAGAAAACTTGATAGCAGAACAGAATGACTGGAAAGAAATAATGAGCCAGTCTCAGATTTCTTGTTTAAATAAAACTTTTGGCAGTTTTTTCCTTCATGGAAAGTATGATATACCCATTAGATCTTGTAGCTTAGAGAAAATGAAATCATAAAATCAGTGAAAAAAACTATATTTCATAGTACACTATCACTTTTTAATAGTTTAAATGTACATGTGATTATTTTCTAAAATGATGCTGGGGTCTCTTAGTTGAAATATAGATAATTGTCCATAGATTTACTACTTTGAACTTTTCTATAGTTTATTGATTGTTTTTCTTTTCAAGGTGTGCTCCTGAGAAAATTAGAAGCAGGCATTCGAGGAATCAGTCATGTAATTGTAGATGAAATACATGAAAGAGATATTAATGTAAGTAACTTGAGAGGTACAGTAAGGTACTTAATTCTGCTATTTCTAAGAGAAATCAGTAGAATGTCTTTGTTTTCCCTTTCCCCCGTTTTTATCATTATCAAAACCATGAACTTCAGTCACTAAGATGTTGAAAATCTTTTTTTAGTGAGATTATTCAATCTTTTTTTTCTTTATTGTTAAACTTTACAGAAAGCCTTTTGGAGGTGAAGACCTATGTTGTAAAGTATAACTGCAGTAATCAGTATTAGCTGGCATAATTCAGCAATTGAACTAATGGTTTATGACTAAATAGCTGATGGAATTTTTATGATTCGTTTTTCTTTGATTTGGAAGTTTATGATAGATTTTATAATCGTTTTTTGTTTTGTTTTTTTGAGACAGAGTCTTGCTCTGTCACCCAGGCTGGAGTGCAGTGGCGCGATCTCAGCTCACAGCAACCTCCGCCTCCCGCTTTCAAGCAATTCTCCTGCCTCAGCCTCCTGAGTAGCTGGGACTGCAGGTGCCCACCACCATGCCCGACTGATTTTTGTATTTTCAGTAAAGACTGGGTTTCATCATGATGGTCAGGCTGGTGTCGAACTCCTGACCTCAGGTGATCCACCTGCCTTAGCCTCCCAAAATGCTGGGATTACAGGCATGAGCCATTGTGCCCAACCTATAATGTTTATAATTAAGAGTCCTTTTAGATGTTTTCAGCTCTGATCTTTTCAGATGTTAATGAGAATCATGCCAAAAATTAGGAAGAAACTAGAATTTATTTCCAACCCCTCCCTCTTTTGGTCCTTGACAAAAAAACTGTGTAAAATCAACTTGCTATGCAATTAAATGATATGAAATGATATCCAAGCTAAGTAGTATAGTGACTTTCAAAGGTTTCAGTGCATGGGCAGCATGCTTATTTAAACTGTCAACCATAACTCAAAGCATTTCTAGTTTTTATTTTTTTCTTTTTTCTTCTCCCATCCCCCATCCTGAAGTTACCCAGGGGTTACCAGCCATAAGTTCAGTCAATCATTAGCAAACACAAGACATCACTTCAGAGTTTCTAAGTGTTTTAGGAGTTGTATGCCAGGAAAGGGGGTCAAAGACCAAAATATATATTTCATAATATCATAAGTCATAAAATTGAATAGTACTCAGCAACAAAAAGAAAGTACTGATTCATCCATCAGTATGGATAAACTTTAAAACATTATTCTAAAAGAAAGAAGCTAGAGGAGACATACCTACCATATAATTTTATGCATATGAAATTTTAGAAAAAAGCAAATCTGATCTGTGGTGACAAAAATCAGTAGTGTCCAGGGATTGGGAATTTCCAAATTTCAAGCATAACAGTCAAAAAAAAATTTAACTGTTATGCTTGAAATGTGACATTATTTGATGTACTTGCTATTTAATAAAATTTAAAATAAGGTTAATAAAAGAATTTGGATTTTAGATCTCATGATAATCTAACACTTATTTTAATTCCTTTTTTTTTTTTTTGAGGAGTCTTGCCCTTGTTACCTAGGCTAGAGTGCAATGGCGCGATCTCGGCTCACTGCAACTTCTGCCTCCCGGGTTTAAGCCATTCTCCTTGCCTCAGCCTCCCAAGTAGCTGGGATTACAGGTGCCTGCCACCAGTCCTGGCTAATTTTTTGTATTTTTAGTAGAGAGAGGATTTCACCATGTTGGCCAGGCTGGTCTCAAACTCCTAACTTCAGGTGATCCACCTTCCTGGCCTCAAAGCATTTCTTAAAGATTTTCTCCTCTTACTTTTATATCTGTTTTTGTTAAACATCTTCAGTTTTGTCAAAACTAAGCTAAAGCAAATAAGACTGGTTTGGATGGCTTATGATGACTATAAATCATGTAACTTTTCAGTAGGGCAAAATTTTTGCTCTTTTGTCCTTTATAATCTCTTGGAAACTTTATAGGTTTTTCCTAATTAACTTAATTGACAAATGTTTTGATATTATCTTTGCTTGTTAATGTAGCAATGTTCTTAGGGTTTAAATTATTCCAAACACTGGAATAATGTCATGGATTATCGCTGGTATTTTTCTAAAACAGTAAGTTTTGGTCAGCTTAAGCAACTTAAGATGTAAGTCTGGGCCAGGCACAGTGGCTCACGCCTGTAATCCTAGCACTTTGGGAGGCTGAGGTGGATGGGTCTCTTGAGGTCTGTGTACTATTCACAGTGAAACCTTGTCCGGTATTGTTTGGTCCAGTCTTCTCCAGTCCTGACCGGTCTTATCCGGTTCGGCCCAGTCTGGTCCGGTCCTGACCAGTCTTATCTGGTTCAGCCCGGTCTTGTCCAGTCCTGTCTGGTCTAATCTAGTCCGGATAGGTCTTGTCCTATCTGGTTTGGGCCAGTCCTGACCAGTCTTATCCGGTTTGGCCTGGTCTGGTCCTGTCTTATCTGATGCTGACCAGTCTTACCCGGTTTGCTGCGGTTTGGTCTGGTCTTGTCTGGTCCTGACAGGTCTTGTCTGGTTTGGTCCAGTCTTGCCCAGTCCTGACCGGTCTTATCTGGTCCTGACCAGTGTTGTCTAGTTTGGTCTGGTCCAGTTTGGTTTGGTCTTGTCCAGTCCAGTCTTGTCTTGGAGTTTCACTCTTCCGCCCAGGCTAGAGTGAAGTTTCGGCATCTCAGCTCACTGCAACCTCCGCCCCTGAGTTCAGGCGATTCTCCTACGAGTAGCTGGGATTGTAGGCGCCTGCCACCACACCTGGGTAATTTTTGTATTTTTAGTAGAGACAGGGTTTCACCATGTTGGCCGAACTGGTCTCAAACTCCTGACCTCAGGTGATCTGCCTGCCTCAGCCTGCCAAAGTGCTGGGATTTACAGGCATGAGCCACTGTGCCCAGCCTGCAGAAACTTTTCTTGTTCTCTTTCAAGATAAATCTTACCTAGTTCTGTCACCTTACATAGAAAACCCAAGTGCACTTACAGACCAATTACTACAAATAATAGAATTTAACAGTCTGGCTGGATAAAAGGTAATATACCGAAGGCAGTTGCATTTTTTATACTTACACAAATAACTAGAAAAACAAAAAAAGATACCATTGCAGTAGTCAAAGTATTTAGTACCTAAGAATAAACAAAAACATGCAAGATCTCTCCAAGAAAAATAAGTTTTATCACAAAACACTGAAAAAAGACCATGTTTATATGTAGAAGGATTTAATAGCATATCAATTATTTTCAAGTTGGTCCACATTTTGAATGCAATTCTAATTAAAATCCCAGTAAGGTTTTCCATATAACTTGATGAGGTGATTATAAATACTTAAAAAGATAGATTTATGGCCCCAAATAGCCAGTATTTCTAAAGAAGAGCAGAATAGAGAATCTTGGTTTACAGATAACAAGACTTGCTTTGAAGCTAAAATAATCGAGACAGTGAGGTACATGAGTTGACAGATGGGATAAGACAGGGCACAAAAGCACATTGTATGTTATATGTTACATGCAACATTGTTAGGAGACGGTGGCATGTCAGATTAGTGAGAAAGGGAATGAGCAATTAAGTAAATGGAACTGGAAACTAATGGTTATTTCAAAGTAGTTGAAATCGGTTCCCTACCTCATAACTAAGTACAAAAATCAATTCCATATAGATTGAGAACTTTAAACGTGTTGACACATGAAAGAGTTTTTCATACACTGAAGTAGAAAATATAAAAATATAAATAAGCATCGTCTAGACAGTGCTGTCCAAAAGAAATATGTAAGCCACATAGATAATTTAAATTTTTCTAGTAACACATTTAAAAAGGTGAAAAGGTGAAATTAAACATATTTAACCCAGAATATCTAAAATATTTACAACACGCAGTTAATTTTAAGTTACATTTGAGATATTTTGCATTATTTTTCTTATGGTGTGTTCAAAATTTGGTGTGTGTTTTACATACAGAGTACATCTCAATTCAGATTAATGCTACTGTATTGGGCAGCATAGTCTTAGACCTTCTGAAAGGATTGCTGAAAACATGAAATGCACTAACCTTGAAATAAAAGATCAATATATTATTCTATATTAAAATTAAGGTTATTTGTTTAATCAAAAGGTTATTTCCTTACTTTAAGGAAAACCACAAGCTCAAAGATTCCAATATGTTAGTATAGGAATATATAAGCAACTTCTACAAATCAGTAAGATAAGTAAACAACTTAGTAGAAAAATGATCAAAAATACAGGCATTTTATAGAAGAGGAAACATTTGGCTAATAAACATGGAGATACTCAATCTCATTGGGACTAATAGGAAAGTATAGATCTAGATCACAACAAGACACTGCTTTATATCTGTTTATTTAATAAAAAGTGACACTAAAAATGTTGGAGAGTATGTGGATCAGCAGGATCCCTTATCCACTGCTTATGGGGATATATAAATAATGGTACCACTTAGAAAAATAGTTAAGCATTACCTTCCGAAGTTCAGCAGTTACATACCCTATAGCTTGGCAATTCCATACCCATGTTTAACCTACAGAAACTTGGATATGTTTAGCACTCCTGTTTAGACTTGAACAAGAATGCTCATAGTAGCAAATGTTCACATTAGTAAATCTTGAAAAGAAGCCAGATATGTGTAAGAGTAAGTGAATTAACTGATATATTCATACACTGGGACAGTAAACTGTCATCAGAAAGGATGAGTATAGTAATGTGTGGATGAATCTTAGCAATGCTGTTGTATATAAAAAAGGAAATCCCAAGACAACATAAAATATGCATTCCCATAAAGTAAGTAAAATTTAAAAATATAGTCGGCCGAGGCGGGTGGATCACTTGAGGCCAGGAGTTTGAGACCAGCCTGGCCAACATGGCTCGGCTCACTGCAGCCTCTCCTTCCTGGGTTCAAGTGATTATCCTGCCTCAGTCTCCTGAGTACCTGGGATTACAGGCATGTGCCACCACACTGGGCTAATTTTGTATTTTTAGTCGAGACAGGATTTCTCCATGTTGGTCAGGCTGGTCTCGAACTCCCGACCTCAGATTATCTGCCCGCCTTGACCTCCAAAAATACTGGGATTACAGGTGTGAGCCACTGGGCCTGGCCAATAGCACTCATTTCTAATCACAACTATTAGGCTACAACTGTTCTCAAAAATTGTTATTGTTATCTTAAAAATTGATAAAAGATCCATTGTGGTCCTTTATCTTGGCACTTCTGTGAGTCATCTAAGAAACTGAATTTAATTGATGTCTTATGGCTGTATAACTCTTTTAGGCATAGCTTGTTATATAAACTTAATGTAATTTCAAAAATTTTGTGTTTGTTTTTTAATAGACTGACTTCCTTTTGGTAGTACTGCGTGATGTTGTTCAGGCTTATCCTGAAGTTCGCATTGTTCTTATGTCTGCTACTATTGATACCAGCATGTTTTGTGAATATTTCTTCAATTGCCCCATCATTGAAGTTTATGGGAGGACTTACCCAGTTCAAGGTAATATTGTGGGGGTGGTATAGGAACATCTTTTGTGCAATAGGGTTTGTATTTTCTTAATCCTGGAGATTGGAGTTACAATTTAAAGAATACTTAAAATACAGGACAAATTATAGTATCAAATGTATCATAGCATTTTTGAGGAGTTTCTCTTCTGTTATTTTATACAGTAGTGAGTACAGTCTGAGAAGTGAGACCAGGTTTCATTTACTACTTGAGTAGTTTGCATATGCAGTAAGTTTCCAGGCCTTTACTTATAAAGCCAAACTTTTAAAAATTATAAAGTATAGTCAAAGGGAAATCACTGTGGTGTATAGGTAATTATGGGAATTACTGTTAAAAGTTTAAGCAGCCAGGATCAAATTAAGAATCCTTTTTAGAGCCTGAGCAACTAGATTTTGAATTAAGATTAAAGGAAGTGTATCAAGGTTATGTATTTCTGATAAGTGAGAGTTCTTTAGTATCTTTTTGTTTTTCTAAGACAAGGTCTCACTCTGTCACCCAGACTGGAGTGTAGTGGTGCACTCACTTGGCTCACTGCAACCTCTGGCTCCCAGGCTCAACCAGTCCTCCCATCTCAGCTTCCTGAGTACCTGGGACTACAGGCGCACAACACCACGCCTGGCTAATTTTTGTATATTTTGTAGAGACAAGGTCTCACCCTGTTGCCCAAGCTGCTCTCAAACTCATGGACTCAAGCAGTCAGCCTGCCTCAGCCTCCCAAAGTGCTGGGATTACAGTCTAGAGCCACTGCGCCCAGCCTTCTTTACTGTCTTTAGGAGTTGTTACCACAGTTTTCTAGGATAGTCATCTGGTAGCTGTGGGGGAAAAAAAAGAATTATGGTACATTCTAATTGAGGGCATGAAAATAAGAGAGAAACAGTGTAGACAGATACGAAGTGATGTTATGGCTATGCCAGCATGCTAAGCCAGTATAATTCACTGGGGTACAGGTTAATTCTGAAACTGCTGTACATGTGTACTGGAAATGCCATACAAGTAAATGGATGGCAAGTGGTGGGAGCTCAGTTTCTTACTACTAGGAAGAGAAGTTAAGGATAAGTGGGATTGCTAGAACAAACCGTATGTTACTGGATTATACTCAAAGAGATCAGTACGAACGTGTGTTTAGCTAAATGGAGGTACAAATGGATAGGTATAGAAATAATTATAGATAGGTGTGGATACATGTGTTAGTATACATATTTTTTTCTAGCTCTGTGCTGAGTGGGAGTAGAAGCAGTGACACCCAGTAGATAGGGATATGCCCCACATTCAGATTTTGTTTTTAATGCCATTCTCCAACTAAAGGAGCCAGATATTCCTGGAGAAATGGCTGCTTCTAGGATGAAACAATATACAAAAATGAGCCTGGAACATCTTGTCCCTTAAAGTAAGGAGGTGCCTAAAAGAAGCCCATAACGATGGGGATAAAGGGACACAGGAGCCAACCTGAAAGAGTTCCCAATGGCCAAAGCTGGAACAGTTTGAGGAAAAAAAATAACATGGTATTAGATTACCAAAATACAAAATATTTGTGTGTCTATACTGATATGTAAATAAGTGGTTTAATAAAAAGAATAGTGACAAGTGCCTCTTACAAAAGAATTTCAAATAATTTATGTAAATGGTCTCCCCATTTTTCAAACAAGTGGGCCTACACTACCTAACCCCTGAGTGGGCTGTGTTTAATAACTTCTGAAGACTACAGTGTGGGAAGAAGGGAAAATGAGTAACTTTACAGTGGAGAAATTTGGCAGGCACTACCACAGGTGATCAAGTTTTAACATCATGAGGAGTAAGTCATATTGATAGGATATGCCCTTAATATGATGTGATGAGACTGGCACTTTGGGAGTTTTTGGATATAGAGGGTGTTTTGATTATAAAGACATTCTGGGGCCATCTGAGAATCTTGGGCATAATTGATCAACAGATCTTCCAGTCCTTGCATTGAGATCCTTCTTCAGATTGACCAGAAGCCATTTTGTGTGTGCATACTGATAGAGGAAGGATGGACTGTGGTATATTGTATTGAAGTTACTTCTTTCCATGTATAACTCCCACACAATGGAAGTGTATAGATAAATGTTTGATTGAATGTTATACACAGAGGATACCCCAACTGGCTCTGGGAACATGTATAAAAGACACCTCACCCTCCTTCAAGGTCTAAGAGAGGGAAACACTGAGTTTGATTAGGAAAATAAGGTTATTGCTACTGGAACTTTTTGGCATTTGTGAAGAATCAGACTAGAGGGGTATTAAAGTAGTTTTGAACTATGAATTAGCAAATGAATTTAGGTCTGCTCCATTGTGAAAGTTGATAGTACTTAACCTGACTGGATTGTCCCTGGCAGAATATTTTCTGGAAGACTGCATTCAGATGACCCACTTTGTTCCTCCACCAAAAGACAAAAAGAAGAAGGATAAGGATGATGATGGTGGTGAGGATGATGATGTAAGTGAATTTCATGAAGAATTTCCATTATGGGCAAATTGTCAATGCAGAGAAAAAAATGAGTTAATGTAACATGCAATGTATTAGCATTACAGCAAACTTTCTTAAAAACTGACTGTAATGTCTGCCTTTGGATTAATTGATGTATTTTACTGCAAAAAAATTCCAGGTTCAGTGACAAGCTGTTTTCTATCACAAGTTAAATTATCTCTGGCGTAAAGATCAAAGGAAAAAGAAGAAAGAATGCGATGTTTAAAGGCCAGGCATGGTTAGGGACAATGCTGTTGTATAAGGTTTTGCTACTCAAAGTTTTTCAGTAGGCTGCAGCATCTGGGAAACTGGTAGAAAGACAGAATGCTGTGCCCCACCCTAGATCTACTGAGTCAGAATCTACAGTTTAACAAGATCCTCAGGTGATCTGTATATACAATAAAGTTTAAGAAACAGCAGCTATAGCTTTAGCTACAGGAGACCGGTGATGACATTATCAGGTGGACAGAGTATTAAATCAGGGAGCAATGAGGGATTTCCTAGGAGAAACAGGAAAGAAAAGACTTTGTAGTGCTTGAGAGTTGGACGACGATAGTATAGAAATGGATTATCTGGAAATACAGACTGAGACAGCCAGCAATGCAGAATTTGCTAGAAAACCTAAGATTATATCTTTTTAATCAAAAGATCTGAAGATGTAAATGAACAGCAGATTAGAAAATTTAGAAAAAGACCAATTGCAACAACTGTTTCTCAACTTGCTTTATCATTGATTCAAATGTAAACTTTTTGGAAAATACATTATTTCAATAATACAAAGAAATATACTCAGAAGGCTCCATGAGAGTTTTGAGTCAAATTTAAGTTTGTGTTTGAATTTTAGTCCTATCCTGTGAGAAATACTAATTAGTGGAAAAGTTCAGTATATTGATGTAAGCTCTACATTTTTGGAAATTAAATTTCTTCTGTATTCTATAGTGTGTGACTAGTCAACTAGAATAAATAATGACATTACAAGTAATTAGAGTCACTAGAAGAAATCTAGAAGACTTACCTCATGAGTAACTGAGACAATCCAAAAATATGTCTCCCTGTTTTTTACAGGCAAATTGCAACTTGATCTGTGGTGATGAATATGGTCCAGAAACAAGGTTGAGCATGTCTCAATTGAACGAAAAGGAAACTCCTTTTGAACTCATCGAGGCTCTACTTAAGTACATTGAAACCCTTAATGTTCCTGGAGCTGTGTTGGTTTTTTTGCCTGGCTGGAATCTGATTTATACTATGCAGAAGCATTTGGAAATGAATCCACATTTTGGTATGAGTCTTTGAATTCTCACATATTTGAGAGTGAAAATGAATGTTTTTGCTAGTGCCTTAGCCAGTATGTGAAAACAAAATTTTGTATTGTTTCTACTTTCGAATAAAAATATGTATAATGGAGAGCTGTTTGAAACCAGCTCCTGTTTTTAGTCCCTGATTGTTCTTTATTGTTATATAGGAAGCCATCGGTATCAGATTCTACCCCTGCATTCTCAGATTCCTCGAGAGGAACAGCGCAAAGTGTTTGATCCAGTACCAGTTGGAGTAACCAAGGTAAATATTAAACATTAGAGTGATGGGATTGGAAGTGACGTAGATACTAAACAAATGTTACAGGCTTTCAAAGAGCTACCCAAAAAATTGTAACCCATCTAAATTGAGGAAGAAAAAAGGAGTCTTCTCTTTCTGAGCTTAGTAGATTGTTGTTCATTAATCAGTTATTGGGTGATCTTTTTAGGACTTCTGTAATTTTCTTGTCATTTGTTACATACATAAGCAAATCAGTCCTTTTAAGTAACTAATAAGAATATTTTCTGGAGTGTAATTTTTCTTTCTTCACAGGTTATTTTGTCCACAAATATTGCTGAAACAAGCATTACCATAAACGATGTTGTTTATGTCATTGACTCCTGCAAGTAAGTTACTGGGAAACCTATTTGTCTGCTCCAGTGTTACTAACTGGAAACTTCTTACCAGTTAACAGAATCAAAAACACCTTATTTTTAAACTCCTGTGTTCTTAAATCTCCAAAATTATTGTGCATCTATATAGCATTATAGGTAATTGATAATTAAGAGTAATTATTGTTGATTACTGCAAATCAGTTACGGTAGAAAGTGACAAAGCTTGAAACTGTAACTGATGATTACTTCTCATTGCTCTTGGCTGCTGGTGTCTCACTTATTTCCCATTGGGTGTTTCCATTGATCACTGCCATACTATAGCATGCTGTTTGATGAATAAAGATGACCAGTGTTTAGCACATGACAAATATCCTACCTTGAAGGACACTCCTTTAAGGATTAAGGGTCTTCATTTTGGTATGAGATGAGCCTGGAAAAATATACCAGGAGACATTCTGTGTAGATACAGGAATTACATGGTAATTGATAAATTGAAAGGACAAAAAAGTTGAAACTTGGTTATATCTGGCCAACTTGTACCCCATGACTTCTCTTTATAATTCCTTAGTCTGTCCTGACAATGAAAACAATTTGCTGCCAACATCCATTTTAGGAAATGATGAATAGCATTCTGTGCCAATCCCAGTCATTTAGTGGCAGCTGTCTCTGTATGTAACATTGAAGGAATCTGAGGTTACTTGGGGGTTCAAATGGACCACACAGGCATCACTAGATACAGATATCCTAAAAGTTACACTAAACTTTGGAATAGAGATGACTTAAATAATTACTTTCTTTTGTGTATGTGCCATATTCCATTTAAATGCTTTGCATTTGTTAATTTATTTAATGTTTACCAAAAAAACTATAAGGTAGATAATGGCATGCAAAGTTTGGCCAAGGCAGTTCAGCTGATAAGTGGCAAGTGGATGTTACATTGCCTTTTAGTAGGTTGACAACTAGGAGTTTGCAGTCAGATTGCTGATTCTTACTTGTGCCATTCATGAATAGACATCACAAGTAGGTATGGCTTTAACTACATAGTGGAAAGCATTCACTACTTAGTGGATATATAATAGTTATTGATAATACACATGAGTCTTAGAATTAACCACTTTTTCCTATGTAGGCAGAAAGTGAAACTCTTCACTGCTCACAACAATATGACCAACTATGCTACCGTATGGGCATCAAAAACAAACCTTGAGCAACGGAAAGGGCGAGCTGGCCGAGTACGGCCTGGATTCTGCTTTCACCTGTGCAGCCGAGCTCGTTTTGAGAGGTAAGACCCATTCTTGACCTTTAGTAAGGGATTTTTGTTCTGTTCTCTGTAGGGACAGATGTGTGCAGTTATGTAAACCTGCCAATATAAGCTGATCTAAGTCTTGCCAGCCATGTTGGAATCAGGTGTAAATGTTTCGTAAGAATCTTCATCACAAATCATTTAGAGAATAAGCCAGATTTAGAAATATAGAGACCTAGATTTTAATATTATTTGTGCCTAATACATTGTATAACACTAAGTGGTTACTCCTTAGGCCTGCATTTCCCTCATTCTATAAAATATTAAGTTACTTAACCTCTCTTGTTTCCTCAGTTGTAAAAAGAATATAAATAATGCCTAACCCATAGGGTTGGTATAAGTATTAAATGATTTAATAATGTAAAATACTTTGAACAGTGTATGGCACATCATGATCTCCCAATAAGTGTTTGCTGTTGTTAATTTATACAGGTCAGATATCTCTTTTAAAACTGAAATGCTTGGGACCAGAAGTGGTTTTGGATTTTTTTTCTTGGTAATATTTGCATTGTATTTACCAGTCGGGCATCCCTAATCTGAAAATATGAAATCCAAAACGCTCTAATGAGCATTTCCTTTAAGTGTCATGTCAGAAGTCAAAAAGTTTTGGATTTTAAAGATACATCTATAAGAGCCTTTCTAGTGGCACTAAAATTACATGAACTAGGAAGGTGGGAGGTTGTAGAGAAATGTTAGTATGAGTTATCATCCTACAAAAAGTCTTGTTGTCGTTTTTAACCCATGTTTGTCAACAGGCAAGGCCTGAAGAGACCATGGGTGGAGCTAATAACATTCGCGATTTTGGATAATTTTTTCATTTTTCTTCTCAGCCTAAAAGGCTATCAAGCTGTGAGGATAAGTCAGAAACCACTATGCAACCAGATTAAATTTTGTCAACAGTGTGTATAGTGAACGATAAAAGGTCCGATGGTAATTGTAAAATAAAAGGATGAGGAAAAGGCAGCTCTGTATCCCTGATTACCTTGCTGCAAAAAGTTTATTAACATCTGTGTATACACAAGGAGGATGGTTATTTTATGCTTATTTTCTCTTAGACTTGAAACCCACATGACACCAGAGATGTTCCGAACACCATTGCATGAAATTGCTCTTAGCATAAAACTTCTGCGTCTAGGAGGAATTGGCCAATTTCTGGCCAAAGCAATTGAACCTCCCCCTTTGGATGCTGTGATTGAAGCAGAACACACTCTTAGAGGTACTTACAAATACAAACCTACTTGACGCAGATATTAATCATACCATCTGTCTTGTTCTGGCAGATAACACTTACAAATGAATCAAGATGATGAAGATGTAGTCAACAGGGCTGTGATAATAATAGTAAGGCCTCCAGTCTTACCTTAGATAGTTAGTATAGTCACTGTTCTAATGAGCAATGAGAAGGAAGAAAGGGACAATGTGAGTCTTTAAAAAAGAAAAGAAAACTTAAAAAGGCATCTCTTAACTATGTACTAAAGATCAGAACATAACTTACTCATGATACCCACAGTATTTCATATGAATCTCTTACAACTTTTTTTGTTTTTTTGAGACGGAATCTCGCTCCATTGCCCAGGCTGGAGTGCAGTGGCGTGATCTCAGCTCACTGCAACCCCCACCTCCCAGGTTCAAGCCATTCTTCTGCCTCAGCCTCCCGAGTAGCTGAGACTACAGGCATACACCACCACACCCGGCTAATTTTTATATTTTACTAAGACAGGGTTTCACCATGTTGGCCAGGCTCTTCTGAAACTCCCGACCTCAAGTGATCCACTCACCTCAGCCTCCCAAAGTGCTGGGATTACAGGCAGGAGCCACTGTGTCCAGCCTGGAACATTTATTTTTTCTTGCTAAACTTGTTAGAGGTACAGTGAAAATTAAGGGCATTGGAGCTAGATCTGAATTTGAATTTTGAATCTAGCATTTATCTACTATGTAACTTCAGAATTTTCTCTAGATTTTATTTTTTTTAAAACATTAACAGCTGGGTATCAGACTTCTTATGGCATGTAGAAACTTACGCTGCTATTATAGTTAATACTGTATTTATAGACTTCATATGAATTGTATTTGTTTTTATAACCTACAGGATTTAGTTGTAGTACCTTTATGTTGGGTGCTCCAGATTTTGATTTTGTTCTATTTTTGAGTACAGAGAATTGTTGGCCGTAGACATGGTATTAGCGATTGGCTTGACAAAAGAGGAACTCTAAACTGTCTTAACCTTAATTTAGAGTAATGTTTTGTCTGCCTAAAATTAGTGTTCATTTGTTTCTGCTCACAAAGAACTATCTCCCCACAGAGCTTGATGCATTAGATGCCAATGATGAGTTGACTCCTTTGGGACGAATCCTGGCTAAACTCCCCATTGAGCCTCGTTTTGGCAAAATGATGATAATGGGGTGTATTTTCTAGTAAGTGCTTTGTTTTATTTCTCTTCGTTAAGTGGCAGAATAATTTCAGAATCTTCTCCTCCCTGTAAAAGCAGTATTGGCTCAGATAGACAAAAAAAAAATCCTAAATGTTCTTCAGGGAAGTAACATACCTAGATATTGAGAGCAGTGTAACACTAAAAAAATGAACAGTTCCAGTAGGTGGATATCTGGGCCCAATATGGGGAAAAGGGCACTGATTTCTCAAAAGTTAAAAGCAAGCAGGCCAGGCAATGTGGCTCACACCTTGAATCCTAGCACTTTGGGAGGCCAGGGTGGGAGGGTCCCTTGTTATTAATAGTTGGTCTTGAAAGAGCGGTGTCAGGAAAAGAGGTTTATTTTATCAGAAAATGTTGAAGATTAAGAGATTTGGTATGATGGGGAAGAGAGAATATAAAAGGAAAAATATACTTGGTCATAATTTATGATAAATATGTGGCCATTAGAGCATCAGAGCATTTTTTTCTTTCTGATTCTGAAGAGAGCAGCTATAAAGTTCTTTGTTAAGCCAGTTTCATTGCAAATAAAAGTAGAATCATAGCCATAAAGACTGCAACCCACAGTCGACAGTCCTACCTGAGCTGCTGGCAACAACATTGTGATCTAGTCTGGATTTAACTGTCTTTGTGTATTTCAGCGTGGGAGATGCTATCTGTACCATTGCTGCTGCTACCTGCTTTCCAGAGCCTTTCATCAATGAAGGAAAGCGGCTGGGCTATATCCATCGAAATTTTGCTGGAAACAGATTTTCTGATCACGTAGCCCTTTTATCAGTATTCCAAGCCTGGGATGATGCTAGGTATGAGTAAGATTTGGGTGAGCTGTCTGTAGTTTCTCATTTGTATTTAGTTCTCTGGTCTTAGAGAATGATTTCTCATGCCAATTTATTTTAGAATGGGTGGAGAAGAAGCAGAGATACGTTTTTGTGAG